>NW_018654717.1:1240651-1542232 GCF_000001405.40 Homo sapiens | reverse complement strand
CCACAGATGTTTCAGTGGACTATGGGCCTGTGAGACCTTAAAGGGTTGATTGAGTAAGGATCACAGGTGATGTCCGCATTGTGCTTGGCATGGAGTTAAGTGCTTGATAAATGGTGGTTATCAATCTGATTATGTAAATTTATGTAAATTCAGTTCTCAAGTTTGTGGTTTTTTTCCCCTCCTGGAGAAATCTATTCTATTTTAAAGTGAGGAAGGCTCCGTGGAGGGCTGGTAGCTGGTAGCTGTTCACTTGTGGAACTTTCAGCCTGAGGCTGGAGCCCCTTCCTGGGAGTCTGGTCTTGTCGTCTTCCTGACCACCCCCACACCCTTCCTCTAAATTCCCTCCATCCCTGTTTTTCTCCCGCTTGCGAGCTTTTGGGAGTGTGCTGAATCTCAGACTGCAATAGATAAACCCAAGAGGGACAGGCACCAGTAGCCTGAGCTTGCTTTCTCCCCTGGCTCATGGGAATCAAGCAGTAGAAATTTTTAGTGAGTGTTGTTTTCCATAGTATGCTTACTAGTTGTGTCTTCCTGTTTTGTTCTTGGTGATTTGAAGAAACCTGTTTACAAGGTAAGGGACTGAAACAAATAGGTGACAGGAAAAAGAGCAGCAGGGGTACGAGCTGGAGGAGTAAGTGGCTTGGCTTGCTCTCTTTCAGAATGGAGGGCTGTATGGAAAGGAGGGGTAGTGTTCTTGAAGAGTGTTGGGGTTTAAATCTAGGGGGACCGTGTCTTGGCATTGATTGAAACTCCTGGCTTAACATCACCCCGAAACTGTTAGTTGGACTGAACATGACATTTGGCAGTGCAGTTAAAAACACTTCCTGCTGTAGCCTGGTAATGGTCAGGCTATGTGAAGAGCTGCTCTGGAGCTCAGTCCAGAGCGGGTATTCTGTTTCTTTCACTCTGAAATCCTGCCTCTCGATATTTTGAGAAGGAAGGAGTTGGTGAATTGTTTTAAAATCCTCGATGAATGTCTTCATTTATTCATGACACCACTTCTGAATATATTTATGTGCCAGACGCTGAAGTTTACTAATATTATGGTGCCCAGTAAATACTTGTTTTTACTAATATTTTTTATGGCAATAAAATGACTTTTTCAGGATTATGTGATTTAAAAGATTGACCCTTTTGGCAAAATACGTATTCATGATAGGAAATATATACAAATAAAAACAACATAGTTCACTTAAACCTCCCACCAGAGCCCAGGGTTCACTGTTACCATTCTGAAGTGACTATGGAATTTCCTAGAAGTGGATATGCCATATTTTTTTAACCACTCCTATTGGATATTTGTTTTTTATTTTTTTGAGATGGGGTCCCACTCTGCAGTGTACAATATCATAGTTCACTGTAACGTGTATCTCCTGGGCTCAAGCGATCCTCCCACCTCAGCCTCCTGAGTAGCTAGTCTTCAGTAGCTAGACTATAGGTGGGCGCCACCACACCTGGCTTTTTAAAAAATTTTTTAAAAACTTTTTTATGAACACGAGGTCTCACTATGTTGCCCAGGCTGCCCTCAAATTCCTGGGCTCAAGTGATTCTCCCACCTTGGCCTTCCGAAGTGCAGGGATTATAGGCGTGCGCCACTGCACCCGGCCCTGTTGGATAAATGATTCCAGTCTCTCCCAAAAAGAACTGTTGTGAGACTGTGGGGTGAGGGGAGGGAAGGGACAAATAGGAACCCGCCGTATTTTCCACTCCCTGTGGGCCTAAAACTGCTCTAAAAAATAGTCCATGAAAAAATACATAGTACAAACAGCAACTCTTTCTGATATGCTTGCATTTAAAATCAGGCTTTTTCTCCCTTTTGGAAAAACACAGTCCTTGTTTGCTTTAGGGAAGAGTAAAGGTCAGTGCGCTGCATTGCATTAATTTCGAAGGGAAAGATGAGAAGACATCTTGAAAGGAATGGCTGGCTTTCTAGAGAATAGTAGAGGCTTAATAGGTGTCATAAAAAAACCAGGGTTGGACAGTGGTAGTAAAACGGCAAAACAGATTTTATTCAGAAAAACTACTGCAGTAAGAGGAGAGAGACCTCGGTACAGAACTGCTCCACTGCGAATACAAAGAAAAGTAGGAATTGATGGCGGGGGAGCCGGATGTCAGTGGATGGAAAATTATTACGAGGAAACACAGGGGTGTGCGTTCTTGCTGAAGGCAGGCCAGAGTTATCAGACATCACCTGAGGGATGGAGGGGGATGTGGAACCTAATCGGCTGTCTAGGGTGATCAGATACTGAAGTTGGGGGATTCTGGTCAAATCAATTTAGCAGGATTCTTGGTAAAACTGGGCGATGCAAAGACAGATGCGTTGAGTACAAAGTCCAGGCTTTATTGGGAAGAGGATTTCAGCGGAGCCCGAGTAGAGTTTGGTCTAGGGAGACTCTGTCACTGGGAGGACGAGCGAGCCGCTCGGAAGTGCGCTGGGTTCCCTTAGCGGCCAGTGGGTTCTGGTGAGAAGGGCAACAGCGGGAGGAGGCGCCGGTGCGGAGCGGGAGGCCGGGGGCGGGGCTGCGGGGCTGCGGGGCGGGCCCGTTGTGGGTCGGCCCAGCGCGTATTCGAGTAGAGGGCGAGCCCGTCCCGCCCCTCGTCGGGCGCTTCCCAGATCTGCTTGAGTCTATGGAGGAAAAACTCCGCGGGGTCCGCGATTCCCATGGCCGCAGCCGCCTGCGGCACCAAGGCCATGGCCCTCTTCAAGCGCACCTTGGTGCTGAGTCCCGCCGCGGCGCCCAGGGGCCCGGGCGCAGGCACCGCCCCGCGGGGCTGCTGCTTGCCTCCTGCCGCCTGGCCCTGCAAGGACTGGCCTCGGGGAGAGGGCGGCAGGCTGTGGAGCCGCCTGCCCCAGTCCCACTCCCACTCCCACTCCCACTCCCACTCCTGCTCCTCGACGTCTCCCACCGCCGTGTGTGTTGTCTGCCCGCAGGACTCGCTCAGCAGCAGCCTGAAAACTTGCTACAAGTATCTCAATCAGACCAGTCGCAGTTTCGCAGCTGTTATCCAGGCGCTGGATGGGGAAATGCGGTGAGTGATGGAGGCAGCGCCTCTGGCTTGGAGGAAAGCTTGTCCGGGACCTTTGAGTGTGTTGGAAGCTACCTTTTGATATAGCGCTCAGCGTTGCAGCCTCGTTGCTGTGGCTTATCCAGAACATAGCCCGGCCCTACGTGTTTACTTTAGAAAGCCCTTCCAGGCTCTTTGCCATCTAGTAGAGTCCCTGCGGGCCCAGCCTTTCAGAGAAGAGGGGGGAGGGGGTGATGTTTATTAACTTTTTTTAGTCTTGGCAGCTGAACCTGCCTGTGAGCAGGTCGTGTATTTCTCGGCTTCCCTTATCCAACTTTGCATTTCTATTTCTAGCATATTGGGTTGATTCTTTTGAAGCTGCCTCTGTGCACATTACACCCATGAACTTAGACCAGTTGCCTTTATGTATGATCGTATTTATACTGAGAAGTTACTGTGTTTTTTGACTTTCTTTTCTATTTGCTACATATTAGTTCGGTCTAAACGTTTGGTCTTCTGGTCTCCATAGTTCTACATTGGTTAAATGCAACTCACTTCTGGGAGTAGTGGTGACATTCAACTAGTAGGCTTTTTAATAAACTACAGAAGTTCATTACTCTCATGTAAGGAAGGAAAACTAATGTAACTTTCGTTAAGTATGAAAAGCGTTGGATATCCTTATAGTTCTTTAGAGTTAAGGGTGAGATGGGTTTAGAAAGTGGCCAGGCACAAGTTATTTTAAAATAAAAAATCTTTGGCTGTTTGTTCCAATATATTAATAGTTTTCCCTTTTTTACAGCAACGCAGTGTGCATATTTTATCTGGTTCTCCGAGCTCTGGACACACTGGAAGATGACATGACCATCAGTGTGGAAAAGAAGGTCCCGCTGTTACACAACTTTCACTCTTTCCTTTACCAACCAGACTGGCGGTTCATGGAGAGCAAGGAGAAGGATCGCCAGGTGCTGGAGGACTTCCCAACGGTGAGTGGGGTTACGCATCTTGTCTACGGACTGTTGTGTTCATAATTGCTAACGTGGTTGTCCGGTAGCCTCCATACATGTGGAGAAAGGTTAAATAAGCATTCTGAGGGCAGCATAATGTGAGGGTTAAAAACTCCGGTAGCCAAGACTCTGAAGCCAGGCTGCCTGGGTTGGAATCTCAAATCTCCCACTTACTAAACTGTTGGTTACTTACAAAGACTCTCTGTGCCTCAGTTTCTTCATCTGTAAAATAGGGGTAATAATAACACCTACCTCATGGTATTCTGAGGATTCAAAGAATTAACGTAGGTAATGCTCTTAGAATGTTAGCTACTGCTGTTATTATCAGTATTGGAAGTCCAGTGTTTCTTCCTGTGGGAAGACGCAGTCAAATTTTAGTGTTGTGAAAGATTCTCAGGCTAGCTCACAAAAGCCTGCCGACTGTATGATGCAGCCTACCTGTAACACTGCTGGCCTCTTGACTACCCGGAGCCTGGTAGCATGGGACTGCTGCTCACGATGGGCAGCAGCCTGGCATGGGGGCGGTGTCTGTTGGCAGCTAGGGCGAGCCTCTGCCACTTCACCTGTGATCCTGGGCAAGTTCCTTATCTGCTTTGTGTCTCCGTCTCCTCGTTTGTAAAGTTAGAGCTGAGAGGATTAATTTCGCACATATAAAGTACTTAGTGCCTGGTACAGGGTAAGTATTCTGTAAGTATTAGCTATTTGGTCTATTTTGTTGGAGTAAAGTGGGTTATAGTTAAAATCCTAAGATTTTTAAAGTCCCTCAAGTTCATGTGGACATCTGCCTAGGTCCTACTATCCTAGAATTCGCATGTCTTATCACACAAATAACTGATTCTTCCATATCTTATAAATAAAGGTTTGATTTAGCAAAGTCACATGTTGTGTAATAGCTCGAAGAAGCCCTTTTTGTCCACAGTTGCCAGAGCTTTTGGAGAACAGTCCTTATGTTATTGAAACAAACCTAATCTGTAGCTGAGTTGGGAGGGAGCTAAGTGGACAGAGAGTCCTCCACCCAAACAAAAGAATCTTTGATTCTTGGGCATAATGGGAGCAATATTTAAAAAAAAAAAAAAAAAAAAAAAAGGAATGTTTGGGGAAGACTCTTGCGGTGCAAAGGCTGTTTCAGATTGCTGAGATCAGACCTTAAGTACCAAAGCCCAAATATAGTACAACATAATACAAATGAGAAGAAAATAGCTGAAGAATAATTCGAGTTTATACAGTACAATTCAAGAGAAGAAAGAAAATTTATGACGACTAGCTGGGTGAGAATTAGAACTGTAACCCTGGGAAGGTCCTGGTGATTTGACTCTCACAGGACACCTGATGACCAGAGGATGGGTTTCCTTTGATGGGAAATCTGTGGCGATTCATTGATGGGCCTCTGAATTCTGCTGAAGCAGAGGAAGTAGTAATACCCCATTTATAATGGAAGTGCATTCTCACTTAAAAACAACTAATATTATTCTAGCTGGACCTAGCCTCTAGAAACAGCCAAATTACATTTGACTTGAGTGGATTCATAATAATTAAAAAATTTCTGGGGCATGGGATAAATGTGTTAGGTATTGCTAAGTCAAGGCAGCCCTATCCCCTCAGCAGAAGTGAGGGAATATGAAAGTGTGTGAATGCTAACATAATTTTGGGGAATATCGCCGTCAGATTTCCAGATGATATTCCAACATGTTTGTGAAACTTCAGTGTCTTCCTGTGTTCATACAGTGTTCCAGTGGAAAAATAATGCTTAGTTCTGGAAGGTTTCAGATGTGAACACTGAACTCATCGTTTTCTTTTTTGGGTAGTAGAGTTAGAGATTCCATCCTCTTGAAAGCACAGTTGCCCCGGGAAGAGTAAAAGGGAGCAGAAGGCGTAAGCCAGGCACGGCTGTTTTCACTGTTGTTCACCTTTTGTATCCTTACGAATATGAAGATGTACTAAGTTGTGTGTTTTGCGTGCATATATAATTTTAAGCTACTTGAGTTGTAGGTCCCTCCAGTCTGTGATTCAGTTTGAGATGGGACTGTATGGGAATTAACAGTGCCTTGTCTTCTTAAGGAGTGATTTGTGTATGTGCTGATATAGCTCAGTATGTCTTTGAAACCAGTTGTCTGGGGCTAGGCCTGCAATCAGCTTTTGGCTAAGAGGTCCCAGGATGGAACAAGTAGTGTGAAAGAGGACTGATACCTTGGCCTCACACACAGTACTGCTCTTAGACTGGGGCAAGTGAAACTCCTCACTTCAGAGTGCCCCATTCTAGGCCCCCTCACTCCCAAAGGGGTGAGGGATCACTGGGGCCATGGGAATGTGCTTGTTCAGCTCTCGTGGGCTCTCCTTCTGTACCACGTTCTGGACATCTGGAGTTCCTTGCCCCAAATCCCTGAGCCCACGTCTGCGTCCGCACAGTCTATTTCCTAAGGTCAGTCCATCTCCTCCAGGTGGGAACGTGCCACCATTGACTGTGCCCTTGGGCCTGAGTGATGGCCAAGGGCTGTGTTGGGGAGTGTTGTGGATGGATCCTGGCACCGAGGGCTGGGATATCCTCTCAAATGAATGTGAGGTGCCTCCCAGTGCTGGAGAGAGCGGGATTCAGGAAGCAGTGGAAGGGAAGAGCCTGGGATATGGGGATCAGCTGTCTGTGCCCTGCTGCATTCTGGAATAAAACTCTGAGGGACTAAGAATTCTAAATTCAAACCTGAATCAACCAGGTTGTTACAAAGATAAGTTTGTCAGTGCAGGAGGATACAATATATTTTACTTAAGTTACTAGCTCGATTGATCATTTTTAAATTTTTAGCTACATATAGTATGTGGGCCTCCATTTGTCCTCTTATCCCAGGCCTTGCAGAATTTAGGAATAAGCCTCAATACAGTGTTCTAACCCAGTGACTTCCGCCTCGATGTACAGTAGATTGAACCTGATCCTTTATACTTTAGTGATCATTAGTTGATACCAGTTCAAGTCAGGCTTTCTAGAAATCTCATTGTATGTTAGGGGTTCGATTAGAGTACAGTCATGCATCACTTAATGAATGGCCACAGGATACATTCTGAGAAACGCATTGATAGATGATTTCATCATTCTGTGAACATCATAGAGTGTACTTACACATACCAAGATGGCATAGCTACTACAGACGTAGGCTCTGTGGTACAGGCCATTGCTCCAAGGCTGCACATCTCTACAGGATGGTACTGTACTGAATACTGTAGGCAATTGGAGCACAGTGGTAAGTATTTGTGTATTTAAACATAGAAAAGGTATAGTAAAAACAGGGTGTTACAGTCTTAAGGGCCCACCATTGTATTTCCAGTCTCCGTTGACTGAAACATCATTATACAGTACATGAGCACGTATCTTTCTCACCTGGTACTAGTGGAAAGCTAGAAGGCTTAGAAGTCTACCTGTAAACATAGCTTAAGTAATAATACAGCCTTATTTTTAAATGATAATAGCAATAATAGTGTTCACTTATTGAGCATTTTACTATGAGTTACTTACTAAATATATTTCATCGTTAATTTACTCTTTGTGTTATTTGATCTATAATATCGTTTAACAGGGAAATTACCTAGTACATAATGTACTGTTATCTACATTTTATCTAGATGAGGAAACTGAGGCACAGAGAAATTAAGTACTTTGCCTAGGATTACCCGTGAAGTTAAGTGACAGAATCAATGAATCTGGAAGGTCTGGCTTCAGATCTCTTGTGCTGAGTCACTCGCATACTTTACTACCTCTAAGGTTTCTAATCAGAGGAATTTGTATCTGTATTCCCTGCTACTCTTACCCTCTATGTGGGATTTGGCCTTTCTCCATTATCCCTGTGAACTCGCTCTGGGACCTTCCTTCTTGTACTTGGAACCATCAGAAAGTGATCTGAGAACATAGAAATCTACTGTGTTGTGAAACAGAATTACCTGGAAGCGGAAAAAGCCCTCCTGGCTCAATTCACATGTCACGGCTTATGGTCGTACCCGGGGAACATATGAAACTGGGCACTGAGTGCGGAGTCAGGAAAGCCCTGTCCATCCTCTGGGTTTCTGGGGAAAACGTGGACCCCTTCATTGTCACTTTCTCCTGTATATTTTTGTTTTTACTTTTAGAACTGTACAATTACGTAATAAATAATAAAAAGTCGTTGGAAGGATAGGTGAAGTTCAGAAGTGAAAGTGTTTTGGAGGAGTCTAAGCTCCTTCCCACCCTCATTGACCTTTCCTCTCTAATAAATAGAACTGGTCTAACCAAGGATCTGTGGAATGAGCAGAGTCCAACGGAGATTCAGGGATTCTAATAACCTCTTGTAGAATCACTGGTTTGTTTCAGCCACAAGAAGGAATTACCTTTTGACATTGGCTTGAACAGCTGTTGTGCAAAGAAAAACTTTTTGGAAAGTTCTGGAAGTACCAGATTGATTTTATAGGTTTTTTTTTTTTTTTTTTGGAGGGACATGGGGGTATTGACAGTTGATGTTAATCAGAAATCCTAAATTATGTGTATTCCTGGTATGTTGCAATCAGCCGGCCACCTGGTTTTCCTCTGGGCTCTTAATTTTAGGTGTATTCCGAGGAAGTTTTTCTAACTTTTCTGTAAACACAGACCAGGTATATTGCATACTTTCAATGTTTAACCAAATCTCTTCACTGTTTGCAGTATTATCTGTAGGCTCTCATGTTTTAAGACTTCCCATGGTGTTTTTGTATTGTATTTTGCTAACCTATAAACAATTCTTTGAACTTAAAACAAGATATTTGGGCAGTAACAATAAATTTTAAAAACATCAATTCAACTTTTTTACATTAGGGCTTGGACTATGGAAAAAGTATTGGGCAGCATGCCTCATACTGAGTTGTTTAATGAATTTAAAAGTATAGCCTTAATAGTGAGAGAAACTCTATAGCTTCATAATATAAATTGGGTAACTAATGAGATAAAATGGTTGGCAGATCTGCTCACTAGAATCTAAGCTCTTCAAGGGTCTGAGTTTTTTTTTTTCTTTTTCTTTTATTATACTTTAAGTTCTAGGGTACATGTGCACAACGTGCAGGTTTGTTACATAGGTATACATGTGCCATGTTGGTTTGCTACACCCATCAACTCGTCATTTACATTAGGTATTTCTCGTAATGCTATCCCTCCCTTGGCCCCCCACCCCACAACAGGCCCCGGTATGTGATGTTCCCCTCCTTGTGTCCATGTGTTCTCATTGTTCAACTCCCACTTAGGAGTGAGAACATGTAGTGTTTGGTTTTCTGTCGTTGTGATACTTTGCTCAGAATGATGATTTCCAGCTTCATCCATGTCCCTGCAAAGGACATGAACTCATCCTTTTTTTATGGCTGTGTAGTATTCCATGGTGTATATGTGCCACATTTTCTTTATTCAGTCTATTATTGATGGACATTTGGGTTGGTTCCAGGTCTTTGCTATTGTGAATAGTGCCACAGTAAACATACATGTGCTTGTGTCTTCATAGTTGGACGAGTTATAATCCTTTGGGTATATGCCCAGTAATGGGATTGCTGGGTCAAATGGTATTTCTAGTTCTAGATCCTTGGGGAATCACCATACTGTCTTCCACAATGGTTGAACTAATTTACACTCCCACCAACAGTGTAAATTTAGTCCTGTTTCTCCACATCCTCTCCAGCATCTGTTGTTTCCTGACTTTTTAAATGATCGCCATTGTAACTGGCTTGAGATGGTATCTCATTGTGGTTTTGATTTGCATTTCTCTGATGACCAGTGGTGATGAGCATTTCTTCATATGTCTGTTGGCTGCATAAATGTCTTCCTTTGAGAAGTGTCTGTTCATATCCTTTGCCCACTTATTGATGGGGTTGTTGATTTTCTTGTAAATTTTTTTTAAGTTCTTTGTAGATTCTGGATACTACCCTTTGTTGGATGGATAAATTACAAAAATTTTCTCCTATTCTGTAGGTTGCCTTTTACTCTGATGATAGTTTCTTTTGCTGTGCAGAAGCTCTTTAGTTGAATTAGATCCCATTTGTCTAGTTTGGCTTTTGTTGCCATTGCTTTTGGTGTTTTAGTCATGAAGTCTTTGCCCATGCCTATGTCCTGAATGGTATTGACTGCATTTTCTTCTAGGGTTTTTACGGTTTTAGGCCTTATATTTAAGCCTTCAGTCCATCTTGAGTTAATTTTTGTATAAGATGTAAGGAAGGGATCCAGTTTCAGCTTTCTACATATGGCAAGCCAGGTTTCCCAGCAGCATTTATTAAATAGGGAATCCTTTCTCCATTGCTTGTTTTTGTCAGGTTTGTCAAAGATCAGATGGCTGTAGATGTGTAGTGTTATTTCTGAGGCCTCTGTTCCGTTCCATTGGTGTACATATCTGTTTTGGTACCAGTACCATGCTGTTTTGGTTACTGTAGCCTTGTAGTATAGTTTGAAGTCAGGTAGCGTGATGCCTCCAGCTTTGTTCTTTTGGCTTAGGATTGTCTTGGCTATGCAGGCTCTTTTTTGCTTCCATGTGAAATTTAAAGTAGTTTTTTCCAATTCTGTGAAGAAAGTCATTGGTAGCTTGATGGGGATAGCATTGAATCTGTAAATTACCTTGGGCAGTATAGCCATTTTCACCATACTGATTCTTCCTATCCATGAGCATGGAATGTTCTTCCATTTGTTTATGGCCTCTTTTATTTCATTGAGCAGTGGTTTGTAGTTCTCTTTGAAGAGGTCCTTCATATCCCTTGTAAGTTGGATTCCTAGGTGTTGTATTCTCTTTGTAGCTATTGTGAATGGGAGTTCACTCATGATTTGGCTCCTTGTTTGTCTGTTATTGGTGTATAGGAATGCTTGAGATTTTTTGCACATTGATTTTGTATCCTGAGACTTTGCTGAAGTTGCTTATCAGCTTAAGGAGATTTAGGGCTGAGACGATGGGGTTTTCTAAATATACAATCATGTCATTTGCAAACAGGCAATTTTACTTCCTCTTTTCCTAATTGAATACCCTTTATTTCTTTCTCTTGCCTGATTATCCTGGCCAGAACTACCAATACTGTGTTGAATAGGAGTGGTGAGAGGACGGCATCCTTGTCTTGTGCAGGTTTTCAAAGGGAATGCTTCCAGTTTTTGCCCATTCAGTATGATATTGGCTTTGGGTTTGTCATAAATAGCTCCTTATTATTTTGAGATGCGTTCCATCAATATCTAGTTTACTGAGAGTTTTTAGCATGAAAGACTGTTGAATTTTGTCAAAGGCCTTTCGTGCATCTATTGAGATAATCATGTGGTTTTTGTCATAGGTTCTGTTTATGTGATGGATGATGTTTATTGATTTGTGTATGTTGAACAGCCTTGCATCCCAGGGATGAAGCCGACTTGATCGTGGTGGATAAGCTTTTTGATGTGCTGCTGGATTCAATTTGCCATTATTTTATAGAGGATTTTCGCATCAACGTTCATCAGGGATATTGGCCTAAAATTCTCTTTTTTTATTGTTTGTCTGCCAGGCTTTGGTATCAGGATGATGCTGGCCTCATAAAATGAGTTAGGGAGGATTCCCTCTTTTTCTATTGGAATAGTTTCAGAAGGAATGGTACCAGCTCCTCTTTGTACCTCTGGTAGAATTCGGCTGTGAATCTGTCTGTTCCTGGACTTTCTTTGGTTGGTAGGCTATTAATTATTGCCTCAATTTCAGAGCCTGCTATTGGTCATTTCAGAGGTTCAACTTCTTCCTGGTTTAGTCTTGGGAGAGTGTATGTGTCGAGGAATGTATCCATTTCTTCTGGATTTTCTAGCTTATTTGCATAGAGGTGTTGATAGTATTCTCCAGTGGTAGTTTGTATTTCTGTGGGATTGGTGGTGATATCCCCTTTATCATTTTTTATTACGTCTTTTTGATTCTTCTGTCTTTTCTTCTTGCTAGCGGTCTATCAATTTTGTTGATCTTTTCAAAAAACCAGCTCCTGGATTCATTAATTTTTTTTTTTGAAGGGTTTTTTGTGTGTCTATCTCTTTCAGTTCTGCTCTGATCTTAGTTATTTCTTGCCTTTTACTAGCTTTTCAATTTGTTTGCTCTTGCTTTTCTAGTTCTTTTAATTGTGATGTTAAGGTGTTGTTTTTAGATCTTTCCTGCTTTCTCTTGTGAGCATTTAGTGCTATAAATTTCCCTCTACACACTGCTTTAAATGTGTCCCAGAGATTCTGGTATGTTGTGTCTTTGTTCTCATTGGTTTCAA
This sequence comes from Homo sapiens, assembly GCF_000001405.40. Taxonomy (NCBI): domain Eukaryota; kingdom Metazoa; phylum Chordata; class Mammalia; order Primates; family Hominidae; genus Homo; species Homo sapiens. The sequence continues at coordinate 1,530,011 of NW_018654717.1, read as the reverse complement.
AGAACATCTTTATTTCTGCTTTCATTTCGTTATGTACCCAGTAGTCATTCAGGAGCAGGTTGTTCAGTTTCCATGTAGATGTGTGGTTTTGAGTGAGTTTATTAATCCTGAGTTCTAATTTGATTTCACTGTGGTCTGAGAGAAAGTTTGTTGTAATTTCTGTTCTTTTACATTTGCTGAGCAGTGTTTTTCTTCCAATTCTGTGGTCAATTTTAGAATAAGTGCGATGTGGTGCTGAGAAGAATGTATATTCTGTTGATTTGGGGTGGAGAGTTCTGTAGATGTCTGTTAGGTCTGCTTGGTCCAGAGCTGAGTTCAAGTCCTGGATATCCTTGTTAACCTTTTGTCTTGTTGATCTATCTAATATTGACAGTGGGATGTTAGACTCGCACACAATAATAATGAGAGACTTTAAGTCTTTTTCTAGGTCTCTAAGGACTTGCTTTATGAATCTGGGTGCTCCTGTATTGGGTACATATATGTTTAAGATAGTTAGCTCTTCTTGTTGAATTGATCCCTTTACCATTATGTAGTGGCCTTCTTTGTCTCTTTTGATCTTAGTTGGTTTAAAGTCTGTTTTATTAGAGACTAGGATTGCATTCCCTGCTTTTTTTTTTCGCTTGGTAGATCTTCCTCCAGCTGTTTATTTTGAGCCTATGTGCATCTCTGCACGTGAGACGGGTCTCCTGAATACAGCACAGTGACGGGCCTTGACTGTTTATCCAATTTGCCAGTCTGCGTCTTTTAACTGGGGCATTTAGCCCACTTATATTTAAGGTTAATATTGTTATGTTTGAATTTGATCTGTCATTATGATGTTTGCTGGTTATTTTGCCCATTAATTGATGCAGTTTCTTCCTAGCCTCGATGGTCTTTACAATTTGGCATGTTTTTGCAGTGGCTGGTACCAGTTGTTCCTTTCCATTTTTACTGCTTCCTTCAGGAGCTCTTTTAGGGCAGGCCTGGTGGTGACAAAATCTCTGAGCATTTGCTTGTCTGTAAAGGATTTTATTTCTCCTTCACTTGTGAAACTTAGTTTGGCTGGTTATGAGATTCTGGGTTGAAAATTCTTTAAGAATGCTGAATATTGGCCCCCACTCTCTTCTGGCTAGTAGGGTTTCTGCTGAGAGATCTGCTGTTAGTCTGATGGGCTTCCCTTTGTGGGTAACCCGACCTTTCTCTCTGGCAGCCCTTAACATTTTTTCCTTCATTTCAACGTTGGTGAATCTGACAATTACGTATCTTGGGATTGCGCTTCTCGAGGAATATCTTTGTGGTGTTCTCTGTATTTCCTGAATTTGAATGTTGACCTGCCTTGCTAGGTTGGGGAAGTTCTCCTGGATAATATACTGAAGAGTGTTTTGTAACTTGGTTCCATTCTGTCTATCACTTTCAGGTACAACAATCATAGCATTGGTCTTTTCACATAGTCGCATATTTATTGAAGCCTTTGTTCATTTCTTTTCATTCTTTTTTCTCTAATCTTGTCTTCTTGCTTTATTTCATTAATTTGATCTTCGATCACTGATATCCTTTCTTCTGCTTGATCGAATCGGCTATTGAAGCTTGTTTATGCTTTGTGAAATTCTTGTACTTTGGTTTTCAGCTCCATCAGGTCATTTAAGCTCTTCTCTACACTGGTTATTCTAGTTAGCCATTTGTCCAACCTTTTCTCAAGGTTTTAAGTTTCCTTGCGATCGGTCAGAACGTGCTGCTTTAGCTTGGAGAAGTTTGTTATTACCAACCTTCTGAAGCCTACTTCTGTCAACTCGTTAAACTCATTGTCCATCCAGTTTTGTTCCTTTGCTGGTGAGGAGTTACGTTCCTTTGGAGGAGAAGAGGCGTTCTGTTTTTGGAATTTTCAGCCTTTCTGCTGTGGTTTCTCCCCATCTTTGTGGTTTTATCTACCTTTGGTCTTTGATTTTGGTGACGTACAGATGGGTTTTGGTGTGGGTGTCCTTTTTGTTGATATTGATCCTATTCCTTTGTTTGTTAGTTTTCCTTCTAACAGAGGCCCGTCAGCTGCAGGTCTGTTGGAGTTGCTGGAGGTCCACTCTAGACCCTGTTTACCTGGGTATCACCAGTGGAGGCTGCAGAACAGCAAATATCGCGGCCTGATCCTTCCTCTGGAAGCTTCGTCCAAGAAGGACACCCACCTATATGAGGTGTCTGTCGGCCCCTACTGGGAGGTGTCTCCTCCCAGTCAGGCTACATGGGGCTCAGGGACCCACTTGAGGAGGCAGTCTGTCCGTTACTGGAGTTCAAATGCCGAGCTGGGAGAACCACTGCTCTCTTCAGAGCTGTCAGGCAGGGCTGTTTAAATCTGCAGAAGCCGTCTGCTGCCTTTTGTTTAGATATGCCCTGCCCCCAGAGATGCAATCTAGAGAGGCAGTAGGCCTTGCTGAGCTGCGGTGGGCTCCACCCAGTTCAAGCTTCCTTGCTGCTTTGTTTACACTGTGAGCATAGAAGTGCGTACTGAAGCCTCAGCAATGGCGGGGAGGCGCTTCCCCTCACCAAGCTCCAGCATCCCAGCTTGATCTCAGACTGCTTGGCTAGCAGCAAGCAAGGTTCCATGGGCATGGGACCCCCCGAGCCAGGCACTGGAGGCAATCACCTGCTCTGCCAGTTGCGAAGACTGGGAAAAGCACAGTATTTGGGCAGAGTATACTGTTCCTCCAGGTACAGTCACTCACGCCTTTCCTTGGCTAGGAAAGGGAAATCCCCTGACCCCTTGCACTTCCTGGATGAGGTGACGTCCTGCCCTGCTTTGGCTCACCCTCCATGGGCTGCACCCACTGTCCAACCAGTGCCAGTGAGATGAACCAGGTACCTCAGTTGGAAATGCAGAAATCACCCATCTTCTGCATCGATCTTGCTGGGAGCTGTAGACCAGAGCTGTTCCTACTGGGACATCTTGGAAGCAACTCTGGGTCTGAGTTTCTGTTTGTTGCCCTGATGTATATCCCCAGTGCCTAGAATGATACTTGTTACATAGGAAGTGCTTGATCCATGTTTGCACAAATGAATCTTTCTCATAATGAGGTTTCTCTAAACAAGCTGTTCTCCCAAAAACTTAAACCCAGCTTTATGTTGAAGCATCTCATTATACATTGGAAAGATGAAATGTGTAGTGAGACTTTGAATCTTCTTTTGAATCTAGAAACATTAGCATTTTTAGACCATTCTATTTTAATATTTATGAAATTTATGAAATAATAAGAAACATGAGGCCGGGCTCAGTGGCTTATGCCTGTAATCCCAGCAGTTTGGGAGGCCAGGGCTAGTGGATCATGAGGTCAGGAATTTGAGACCAGCTTGGCCAACATGGTGAAACCCCACTTCTACTAAAAATATAAAAATTAGCTGGGCGTGGTGGTGCATGCCTGTAATGCCAGCTCCTGGAGAGGCTGAGGCAGGAGAATCATTTGAACCTGGGAGGCGGAGTTTGCAGTGAGCTGAGATCGTGCCATTGCACTCCAGCCTGGGCAACATTGCGAGACTCCATCTCAAAAACAAAAACAAAAACAAAAAAAATGTGTGACCTAAATTAGGCTTATAGATGAACCATTGCAGTCATGATTAATTCCGCCATTGTTTGCCTTGTGATCTTTGGTGCCATGTCTGTACATATTTCATGATTTCTGTGTTTTTACGGTTTCCATTTCAGATCTCCCTTGAGTTTAGAAATCTGGCTGAGAAATACCAAACAGTGATTGCCGACATTTGCCGGAGAATGGGCATTGGGATGGCAGAGTTTTTGGATAAGCATGTGACCTCTGAACAGGAGTGGGACAAGGTTAGTCTCATAAAACAGTGTCTGTGTGTGATGTATTAGACAGAGCTGGCAGTCCTCATAGTGAAGCTCAGAACAAGAAAAGTTGTCCAGTATTTTCAGCCCCTCTGGTTTTACAATTCATCTGTTTAGGTTGAATGTCTCATCATAAACAGTTTATTCCAGAGTTAATTCCAAACCAGCAGCTATGTAGGATATCAGCCAGGCTAGGAGTAGGGTACTGGAGAGAAGTGCTTATCTAGACAAAGGGATGTAATTGACCATGAAGATTAAAACTACACATCAAAACATAAGGTAGGGTTAGGAGTCTTGCCTATTTTTCATAGGAATGGTGTTTGTGAGACTTACTCATCACTTCTGTGGAAGTAAAGACATTTTATTTATTTATTTTAAAGCCAGTCAGATTTAGCAGGCAGAGACATTTCAGACATCTAAAGTGTTGATGTATTTCATACCTTTAACTGTGCTTAAATTAGGATCTCCGAAAAGATGCTGCTACATGGTCACTACGTTAGTGTAGGTCCAAGGTCTTGGGCCTCTTAATTTTTCAAACCTCAAAACTTGACAGCAGTTATCTTTGGAACTGCTGATTTGTGCTTCCTAAGTTAACAGCATACAATGACTGCTAGAAATCAATTTCTGCATTTAAGGTGAAGTTAGCCGGGTACTATGGTTTACCTGTAATCTCAGCACTTTGGGAGGCTGAGGTGGGAGGATCATTTGAGCCCAGGAGTTAGACACAAGCCTAAGCAACATAGCGAGACCCCGTCTTTCAAAAAATTAAAAAATGAGCAGGGAATTGGTGGCATGTGCCTGTGGTCCCAGCTACTCTGGAGGCTGAGGTGTGGGAGGATTGCTTGAGCCCAAGAGTTGAAGGTTGCAGTGAGCCATGATTGTGCCACTGCACTCCAACGTGGGTGACAGAGCAAGACACCATCTGAAAGAAAATAAAGTTGAAGTTAAAACTTCTGGCCAAGAACCAGCACTGGTTATGATAGTAACTCATTTTCTGTTGTGCAGATTTATTCAGGAAACTTAATTTTAGGTTGTTGAATAGAAGTTTTGATCAGATAAAATTGAATTAAAAAAAATTTTTTTTGAGACAGGGTCTTGCTGTTATCCAGGCTGGTGTGTAGTGGTGTGATCACGGCTCCCCGCAGCCTCAACCTCCTGGGCTCAGGTGATCCTCCCACCTCAGCCTACCGAGTAGCTGTAACTACAGTGCATGACACCATACCAGGCTCATTTTTGTACATTTTTTGTAGAGAGAGGGTTTTGCCATGTTGCCCAGGCTAGTCTCAAACTCCTGGCATCAAACAGTCCTCCCACTCTGGCCTCTCAAATGTTGGGATTACAGGCATGACCAGCCAATTATTTCAAGGAGTTATTTTTTTTCTTCTACTTTGGGGGAAGATGAATTATATAAGTCTCCATTTTAGGAGTATTTCTACCAAAAGAACTATTATCTTCAAATATATTTTTGGATAGTACTATAGATATACTAATTTTTTTTTAAATTTCTAGTAATTCTTTTGAAGATTTTGTATAGCTGTCCAAAGCCAATTTCTGTCTACCTAATTTCAGCAAGATTTCACTCTTTTCATGTTACTTTTGTCCCAGAACAAATTTCAAGTGCTTTCTCTTCACCTGTGCATTCTTCCCCCTGATTAGTCTCTGGCTTTGTATTACTTTCAGTCAGAGACGACTTTTTTTTTTTGAGACAGGGTCTCACTCTGTCACCCAGACTGGAATGCAGTGGCACAGACAAGGCAGCCTTGACCTTCTGGGCTCAAGCAATCTTCCTTGCCCTCAGCCTCCTGAGTAACTGGGACCACAGGCACGTTGCCACCATGCCTGGCTAATTTATTTTAATTTTTATTATTTTTGAGACAGGGTATTGCTCTGTCACCCAGGCTGGAGTGTAGTGGCATGATCAAGGCTCACTGCAGCCTTCACCTCCTGTGCTCAAGCAGTCCTCTCACCTCAGCCTCCCCATTAGCTGGGACTATAGGTCCACACCACTACACCAGGCTAATTTTTGTAATTTTTTGGTAGAGACAGGGTTTCATCGTGTTGCCTAGGCTGGTCTTGAGCTCCTGGGCTCAAGCGATTCACCTGCCTTAGCCTCCCAGGTGTGAGCCACTACACTCAGCCTTTTAAAATTTTTTACAGAGATGAGGTCTTGCTTTGTTGGCCAGGCTGGTCTAAAACTCTTGGGCTCAAGCAGTCCCCTCTCCACAGCCTCCCAAAATTCCGGGATTACAGGCGTGAACTTCGGTCATTTCCTAACTTTTACCCTTCCTAATGACACTCCAGAGCTTACCTTCTTTACTTTTGCTTCTTAAGTTAACTAATAGACAATTATTGTATGTGGATATTGCATTAAGTTGTCTTAGGATACCCTTTTCAGAGGAGGACAGCTTTTGACAAATTGCTGTCGCGGAAAAAAAAAGTATTTGGCAATTAAGAGTTGCATTTACTGAAATCTCTGTTGAGAGAGGGGAAGTTACGTTGTCTCTAAAAGAAAAACTAAAAAGAAAAGGGGAAGTTTTAGCAAAGTTGTTAAAGCCTGACACTTAAGTCATACTACCTAGTTTTGAACTCTTAGCCCCTGCCACAGACACGGCAGCCCCTTGAACCTTCCTGGGTTCAAGCGAGCCTCCTACTTCAGCCCCCTGAGTAACTGGGACCACTGGCCTGTGTCACTGTGCCTGGCTAATTTTTTTTTTTTCCTCACATGGGCAATGTTGGGCAAGTTAAATCGACTTCTTTGTGCCTCAGTTTCCTCATCTGAAATGGAGATCATACTGCTATGTACCTGATACAATGTTTGTGAGGATTGAATGTGCAGAGTTCTTTTTTTCTGTTGTTGTTGTTTTGAGACGGAGTCTCACTCTGTCGCCCAGGCTGGAGTGCAGTGGCGCGATCTCGGCTCCCTGCAAGCTCCACCTCCTGGGTTCACGCCATTCTCCTGCCTTAGCCTTCTGAGTAGCTGGGACTACAGGCACCCGCCACCAGGCCAGCTAATTTTTTTGTATTTTTAGTAGAGACGGGGTTTCACCGTGTTAGCCAGGATGGTCTTGATCTCCTGACCTCGTGATCCGCCCGTCTCAGCTTCCCAAAGTGCTGGGATTACAGGCATGAGCCATCGTGCCCGGCTGAATGTGCAGAGTTCTTAAAACAGTGTCAAGAACATAAAATAGTTATTTGTTCTTTCATATAATGATGATTTTGAGGGCCTGCGGATCTTGACATGTTATCAGATTGGTCAAAAAAAGATTAAACCATAGTTGGTATTGTCCTAGTTCCTGTTACCAGAATATTCCATCTTTCATCGTTGCCTTCTCTCATAGTTTTATGTATCAAAAAGTTTATTGTAAAGCTAGGCCGGGCACGGTGTCTTGGGCTGGTAATCCCAGCACTTTGGGAGGCCAAGGCTGGCAGATCAGTTGAGGTCAGGAGTTCGAGACCAGCGTGGCCAACATGGTGAAACCCCGTCTCTACTAAAAATAAAAAATTAGCTGGATGTGGTGGTGGGTGCTTTAATTCCAGCTACTCAGGAAGCTGAGGCAGGAGAATCACTTGAACCCAAGAGGCAGAGGTTGCAGTGAGTTGAGATTGTGCCACTGCACTCCAGCCCAGGGGACAAAGTGAGACTTGATCTCAAAAAAAAAAAAAAAAAAAAGTTATTGTAAAGCTAGACACGGTGGTATTTGCCTACAATCCCAGCTGTTCGGGAAGCTGAGGCAGAAAGATTGCTTGGGTCCAGTAGTTTGAGTCTAACGTGGGCAAATATATGAGACTCCATCTCAAAAAAAAAAAAAAAAAATAAAAATAAAAAAATGTTTACTAGTTTTTTTCAGTAGCCTTTTATTATAGTAGCAGTACATGTGTATTGTAGAAATTTGGAAAATACAAGTGAAAAATAAAAACATCAAATTCCCGTCAGCCAGAGACTGCTGTGAAATGTTTTGAGCACATCCTTCTTGAATGTTTTTTAAATCCTGGTATGTATATTTGTATTTTAAAATCAAAATGCATTCTTACCCATTCTCTTTTGAACCTGCTTTTTTGTAGCTAATGATCTCTAGTGTGTCCATTTCAGTAAAAATTCCATTATTAAAGTGCTTTAAAAATCGTCTCTTACAGTACTGCCACTATGTTGCTGGGCTGGTCGGAATTGGCCTTTCCCGTCTTTTCTCAGCCTCAGAGTTTGAAGACCCCTTAGTTGGTGAAGATACAGAACGTGCCAACTCTATGGGCCTGTTTCTGCAGAAAACAAACATCATCCGTGACTATCTGGAAGACCAGCAAGGAGGAAGAGAGTTCTGGCCTCAAGAGGTAACAGATTCAGGGTATTTTGGGGGAAAATAACTTTAGACATTCTCTGAAAAATCCTTTAACTCTTGTGGTTGCGGGTGACAGAAAAACAAGTCAGGCCTCCCCCAGGCAGCATAAGGGGATGTGGAAAATAGGATAGTTTGACATGAGTTTGCTTCAGGTAGACTGGCTGACTCCCAGGATTCACACCACGTAATCAGTATATTCAAGCCTTGCTGTCCTTGATTTCTTTCAGACGGTCTTTCTCCAAGTGGTGGATATGGTAACAACCCATGTGCACTAGCTTAACAAAAAGTTCTTAGGAATGGCTTTGTTCGGCCTGGCGCAGTGGCTCATGCCTGTAATCCCAACAGTTTGAGAGGCCAAGGTGGGCGGATCACCTGAGGCCAGGAGTTCGAGACCAGCCTGGCCAACATAGTGAAACCCCGTGTTTACTAAAAAATACAAAAATTAGCCGGGCGTGGTGGCAAGGGCTTGTAATCCCAGCTACCTGGGAGGCTGAGGCAGGAGAATCGCTTGAACCCAGGAAGCAGAGATTGCGGTGAGCTCAGATTGTGCCACTGCACTCCAGCCTGGGCGACAGAGTGAGACTCCCTCTCAAAAGAAGAGGAAGGGCTTGGTTCTTCTGCTCAGCCCTGAATCAGTTACTGTTGCTACACAGCTGAGTTCTCTGGCCTCACCTGGATTACGTCTACACAGTACACACAGAATGGATTTCCCCCAAAGAAAGAATTCTGCGGCAGGAAGGGGAAAGGGATGGCAGGTAGACAAAAACTCCAGGTGTCTGTAATAAGGGACAGGGTCGATCTTTAATTAAAACATGGACAGGGAACAGAAAGCTTTTGATACTGATTTTGTTCAGAAGGAAAGTAGAAAATTTTATGACTGTTCCCTGAATTTATTCCAGCATTTACCTTTTGCTTTCCATAAAAGTGTTTCCTGCAGCCAAGTACTTTAAAGTTTTAAAAAGACGGGTGAGGCTAAGTGTGGTGTCTCATACTTATAATCCCAGTGCTGAGGCCAGGAGTTCAAGACCAGCCTGAGCAACACAGCAAGATACCATCTCTATAAAAAATTGTTAGAAAATGATTCTGCTGAAAGAGCAAAAATAAAAATTAAAGAAAGTAGAAAAAATAAAACTAAATTTAAAAGATTAACTGGGCATGTTGGCATGCACCTGTATTCCTAGGTATTCGGGAGGCTAAGGCACAAGGATCCCTTGAGCGCAGGAGCTCAAGGTTGGATTGAGTTGTAATCACACCACTGCACTCCAGCCTCGGTGGCAGAATGAAACTGTCTCAAGAAAAAAAAAAAGTGACAGAGGGAAACAATATTTGCAATTCATAGAGCAGATACAGGGTTCATATTCCTAATATTAAAAAAAACTTCTAAAAGTTAAGAAAAAGGCCAACTGCCCCACAGAAAAATGGGCAAGGAGATAAGAACAAGATTGTTCACAGGAAGAGACACACAGATGATTATTAAAAATCTGAAAAGATGCTGAGTCTTACTCCTAAGAAAAATTCACATTTAAACTACTCTGGGGGCTGGGCAAGGTGGCTCACGCCTGTAATCTCAACACTGGGAGACCAAGGCAGGAAGATCACTGAAGCCAGGGTATCGAGACCAGCCTGGACAACGTAGTGAGACCTTATCTCTTAAAACAAAACAAAACAAAACAAAAAAAAAAAAACAGTAAAAATTGGCCGGGCACAGTGACTCCTGCCTGTAATCCCAGCACTTTGGGAAGCCCAGGTGAGTGGATCACTTGAGGTCAGGTGTTTGAGAACAGCCTGGCCAACATGGCAAAACTCCGTCTCTACTAAAATTACAAAAATTAGCCAAGTGTGGTGGCATACGCTGGTAGGGCCAGCTACTTGGGAGGCTGATGTGAGACTCCATTTAAAAAAAAAAAATCAAAAATTAGCTGGGTATAGTGGCACACCCCTATAGTTCTCGCTCCTTGGGAGGTTGAGGCAGGAGGATTGCCTGAGCCCAGGAGTTCAAGGCTGCAGTGAACCATGATCACACCACTGCATTCTAGCAGCCTGGGAGACAGAGCAAAACCCTTGTCTCAAAACAAACAACAACAAAAAAACAAAAAACACTTCCCTCAGCTCAGACATGGCCTTTTAAGTTTCCTAGGTGACTCGTGTGCAGCCAGGGTTGAGAAACCACTCTTGTCTTACCCCTCTTTTGCAGACACAGGGCTCAGAGAAGGGAAGGGGATTGTCTGGGGATGTATAGTGAGGCAGTGGCTGCCTTGGAAGTGGAGTCTCAGTCTCCCGGCTCCTAGGCCAGCCCCTGACCACTGTTCCATTGTCTCCCAGACAGAACATCAGCCACGGGCATGTGATGCATGAGCGTGAGCCACACCATCTTGCACACACAGGAGCAGAGCCCTGCTCTTCTCATTCACTTACTTTATCTGTAAAATAGCATCATTTCTACCACACGGTGGTGGTGTGAATAAAATGAGATGAACTTCTAGCATAGAGTGCTTAGTAAAGGTTCTGGACATTTCGTAGTAGTTGAATCATGCCAAATGTGGTCCTAGGTGATTGGCTTCTTTTGCTAGCATGTTTTCAGGGCTCCTCCATGCTGGGGCATTGCATCACTGCTTTATTCCTTTTTATCGCCTAGTATTATTCCACTGTGTGGATAGACCACATTTATCCATTCATCAGTTGGAGGATATTTGGGTTCTTCCCATTTTTTTTGGCTATGGTGAATAGTACTGTGTACATTTGCATATAAGGTTTTGTGTAGATGTGTGTTTTCCTTTTTCTTGGGTCTATGCTGAGAAGTGGAATTGCTGGTTCATACAGCAGCTCGAACCTTGTGAGGAGCTGCCAGACGCTTTTCCAAGGTCGCTCCACCATTTTACATTCCCGTCAGCAGTGTGAGAGTCCCAGTTTCACCAGCACTTGTTGTTATCTCTTTTTAACTGTATGTATATATACTTAACATTTTATTTATAATAAATGTACATAATAGAGAATTTGCCATTTTAACTATTTTTAAGTCTATTATTCAGTGGCATTAAGTACATTAATGATGTTATATAACCATCAACACTATGTTTCCAGAACTTTCGCTAGCTTCAGAGAATCCTCTAAATAATATCATTAAAAATCATCAAGCCGAATCCCACTGTTAGAATTAAAGGTTTTATTTCACTTTCAAGTTATCAGGATCCAGGGAGGTGTAATACACTTAGAGGATAGACTCAGCTCATTTCCCAGCTATGCCTTTCAGCAGCATTCTTACCAGAGTAGGAATATAATGTTAGTCATTATTTAGAGGCCTGGCCATCTTGAGAAGGTTTACTGTTTAGTCTGCAGTACAATTATAACTGTTTTTGTATATTGGGTTATTTTTTTCAGAAGTAGGCCAGTAGCTCTAACAGGAGCCTCTTTAGCCTGAATTCGTCCAAGTAGTGCAGTGTTGCACTAGTTGTCCCTCGGGACATGCTCCCCAATACGTAACTCACTTCCAGGTTGCAACTGGACACTTACTGGTAGTCAGAAATAGCTATTGCATGGAGCTTAAAATGAACTTGATCTTCGTGAAAGATGAGTCTGCAGCTAAGAGACTTTACTGTATATCATAGTGTTTTTTTTTGTTTTGTTTTGTTTTTGTTTTTGTGACGGAGTCTCACTCTTTCACCCAGGCTGGAGTGCAATGGCGAGATCTTGACTCACTGCAACCTCCGCCCCCTAGGTTCAAGCAATTCTTCTGTCTCACCCTCCTGAGTAGCTGGGATTACAGGCGCCTGCCACCGTACCCGGCTAGTTTTTGTATTTTTAGTAGACACAGGGTTTCACCACCTTGGCCAGGCTGGTCTTGAACTCCTGACCTCGTGATCCACCCTCCTCGGCCTCCCAAAGTGCTGGGATTACAGGCGTGAGCCACGGCGCCCAGCCTGTATCATAGTTCTTATGCACAAAGACCCTTTAATATTGTTTGTAAATTCTCCCCTATGCACACGCTGACCTGTTCCTTAATCTTCTTATCTGTCTAGGTTTGGAGCAGGTATGTTAAGAAGTTAGGGGATTTTGCTAAGCCGGAGAATATTGACTTGGCCGTGCAGTGCCTGAATGAACTTATAACCAATGCACTGCACCACATCCCAGATGTCATCACCTACCTTTCGAGACTCAGAAACCAGAGTGTGTTTAACTTCTGTGCTATTCCACAGGTAGGGAACGGGGCTCCTCTGGGTGGATACGGGGCTAAAGGGAGTGGGGTAGGAGTAAGGGTGGATTTTGCTGTGCTATATTCAAGGATATGATTCCTTAAAAAGACGATGACTCCAGTTTATTACGCTGGGAGTTTCATAGCACCCGCCTTTGCTTCCAGCCACCAAACTCAGCTCAGCCTTGAGGTTAAGCCTGCTCCTTTTCAGAACCTTCTTTCTGGATTTACTATTTTCTACAGCTATCCTAAACTAGTTAGGTTCTTTTCCTCACAGTTAAGTCAAGGTCTTTGGCTTAGATTTATGGGGAGTGCTGGGTAAAACCTGGGTGAAGCTGTTATCATTAAAAAGTCTTCATTAAGCACCTAATTACTGCTGTCCTTTTCCTAGACCCGGCATAAAAAGAACCTGGTCCGGTAGACCTAGCCTCTCAGTATGCTAGGAACTTACACTTTTTAGTTGCCTTTACCAAGTATTGCAGATACTACTGCAAATAAGTGAAGAAAGTAACAGCATTTAACTGATTTGGGAACTTGGTTTGATCTTGTTCTAATGACCCACTTCGAATGGTGGTTGAAAGTAAAATCTGTATCGCCGTCTTATGTTTCCATTTACCTAGAAATACTTTACCTTTGAGCACAGGAAATTAATCCCCTTCTGGTTGTTCTCCCCCTGGCATTGGTTTTAAATATATAATGATTATGTTTGTTGTAGGAAAAATAGAAAAACAACTACAATAGAAAATTCTTCCCATATATTATTTTGAAATACATATTTCCGATCCGATAATCCATTGCTCTAGCATGGAAAATGTTGGATTTACTTGTGTTTGCTTTTTCCAAATAAAATGGAACTTTTGTGGCTACATTATAGAATTGTTTTAGACTGCTTAATTCTGTGTGTTGTTGAGAAAGGGAGGAGTGGGGAAGGTAAAAATCTTGACATACTTTCTTCGTGGGTATTTTTTCTTGAGCGATTCCATCTTAGTTGATTAGCAGTTAGCAATTGCCCATTCAACAGAAGGTTTTCTTACCTTTTTGTGATAATGATAGCTAACGACATCATTTCTTCTTTTTTCCCTCTCTTCTTGTTGTCTCTAGGTGATGGCCATTGCCACTTTGGCTGCCTGTTATAATAACCAGCAGGTGTTCAAAGGGGCAGTGAAGATTCGGAAAGGGCAAGCAGTGACCCTGATGATGGATGCCACCAATATGCCAGCTGTCAAAGCCATCATATATCAGTATATGGAAGAGGTGGGTTTTTATTTAACTACTTGGATAATTTGTAGCTACTTTTATGATTTAGTAATGTCACTGTTTAACCAGGTTTGGATATTAGATGATCCTAACAATTCACTATCCTGTGGCCTAAAGAGACAGGAATTGATATCCTTTATAAGGAAAAAAGTCTATTCACAGGAGCCGAGCAGATTGCTCACTGCTGTGTAGTACCCTGGTGAGAGGAGATAAATGGAGCAAGGCTGTAGGTTGGAGCCCCTCAGTAGAATCATAGATTTTGAGCTGCAAGATGATGCAGGAGGCCAACCAAGCTTCTTGTTGCTGGTGAGGAATGTGAGGTTGAAGCTTGTCTGTGCTGATGCAGTGCGTGATTGAGTGGATCTCTGGCTCCCGTCCATGTGTCCTGACACCCAGTCTGGTACTTTCATTATGCCACAGGCCTCAATTGAAAAATCACAGTAGGGAATTTAGGCCAAGGAAAGCCATCAAGTTGCAATTATTTCCTAAATTTTCTTTGGAAAATTTCATTTCAAATACCAAAACCATCCTATAAAAAGAAAACTTACCTTCTTAGGTCAAATCTCTAATATTTGACTAGGTTCAAAAAGTTTATTTCTGGCCAGGCACAGTAGCTTACTCCTGAAATCCCAGCACTTTGGGAGACCAAGGTGGGAGGATCACTTGAGGCCAGGAATTCAAGACCAGCCCGGGCGACATAGCAAGACCCCATTTCTACAAAAAATTTAAAAATTGTCATGGTGGTGCACGCCTGTGGTCCCAGCTACTCAGGAGGCTGAGGCAGGTGGATCACATGAGCCTGAGAGGTCGAGGCTACAGTAAGCTGTGTGATTTCATCATTGCACTCTAGCCTGGGTGATAGAGTGAGACTTTGTCTCAAAAAAAAAAAAAAAAAAAAAAAAAAAAAAAAAAGTCTTAGAGACCAGAAGTCTCTGTAATCTCTAATAATCTCTAGGCCCTAGAGCAGTGGTTTGTAAATGGAGGTGATTTGCTCCCCTCCCCCCAGAGGACATTGGACAATGTCTGGAGACATTTTTGATTGTCCTAACCGGCAGGAATCGGGTGCTACTGGCATCTGGTGAGTAGAGGCCCAGGATGATGCTGTGATCCTCAGGTGTGATCCTGTTGAGAATGAAACACTGTAGACTTTATGAAAACATACAAGACCCTCATCATTTTTCCTTTGCCTGAGCTCCCTCCCCAGAGGTTACCTCTGTTCATGGTTTTGTGCATCCGTCTAGTCCCCCTATTACGCGTTTACAGGAATATGGTTTGCAACAGTGTTTTCATCTAAATAGAATTATACAAAATAGCGATTTCTGATTTCTCTTGCATATTGCACATTCTTCTTATACTTCCTCCCTACCTTTATCTGACACAGAAATGCTGTATGTCCAGAACTTCTATCAGAGGCACCTATGGAAGTCTAAGGGAAGACCACATCGCTTTTAAAAACCCTAAAATTTTGTAGTCACTAGATGAAAATATTCAGCCAGTGACCCAAAAAATTGCTACCAATGAGACTCTCCATTTTGCCATGTAGCCAGAACTTACTTTGATCTATGTGCCTGGGGTAGTGACCAAGTAGGTGGGTAGGAGTAATCTCAGGGAAACTTGAGGCCCCAGCCTCATGGCTAGGGTCATAATTTGAACCCAGGTCTGTCTGACATCAGAATCCATGATGTTAACCCCAATTCTAAGGGGTTCAACTACCCTTTCTAAATGGAATCCTGCTATATTAGGCACTATTTATTCATTTTATATAAACTAGAAACATTTTATGTAGTAAGTAGTTGAGAGTGTTTTGGTTTTGCAGTTTGATCACTAGTTTTAGAAACCAGTTTTTAAACACTTTGTGGCCAATTCCATTACTATATTAAAATTCAGATTTATTTGGTTTTTCCTTAACTATTGGGATTAAATCCTGGTTGTAATTCATAGTTTGAGGGCGAGGGTGGGCAGTCTACAGTTGGCTGAGCCCTGTTTTTGTGAATAAATGTTATCAGAACACAGCCACACCCATTTGCTTCTATGTCTTCTGTGGCTGCTTTTGCAATGTGACGGCCGAGTTGAGGAGCTGCAACAGGCGATGACTTGTAAAGCTGAAAATATTTTTTGGCCCTTGAATAAGAGGTTGGCTGACTTCTGACTTAGGGCATCAGTTGTTCTGTTATCCCAGTAAAACTCAAGGCATTAGGGGAGAAATGTTAATATTAATACTTAAGTTGATTTGATTTAGGGAAATCTTTGAAGATTTCTAAGTCTTAAGCAGTAGAACCTGTTAATGGTTTTAGTTTCAGCAGTAAGGACATTTTACAAGTAAAGTTTTAAATGAAAACATTTTGTATGAAGCCACAAGTCGTCTGGCCTCTTGCTGGTGTCCAGATATTAACACTGATCCTATTTCTCCTTGCTGACCAAGTCTGTCCTTTGTAGTAAGAAAGGAAGAAACGTTGACTCTGTCCGATCTCTGGACTTAGTGTTGTAGCGAGCATGCACCTGGAAGGGACTTGCCAGAGGACCTCCTCATGCTTCTCCAGTGCTTAGTGGGGGCTTGGAGTGCAGCCCCAGGTCTTCACGAGCAGTTGGCCACACTGCAGGGCCCTCACCCCACTCTGGAGCAGCCTCTGCTTCAAACCAGCCTGGATGCTTGTCAGCTGGGGAGAAGATCAACCTGCTATTTTGGGATAGAAATAAATGCTCAGCCAAACGGCCAGAAACCCCCATTCCCCTCTCTGCCAAAGTGAATTCCTTGGCAGGGAGAAGCTTGTTCGTGTCTCTGCACACTTCCTGTGCCCTCCTGTGGTTAAGTCAGAGAATCATCCGGCTCTTTGAGCCCCAGGTGCCTAGCTGCTCAAGGATGGTCCCCAGCCAGCAGCTGCCAGGAATCACCTGGGAGCCCATTAAGACATCCAGCCCCCACCCAAACCTATCGAATCAGAATCTGCCTTTTTTTCCCAAATGATGTTTTTGCTTTAATGGAAGTTTAGATGTTCATAGACAAGAGTTTTAAATGATGATCAAGCTGATTCCATATTCGCAGTTGTAAGTAGAACTGCTGAGACGTGGAAGTACCACATGGACTCACAGAGGAGCTGCTGTATGTAGCACAGCATTGCACAAGAGCTTATTTCAGTCTAGTAAACATTTATAGGAGCCTGTGTCATTTAATCATCAAGCCTCGCACTGTGGCTCACACCTGTAATCCCAAAACTTTGGGAGGCTGAGGCAGGCAGATCACTTGAGGTAAGGAGTTCGAGACCAGCCTGGCCAATATGGCAAAACCCTGTCTCTACTAAAAATACAACATTTAGCCAGGTGTGGTGGTGCACACTTGTCATCCCAGCTATTCCGGAGCCTGAGACATGAGCATCGCTTGAACTCGGGAGGTGGAGGTTGTAGTGAGCTGAGATGGCACCACTGCACTCCAGCCTGGGCAACAGGGTGAAGGCCCTTTCTCAAACTCCTCAAGTATTTGGCTTCAACTTTATGCCGGGCATGTAGATGAAAAGTCGGCTATGACCTGTCCTTGACAAGCAGATGTAACTCCTTGATTGAGGCTAGTAGGTTTTTAAGACCTGAATAATTGAGTTTGCAGAAACCTACTGTGTGCCTTCAGGTAAATGGAGAGTGGGGTTTGGTCTAGCAACGAAGCATCTAGAAGGTCCCTTTGGCCTTACCGGCTCTGTTTTAGGTAAGTCCACGTCTGAGTACCAGTGACTGCAGCTCTTCCAGTTGTGCTGTCATGCTTATATGTTAGAAATGATCATCAAAGGACTCAAAAGTTTTGCCACTAATTGTATTACCGGGGACTGTCACAACCAAGATTTCTCTTAATTTATTCACCTTACTTATCTCCTGGAAGGGCATATTGAAGTGCTCTTGGAGTTCTCTAAAAGGGTTTTTGTTGGTTGTGTATATTCACTTGGGTGCCAGCGATTGATTCCAAATAAGTAAATCTTTTTTCCCAAAAGGATGTAAGATGGCTTATGGTTATAAGTACAACAGGCTAACAAAGTACAAGTAGATGAGAAAGTAAAATGAAGAAATAAAGTCATAGGAGCCACAGAATTAACCCAGGAATGAATAAGTGTGTAGTTTGGTGCTGATGTTATCATCCTTTATTTGTACATTGCTTGTACAGTTGCTCTGAGAAGGTAAGTCTTAAATTTTCAAAAGTGAAATGTCACCGAGCATGGTGGCTGATGCCTCTAATCTCAGCACTTTGGGAGGCTGAGGCAGGCGGATCACTTGAGGTCAGGAGTTCGAAACCAGCCTGACTTATGTGATGAAACCCTGTCTCTACTAAAAAAAAAAAAAAAAAAAAAAAAAAAAAAAAAAAATACAAAAGTTAGTTGGGCATGGTGGCAGGTGCCTGTAATCCCAGCTACTTGGGAGGCTGAGGCAGGAGAATCACATGAACCTGGGAAGTGGAGGCTGCAGTGAGCCAAGATTGCACCACTGCACTCTAGCCTGGGTGACAGAGCGAGACACCATCTTAAAAAAAAAAAAAAAAAAATCTACAATATACCAAAACCATTACTTACCTGAGAAACTATTCTCAGGGTCATTGTAGTGAATGCCTATTTTATGGCTTTTGATGGCATCAGGGCACTCAGGTCATTTACAAGAGTAGTGTGTGAGACCCTGTGTGTCACTGCCACTCATCTTGGCCTTCGGCCACTGCTGTAGCAACCAGTTTCCAAGTAGGGCTGGACCTTGCCTTCTGCTCCAGAGACCTCTCGCTTCCTGCCCTTGGGCTTCTGACGAGCTGCAGGAACTGCCTGGCACGTGGGTCCCCACAACCCAGAGGAGGTGAGGGCCACCTCTCTGCTCCTCAGGGCCACCTTTCATAAGGCTCCTTGAAGGTCCCTCAAGATCAAGCCAACTCAACACATCCTTGATAGGCCTTCCTGCCTTCTGTTTCACTTCTCCACTCGTTTCCAAATAAATGGCTGCATGCAAGCTTTTGCCTCAGGTTCTGCTTTTAGGAGGAAGGCTAAGACAAGCAGTAAAGCAACATGGGCAGGCAGAAGGATGACTTCTAATAGAATTATCTCATCACTATATATTTTACTTTATGGATGCTTGTATTGAAAAGTCTTGGCTGGGTGGAGTGGCTCACGCCTGTAATCCCAGCCCTTTGGGAGGCCGAGGTGGGTGGATCACTTGAGGTCTGGAGTTTGAGACCAGCCTGACCAACACTGGTAAAACCTTGTCTCTATTAAAAATGCAAAAATTAGCCAGGGATGCACGCTTGCTGTGTGCCAGCACAGGGCTAGGCTGGAGATAAAAAGGTGAGTAAGTAGGTGCGGTGTAGTCAGGGTGAAAACTACAGATGGTCCATTTCCACGTAAGTGGAAAGGTAAAGGTATGTACAATAGGGTGGCTCCTGGCTGAACCTGGAGCTGCAGACAGGTTTTCTAGAAGGCATAATCCTGAAGTTGAGACTTGGGGGCCTAGGTAGGAGCCAGTTGAAGGGACGTGGGAGGCGCATTCCAGAGAGAAGGAGTGGTATGAGACTGGAACAGAGGTGTGCAGCAGCATCGCATGGGCGAAACAACAGTAGACAGTTGTTCTTTTGTTTTTGTTTGTTTTTTGAGACAGCGTCTTGTTCTGTCATCCAGGCTGGAGTGCAGTGGCATGATCTCGGATCACTGCAACCTCCACCTCCCAGGCTCAAGTGATCTTCCCACCCCAGTCCCCAAGTAGCTGGGGGACCACAGGTGCATGCCACGATGCCCGGCTAATTTTTGTACATTTTGTAGAAACAGGGTTTTACTGTGTTGTCCAGGCTGGTCTTAAACGCCTGAGCTTAAGCAGTCTACATGCCTCAGCCTCCTGAAGTGCTGGGATTCCAAACATGAGCCACTGTGCCTGGCCCGGCAACTGTTACTAGACTATAGAGAGGGAGGTGGGCAAGGGCTGGTGACACTAGACAGGTGCAGTAGGTCTGGACCATGGGTGGCCTTGCGCTACACATTACAGAGCTCAGGCTTTTTTTCTCCAGGTGAGAGGGCTGGTGCCACTGAGGCATCAAGCAGAGGTTTGAGATCTCCTTGGTGACAGTGTAGAGCAGACAGGTAGATTTGGGAATTTAAGCTTAGACTCACGTTGGAGACTGAGATAGCTCATCTGAGAGGCACTCAGGGCCTAATCTCAGGCAGTAATTTTAGGGATGTAGGGGAAGAGATGGATTCTGCACATACTTGGGAGGCTTGTGGAGGAGTGGGGAGGGAGGCACAGGGAGGACTCCAGGGTGGTTCATACGGCTCCCTGCTTCTGTTCCTGTCCCCCTTTGTCAAGCTGTGGTCTGTACTGCGTGTTCCATCTTGTTTCTAAGCTGCTTTTGCCCAGTCTTTCCAGCATTTCCCTTTCGTCATGTTAGTCTGTGCCTGTCTACGTGAACTATGGTGACGTTTATTGGGCCTGGCACTGTGAGGTGCTGGGGATGTGAAGATCATTGTGGCTCAGCCGCTGCTCTCGAGGGCCTCTGGGTGCAGTATGCACACCTGTGCCTCCTGTTTGCTCAGGAAGACAGGCTTTGAGATGAGCTGGGGCTGACATCCCCACCTTATCATTGGGATGGCTTTGGGTAAGTTATGTTCATGTTCTCTGAGCCTCCCTTTCCTCATTGGTAAAATGGGTATAAAATACCTGCCAGTGGAGGGTTGTTGTAAGTAGCCATGGAAAATGTAAAGCACATAGCACTTATCATTTTTTCCTGTGTCTTTAACAGATTTATCATAGAATCCCCGACTCAGACCCATCTTCTAGCAAAACAAGGCAGATCATCTCCACCATCCGGACGCAGAATCTTCCCAACTGTCAGCTGATTTCCCGAAGCCACTACTCCCCCATCTACCTGTCGTTTGTCATGCTTTTGGCTGCCCTGAGCTGGCAGTACCTGACCACTCTCTCCCAGGTAACAGAAGACTATGTTCAGACTGGAGAACACTGATCCCAAATTTGTCCATAGCTGAAGTCCACCATAAAGTGGATTTACTTTTTTTCTTTAAGGATGGATGTTGTGTTCTCTTTATTTTTTTCCTACTACTTTAATCCCTAAAAGAACGCTGTGTGGCTGGGACCTTTAGGAAAGTGAAATGCAGGTGAGAAGAACCTAAACATGAAAGGAAAGGGTGCCTCATCCCAGCAACCTGTCCTTGTGGGTGATGATCACTGTGCTGCTTGTGGCTCATGGCAGAGCATTCAGTGCCACGGTTTAGGTGAAGTCGCTGCATATGTGACTGTCATGAGATCCTACTTAGTATGATCCTGGCTAGAATGATAATTAAAAGTATTTAATTTGAAGCACCATTTGAATGTTCGTAATAGTAGAAAATGATGTGAATTTTCTTTCTGTTCGGCTCCTATTTTTCTCATCATTTTGTTTTCTTTAATTGGGTTGAATGGAGTAGATAGAAATATTTATGGTTTAGGTAACAGTTAGATGTTTCCTAAGAATGCAAACTGCCTTTTCCACACAAAGGCTGGGAATAAAATTCTGGGTATTCTCGTATTCTCATTTAAAGGAGTTTAGCTTTCAGAGAGAAACAGCAGGATTGCTTTTGACCTTTTAGAAGATTGGTCTCCAGTAAAGGTGGACATTTTTGAGATTTTTATAATAAAGAATTTAATTGCTCTGCATTTGTCAAGTACAGTTCGCTTGAAAGCCTGCCTGACTGTGGAAAAGATGGAGCTCAAGAATGGAGTTGATGGCCCAGCGTGGTGGCTCATGCCTGTAATCCCAGCACTTTGGGAGGCTGAGGCGGTCGGATCACGACATTAGGGGATCGAGACCATCCTGGCTAACACGGTGAAACCCCGTCTCTACTAAAAAAAAAAAAATTAGCCAGGCGTGGTGGCGGGTGCCTGTAGTTCCAGCTACTCGGGAGGCTGAGGCAGGAGAATGGCTTAAACCCGGGAGGCGGAGCTTGCAGTGAGCTCAGATCGCGCCACTGCACTCCAGTCTGGGCAACAGAGCGAGACTCCATCTCAAAAAAAGGAAAAAATTGTAAAAAAAAAAAAAAAAAAAATTTCCCCCAGCAGTTTTTGTTTTCTAAAGTTATCAGTTTATATATTCAGGTCTTAAGAAAGGCAAAAGCTGTCTTCAGGTGATTGGCTTGGGGGCAGAACAGTACTTCTGCTCGGGGTTTCACCTTCCTCTCTACTCCAGTGCAGCAGAGCTTGTGATGTGCTCTCACTGAGGTGCTCAGTGCAGCAAGGAGGCCTGTGGACCCTCGAGTTGAGAATTGGTGTACTAGGGCATTCGGTACTTTCTAGAAGCCATTAATGCTACAGGTACTCATAAAGTCTACTCTTCTGCAGCCCATCGTGGATGGTGGCTTAATCATTGAATTTGAGTTGTTTCGAGCTGCAACGTTGGATTTGCATTGTTGTAAGCACACTTTCTTGCTGTGACCACTGACACCAAAATTAGTTTGGGCCCAGGGAGACTTCAGTTAATTGGTTCATTTGAGGCTTAGCCCTGGACTCATTTGTCACCAGCCAAGATAACTTGCCACATGGAATACAGCCAGACCAGGGGTCCCCGACCCCCAGGCCTAGGACCGGCACTAAACCTTCTGTTACGTGGCCTGTTAGGAACCGGGCATCACAGCAGGAGGTGAGCGGCGGGTGAGTGAACATTATCACGTGAGCTCCACTCGGCGTTAGATTCTCATAGGTGCGATTGCGCGTGTGAGGGATCTGGGTTGCATGCTCCTTGTGAGAATCTAGTCCCTGATGATCTGAGGTGGCAGTTTCATCCCAAAACCATTTTCCTCCCTCTGTCCTTGGGAAAATTGTCTTTATGAAACCGGTCCCTGGTGCCAAAAAGCTTGGGGACCACTGAGCTAGACTCGACAGTATTTTCCAAGGAATTAAAGCCTCAAAACTTGGTTTGAGATTTCAGGGTAGGTTGTTAAAAATCTGTGTGTTGAAATCTAAGATTTAATTCTGCCAAAGTTCACGTTAAGACAGAACAACCTGCTGGAAAGAGATTTGGTCTGAGTGGGGCCTGCGGAAATCTTCTTTCCTGACTTGGTCATTACCTGTGGGACCACTTCCTGAGCTGTGTGGTTTGGGTGATCTCAGATTTTTTCTATCTATAAAGCTATGTGCTTTTTTCTACTCACTGAGTTGTAGAAAGGTATTCGCTCTCATTCCATTCTGAAGCTCTTTGAAAGCTTGTTTTCCTTCTAAGTATCTTCTCTACTAAGGTTGCCAGATATAATAGGGGATGCTGGGCATGGTGGCTCACACCTGTGGTCTCAGCTACTCGGAGGGTGTTGGGGCTGAGGCAGGAGGATCCCTTGAGCTCAAGAGGTTGAGGCAGAGGTTGTGGTGAGCCAAGATCACGCCATTGCACTCCAGCCTGGGCGACAGAGTGAGACTCTGTCTCAAAAAACAAACAAACTTGCATAACTGAAAATTCAGAAGTAGTTGGCCATCTTGTATTTCTGTTTGGTAACTCTGGCAACACTACCCTCTACTCCCCACTTCTAATATAATTTTATAGCATCTCTGGCATACAGTCTATTTGGATCCGACCTAATGGTGCAATGTTTTGTTTTCCTCAGAGGAGCCTCTGACCCATGTGAATCTAGGACCATAAACAATTAGAATGCTTGGGAGCAAGAGCTTTATATCTGCATATGGGAACTTCCGGATCCCTGTGGGCAAGTGCAGGGAGGGCCCCTTCTTCCATCTACTGAGCCATTTCCCAGGGGCTCGGGTGTGTATAGGAGGAAGAGGGCGAGTCAGGCATGTTAACAAACATTCTAGGTTATTCTTGGCAGTTTTGGAAACAGTTCTAAGGCTGTGGTTCTCAGACTTTATATCAGAATTGCCTGATTGCTGGGAACAGAGACTGATACAGTAGGTCTGATGGGGTGCCCAAGAGGTTGCATTCCTAAATTCTCATGCAGTTTTCTAATCAGGGAGCAGCTGGAAAGGTATTGTGAGCTTGAATGTACCTGGGAAACTACCTGGGGTCTTGGGAGATGCAAATGCTGGTTCAGAGGTCTGGCCCTCTGACACTCTGATGAGCATTTCTAACAGGCTCTCAGGTGACGGCCGTGCTCCTGGTCTGTGGACCACTTCAGTATGGCTGAAGCACAATAAAAGAGGGCAAATTACTGCTTTCTTTAAAAAGAGTGGCAGCCGGGCACAGTGGCTCACGCCTATAATCCTAGCACTTTGGGAGGCCAAGGCAGGTGGATCACTTGAAGTCAGGAGTTCAAGACCAGCCTGGCCAACATGGTGAAACTCTATCTCTACTAAAAATATAAACATTAGGCCAGGTGTGGTGGCAGGTGCCTGTAATCCCAGCTACTCGGGAGGCTGAGGCAGGAGAATCCCTTGAACCCAGGAGGCGGAGGCTGCAGTGAGCCAAGATCATGCCACTGCACTCCAGCCTGGGTGACAGAGAGAGACTCCCATCTCAAAAATTTTTTTTTTAAATGCAGAGGTTGGACTGCCTACCTATACTCTAATTTCTATTCTGGAGTGATTCTCTGGAGAGTCTAGGTAAAGACTGAAAAGGCATTGTTACGTCCACCTGTCATCTCACTTGGACAAGAATCCAGGAGAAACTATTGAACTGAGGTGACAAAGTTATGATCAATGTGGTGATCTGAGGTGTATTAAAACACTGAGCTCTTTCCCAGTCACAAACACTGCAAGGCAGGTGTTTCTAACAAAGCCTTAAGCTGATGTCGACATGCCCCACAATTCCTTGTCACTCACCAGCACATCCCCGCTGGCTCCATGCTAGAAGCAGGCAAGGAGCTGCAGGTGCGTATATGATGGAGGTGAGGGAGACAGTGCGCATGGAATGAATCAACTCAGTTTGGGAGCAGGGAGAACTTTATTGAGGTTATGAATATATTCTACTTGAAACTGGAAGGATAAGTGGTTATGAATTTGTGGCTTATGGTAACCTTTGTTAAGCATCTTTCTTTTTCTTTTTTTTTTTGGTGAGACACAGATTCACTCTTGTCCCCCAGGCTGGAGTGCAATGGCGTGATCTCGGCTCACTGCATCCTCTGCCTCCCAGGTTCAAGCGATTCTCGTACCTCAGCCTCCCGAGTAGCTGGGATTACAGGCATGTGCCAGCATGCTTGGCTAATTTTGTATTTTTAGTAGAGATGGGGTTTCACCGTGTTGCCAAGGCTGATCTCAAAACTCCTGACCTCAGGTGATCTGCCCGCCTCAGCCTCCCAAAGTGCTGGGATTACAGGCTTGAGCCACTGCGCCCGGCCTTTTTTTTTTTTTTTTTTTTTTAATTATTGAGACGGAGCCTTGCGCTGTCACCGAGGCTGGAGTGCACTGGCACTGTCTTGGCTCACTGCAACCTCCGCCTCCCGGGTTCAAGCGATTCTCCTGCCTCAGCCTCCCAAGTAGCTGGGATTACAGGCATGTGCCACCATGCCCAGCTAATTTTTGTATTTTTAGTAGAGGTGAGGTTTCAGCATGTTGGCCAGGCTGGTCTTGAACTCCTGACCTTGTCATCCTCCCACCTTGGCCTCCCAAAGTGCTGGGATTACAGGCGTGAGCCACCACGGCCGGCTGTTATGCTCATCATGGCACTTAAGAGATGCTTAACAAACCTTTCCTACAATGTTCCTCAGATTTTCAGAGCTTATTTGATCTAGCATCTGGTTCCTAAATTCTGAGTCACATCAGAAGCCAAACTTGAATGCTTTTGGAAAGAGCTAGCCTCATACCACTTCAGTTGGGAAGGGGAGTACTGAGGTGTACCTTGGCAGGACAGTGGAATGATTGCTGGTTCTTCTAGTTTGCTCTATACCAAGAACTGCTATAACATGTTTCTAAACCAGGGCTATGCAAAGCACTAGAGTTCCTGACCAGCAATGCAAACCAGTGGCATACAAATTCAAAATACTGTATACAGGCCCTGACTCCAGCCCAAACCAAGGCTGGAGGGCATCCAGGGGGATGTGGTTCCCCACGGGGTAGCATCTTGGTTATGTGAGATCACCAAGACACCAAACCTGTTTTATGAGCTGAATCCTCAGCTTGTTGCTGGATTTGTGGCTGATAAAAAGTACAGGCAGGGCCCAGTGGCTCACACCTGTAATCCCAACACTTTGGGAGGCTGAGGCAGGCAGACCACCTGAGGCCGGGAGTTTGAAACTAGCCTGGCCAACATGGTGAAATCCTGTATGTACTTAAAAATACAAAAATTACCCAGGCATATTGGTGAGTGCCTGTCATCCCAGCTACTCGGAAGGCTGAAGCAGGAGAATCGCTTGAATCTAGGAGGCTGCAGGTTGCAGTGAGCTGAGAAGGCGCCACTGCACTCCAGCCTGGGAGACGGAATCTCACTCTGTCAGTCACAACAACAACAAAAAAATAGAGCACAGCTATGTTTTGAGTTCTTAAGCAAGGGCAAGCTTACCAGGCACTTACAGAGAAGGTTGACGAGGATGACAGGGAACTAATTGGGGGAGGGATGCCATGGTTGAAAACATGGCTGGGGCAGCGAGAAGTTAAGATGAAGTCCCAAGAGTCGCAAGAACATGCAGTTCCAGGACGTGATTCTCTGCAGGGACAAAGAGAGACAGCAGCTACAAGTCTATAGGCAGTGACAAAGGATCTGAGATCCCATCAGAGTAGACTTCAAGTTGGAGAAACCTTTTATTGGCACAGGCATTCCTTGTTAACTTGACAGGGTGAAGCTGTAATTTTTCAAAAACAGTAAAAGCTGGTTTCTCCTAAACTATTCTCCTTGTGGTAGTAGAGATCAGTGGGTCAGAAACAACTCCTGACCACTTGGTTTCCTTTTGAGCCGCGTCATAAGGAGGCAATCTGTAAAACTAGCACAGGTCTCCCGCTGTTCCACTGGCTCACCCACATGATTAGCAGAGTGCACGAAAAAATAAAACTTCTATTAAAGAATCATGCTGAGCACAAGATCAGAGAGGTTGTGACATTGCAAACTCGATAGATGCAGGGGGCCTGGGAGACTGGCGTTCTCCAAAGGGCTCCCAACACCATCTCTCCTCTGATTTCTGTGACAAATGTGGAAAGCTACTTGCTTGGAGGTACTGGGGGAACTGATGGGGGAACTTTCATCCTGTTAGGAACTCCGCTTTCCATTCCTGGGTCTCTGTCTTGCTCCCTGGAGATGGATGGATCACGGAGGGGGCCACAGTCAGCTGGGGCAACAGGTACTCCCTACGGCACTAGTCTACAGGGGGAAGGACGCTCTGTGCTGGCAGCGGTGGCTCACATGGCCTGTCTGCACTGTAACCACAGGCTGGGATGTAGCCAGGACTTGGTCTCCTTGGAAGACAGGTCTGATGTTTGGCCAATCCAGTCCTTCAGACCCTGTCTGAAACTTGTATCTTACGTGAACTTAAAGAATAAAATGCATTTCTACCCCCATCTCGCCCCCAGGACTGGCACGACAGGCCCACGGCAGATTAGATCTTTTCCCAGTACTGATCGGTGCGTGGAATTCCAGCCACCACTTCTGATTCGATTCCACAGTGATCCTGTCCTCTGAGTATTTTAAAGAAGCCTGGGAATAAAAAGTAAGGTGCTTTTAAAGTGTGACAAGGGTCAACCAATATAGTCAGACTCATCCTTAAAAGACCTTAAGTCACTCATCCCTGGCCACTCCTGCTGTGGGCCCACTAGCACAGTCCTCAACACCACAAGGCTTCTGGAGCCGTGGGGCACACCTCCACGGGCAAGCCCCCTGCCCGGTCACCCTTCCCATCACAGGATCTGGCGCGATGCTGTGGGAACTGTTGCAGGCGTTGGCTCTGAAGCTGCTCAGAGTCTGCCCTCACAGCAAAAGGGAACTCCTGACTGCCTGGCACTTAGGAGGAGCTGACAGCCTGGCCGTAGGTCCAGGGTTTAAGGCTGTGCGGTGGGTAGAACAGAGAAAGCCGAGATGGCCACGGGGTGTGGCTCACAATTCACTGTTCTTGGCAGGAAGGGGGCAGCCACTCACCATTGTCACCCCAGTCAGTGTTCCAGGAGTTGGCAACCAGCCAGTAGGGTGTGCCATTCTCCACTCCCCAGCCCAGGATGCGGATGGCATGGCCACCCATCATCTCTCCGGTGACGTGTTGGTACACTCCTGAAAAGGGAAGAACTGGCTGAGACCGAGACCGGGCCACTGTCCCACGCCCCACAGCACCCCCCACACTCAGCTGGTCATGCTCCGGGAAGGAGAAACAGCTTCCAGAGGGAACCTGCTGTTCCACCAGGAGGCTCCAGGGGGGGTCCCACAATACTGGGGAATTAAATATATTTTTGAAGGCCCAACACACTCAAATTTGTTGAGTAAATATTGAAATAGATGCCTACAAAATGTGCTTGTTGGCTTTAAAAATAGAATTTCTAATACATTCTAATTGATAAAACATTTAATGCTAGATGACTGATTCATCTGTTCTTTATACTGGGATTCCATGTAAGTAAGGGTTTGTCAAAAGTGCTACACGGCTTAAAGAGTTTTAATAGCTGCTCCAGGTACACCCTGAAGAGGTGAGGGAGGAGAAGGGAGGACTGGTGGCAGCTAATGCTAGCTGATGGGAAAGATACTGGCTAAGGGGCTCAGGGCTGCCCAACCAGGCTCTCGGGTGGGGAAATCACTGTCAAAGTGGAAATGCATCTTTTAATAATAAGGGCGAGGACTATGCTAAGAAGTGCCATCTTCACAGAAACTTTTTCTTGCCAGAATCATCTTCCTTTGTCAAACTGTTGTTTTACAAGTTTCCAATCTAGCAAAATATTAATGGGATAGATGCAGTCAGCAAAGACTGTTCATCTGGAGCAAGGGATTTCTAAGACAGGACTTGGGGATGGGGACTGTCCAGATTCCTTGGTTGGAGTCCCTATGGCACTACCCAGGGCAAGGTCCTCCCTGTGTGTTCATCCACTGGTGTGAGGCACGATCTAGGCCTTTGCAAAGAGAAAGATGAAGAAAATGTGTCAGCCAGTGCAAACACGAACGGCCTGCCATTATAACAGAAACATGCTGGTAAAGCAATGCAAAGCCAGGAAGGCGAGGGCAGGCGTGGCCAGCCACCAGGGAGGGGGGCGTTCCCACAGAGAACATGTATGAGCTGGACTCCAATGGATGGGAAGGAACTAGCCCAGAGGCTCTGGGAGAGGCCTCTGGAATTCTGTGTGTTGGCACAACACCTGGACAAAGACAGTCAGGTGCCAGGCTGGTCCACAGAGGAGTGAGCCTATATGGAAGGCCCCACACAGCCCTCTTCCCCAGCCCCTCCCCTGCCTGCCCAATCCAGCCCTATTGGTCAACATGAACCATCCTGGCACCCAGGCTCCCCTCCCGACCCCCACCCTCTATTGCCATCAGCCATCAGCACGCACCTGACTTGTAGAGCAGGAAGTCCGAATACACAGAGAAAGCTCCCTCCACGGGGCCGTTTTTGTAGATCTCGGCCATGATGTCCTTCTCGCTATTGGAGACGCTGTAGGAATTGTATCCTGGAAAATGAACCGAGCTCGGGGTTGGGGAGGGCAGTGACAGTGCCTCGTGGCACGCCACGGTCAGCCAGTCACTGATTTCTGGTGGCCTCCAGGGGAAGACTGCATCTAAGGGGACTTGCCCTGCCAGGGGAGCTCAAGGAAGGCTCCCCTGAAGAACTAAGGACAGGGCTGGGGCTGGAAGCTCAGAAATGGGAGAAGGGAGCAATGAGCACGAGGTCCCGGAAGAGGCCAGGATACCTCAAGACTCCAGGACACGCCACTCCCTTGTAAAAGGAGGGCTTTGGTCCCTTCCAGTTTGGAAGGGCTGAGGCTGAGTTCAGGGTGGAACAGGCAGAAAGTGGAGAGTGTGCTGCTTCTCCTGGCAAGAGGGCATCACTCCCCCTCCTCTATCCTAGAGTTCCGGGACCCCAAGGCTCCTCAGCCCTGACCTCTTCGCTGCAGCGTGAGGAGGGATGCAGCAGCTCCCCAGCCTCCACGTGCGCCGTGGCCAGGCCCCAGGCCCCTTACCGTAGTGCTTGTCCTGTTTGTAGGTCGGGCTGTAGCCAGGCTCACAGATCTTGCTACACTTGGGGGTATCTCCCTCCCCCGTGCATGGGGGCCGGGAGCCGTTGACGTGGTGCTCACAGGGAGGGATGGAGTACGGTCTGCACCCTGATGGGACCCGGGAGAAAGCGGAGTCAACCTACAGCCCCCACGGAGAAGCCCCAGCTGGGCGAGGCAGACCTGGGGCAAGGCAAGCCTCGTGCCTGCAGCATGGACGCCAGGCAGGTCCTGCCAGAGGCCTGTACACCTGGCTAGCACCTCTCAGCAGCCCCTCTGTCTCAACCCCCAGTTTATAAAGGCAAATAAAGCCATGATGGTTAATTGCTCAAACAATCCATCTGGCCAGAAAGTGGCCAAGGGGACACACTTACCTACATGGGATTCATAGAGGCCACCAGAAACCAGGCCTTTTCTTGTCCAGAAGTTCCAAGCTTCAGCAGGATAGCCACCATTACAGCTGAAAAGACAGCCTCTAATGAAAACCTCTGAGAGAAGCACCACCAGCTCTCCAGACCACTGTGTGCTACCCAAGTGCCCGAGGCCACTCGTGGACCCACCCCCAGCTGCAGCAAGTGGTGCGAGCAGACCTCCCAGACCCCAAACCCTCCAAGGGACGCTCCCTAGATAAGCACAGCTTGCAGGGAATAACCGCCAGCCCCACCCCTACCCACAAAGATCCGGGAGAAGACAGGAGGCTCTCCTGTTCATGTCCATACCAGACCAGGCTACGAGTGCCCTTCCGGGTAGAACACTGATTCTCAACTGAGCAGACGCTAAACTTCCCTAAGGTACTTAAAAACACCACCAGTTCTCTGAAATGAGAATCGCCAGTGATTCCCATTTAACTAGTTAGGGGAGAAGCCCATGCATTTTTTTAAGCCCTCAGGCATTTCGGATCTGCAGCCGCCAGTGAACACCGCTACTGCGGAACCAAGGCGAGGCTGCAGGCAGCTGGAGCAGAAAGTTCTGTGCCACCACCTTGTTGTTAAGGTGGAGCCATCCCCGCTAACTACACATAAGGAAACGCCCCAAACTGGTTCCCCAAGCAGGAAAAAGGAACATGCGATGACACAAACCAGACCAGGGGCCAGACATTCCACCACATTTTCTGAAACTGACTGTTTTGCTGGGATGCCACCCCTCAGACAGCTCTGCCGGGCCAGCCTTGGTTCAGGCACCTCCCAGGAAGCAGCAGCCTTGCCAGGCCCTGCCTGCCAGACTCTCGGAGTCTCCCCGAAACACTTCTGACTCGCAGCAGTCCCAGGAAGTCCTCAAAGTCCCCTCCACTGAGAAGCTGGGGCCCAGGGTGTCTCAGCACTAAACCCGCTGTGGAAGCACAGCCTGACTCACCCGTCCCCACACATGCTGCCACAGCAGGTGAGCAGGTCCTCCGCCGACACCTCCACGCTGACGTGCGCATTGGTGTGGATGCAGATCCGGTCAGAGATGGCTTCCACAGCCCCGAAGGCCTGCAGGAACGAGCCCCACCGGGTGAGGCTGCCATGTCCGGGCTGGGCCCTCTGCAGCAGTCCCCTCAAAGGGCCACAGGGGCACCTCAGACCTTGTAGGCAACTGATCTCTCAACACCAGGGGACGCTCCTGGGGCTCAAACTCAGCTTTTATTTTCTTTGGTAGAAATGGGGTCTTGCTATGTTGGCCAGACTGGTCTTGAACTCCCGGGTTCAAGTGATTTGCCCACCTCGGCCTCCCAAAGTGCTGGGATTAGAGGCGTCATGAGCCACTTGCCCCACTCTCCTGCCTCAACATCTGCCCAACTCAGCTTTTAAAGCAAGAGAAGCACCACCGTGAACCTCTGCCTGGGAACTCGGTTCATTTCTGAAATCTGCAAAATGTGTAGTATTAGTTTGTATGTGTGTGTGTGGTTTTTTTTTTTTTTTTTCCTGGAGGCAGAGTTTCACTTTTGTTGCCCAGGCTGGAATGCAGTGGCGCAATCTCAGCTCACTGCAACCTGCGCCTCCTGGGTTCAAGCAATTCTCCTGCCTCAGCCTCTATAGTAGCTGGGATTATAGGTGCCTGCCACCAGGCCCAGCTAAGTTTTGTCTTTTTAGTAGAGACAGGGTTTCACCATGTTGGCCAGGTTGGTCTCAAACTCCTGACCTCAGGTGATCCGCCTGCCTCAGCCTCCCAAAGTGTTGAGATTACAGGCGTGAGCTACCGTACCTGGCTGTGTTTTTTTCTTAACAAAAAACACAGCTCACCCAGAAAATAAATACTGTTGTGATCCACTTGTATGAGGTCCCTAGGAGTCAAATTCATAGAGACAGAAAGTAGAGTGGGGCTTACCAGGGGCTACAATATTGGTGTTAATGGGGACAGAGTTTCTGTCTTGCGAGCTGAAAAAGAGTTCGGGGGACAGATGGTGGTGATGGCTGAGCAACACTGTGAATGTACTTAATGCTACAGAACTGTACACTTGAAAATAGTTGCTGGGCACGGTGGCTCACGCCTGTAATCCCAGCATTTTGCGAGGCCGAGGAAGGCAGATCAACAGGTGAGGCGTTTGAGACCAGGCTGTCCAACATGGCAAAACCCCATCTCTACTAAAAATACAAAAATTAGCTGGGCGTGGTGGCACACGCCTGTAGTCTTAGCTACTGGGGAGACTGAGGCAGGAGAATTGCTTGAACCCAGGAGGCAGAGGTTGCAGTGAGCCAATATCCCACCACTGCACTCCAGCCTGGGTGACAGAGCAAGACTCCATCTCCAAAAAAAAAAAAAAAAAAAAAAAAAAGAAAAAGAAAACAAAAGAAGATTGCTAAGATTATTACATTTCTGTTACGTGTATTTTACCACAATTAAATGACAAAATTAAGACAGCTCACTGACACTAAAGGGATGCTTTCTTGAAGCAGAGTAGCAGTGAGAGCTCCTGGTATTTGCGGACGGGCCAGCATGTCAGGGAAAGGGAGCTGCTTCGCCACCTGTACACGTGGACTTGCAATCTGCTGGATGCTCTGCCCGCCACTCCACCTAATCCTCGCCATCATTCATGGCCAGAGGGATTGTGATTTTTGTACTGATGGAAACTGGGACTCAGAAAGTTTCTATAACTTGCCTTGTCAGAGTTGTCCCCACCCCGAATCCCCCAAGACTCTCCAGTGTTGCTCCCACTTTCTCTCCAGCGCTTCCCCGCCAGCCAGCAGGGCCTTACCCAGCAGGAGCCACAGGAGCCCTGGTCTCTGATCTCTTTGATGGTGGGACACTGTGGCCATTGTTCCCGTGCATCGAAGCTTGCAGGCAGCTTCAGGTCCTCGGTAAACATAACTCTGGATAAAGGAAGGTCTTCATTACAAGCTCTGATCCCACAACTCCCTCCCCAATCCCTGCAAAGGCCACTTTGGCTGGGCCACACTCCCCTAACAAGGAAATGAGCACAAGACATGCCGAAGAAGGCTGCAGACAGGTGTCCTTGGTAATTTCATAAAACAAAAGGAAATTCTGTTGCTCAATGCACCTTTTGATTTTTTTTTTGGGTGGGACGGGAGGGTGGGAGTGGACAGAATTTCACTGTGTCATCCAGGCTGGAGTGCAGTGGCGAGATCTCTGCCCACTGCAACCTCTGCCTCCTGAGTTCAAGCGATTCTCGTGCCTCAGCCTCCTGAGTAGGTGGGATTACAGGCATGCACCACCACACCCGGCTAATTTTTGTATTTTTAGTAAAGACAGGGTTTCACCATGTTGGCCAGGCTGGTCTTAAACTCCTGGCTTCAAATGATCTGCCTGCCTTGGCCTCCCAAAGTGCTGGGATTACAGGCATGATCCACCACACCTGGCCTGACTTGCGATATTGTACGCTTCTTTCTAGGCTTATGTAATGGATTTTTTAAGATGAATTTATCCACAAATTATAAACTCATTTTTAAATAAGTTTATTCAGTCCAGATAGTGTTTCTTGCCCTGCTCTCCTGCCTCAACCTCTGCCCAGGATCCTCTCATCATTTCTCATATCATCCCCATTGTGCAGAAGGCAGTGTCGTGCAACTTAACTACCCCATCCTCACGTGGGAAGTGGCATCATCTCAGCTCACCGCAACCTCTGCCTCCCGGGTTCATGCGATTCTCTAGCCTCAGCCTCCCGAGTAGCTGGGATTACAGGCGCCCGCCACCACGCCTGGCAAAGTTTTTTATTTTTAGTAGAGACGGGGTTTCATCATGTTGGTCAGACTGGTCTCGAACTCCTGACCTCAGGTGATCCGCTTGCCTTGGCATCCCAAAGTGCTGGGATTACAGGCGTGAGCCACCATACTTGGCCTCATCTGGCTTTTCTTAGATTTCCCTTAAATTACTCAAGATTGAGTCTGCCCACATAGTGGGGACCCAGACCTTGTCTGTCACATCTGCGGCTGAGACACCTTGGAGAAGCACAATAGAAAACACTGGGGGTGGCTCATGCCGGTAATCCCAGCACTCTGGGATGCCGAGTTGGGCAGATGACTTGCTGAGGCCAAGAGTTCGAGACGAGCCTGGCCAGTATGGCGAAACCCAGTCTCTACTAAAAATACAAATATTAGCCGTGCACGGTGGTGCAAGCCTGTGGCCCCAGCTACTCAGGAGGCTGTGGCATGAGAATCGCTTGAACCCGGGAGACAGAGTTTGCAGTGAGCCAAGATCGTGCCACTGCACTCCAGCCTGGGTGACAGAGTGAGACTCTCTCAAAAACCAAAAAAAAGCACCAGCATCTTCTCTACTAATAACTTGAGAAGGAAAAAATAAAATAAAAAAAGAAAGTAATACAAAAATGAAAAGAAACAAGTACTGTACCTCAAGCGGTGTCGGCAGCCCTGGGCAGCATGAGCCCTGCGGACGCCAGAGAGGCCTTCACTCTCCCACTTCCCACTGCCCCAAACCAACGCCTGCCACTCACATTACAGCGGTGCAGAGGAGCAGGCACTCACCTCTGGGGTGGCTTGGGCCCACCCAGGAAGGTACCACATAGCCTCTTCAAGTAGCTCATGTCCACGTTGTAGAAGTTGTGCCCGGCCTGGAAGAGAGTCACCCACTGACTGAAGGGTCTCCCGGGATGGCGGTGGATGGGCACGCTGCCCACACACGAAGCCCAACCCAGGGAAAACCAGAGGCCCTACCCAATTCAAGGGCCCAAGGGTTGGGGGGCACTGGGGAACAGCCCAGAGTGACACACGGGCAAAGTGGGTGTCTCCCCTGATCTGCTCCCATTTGCTGACAATCAGAGACCCTCTCCAGCCCTCAACATGGCTCACTCCTCATTCTTGGTTCTCAGTCCGAGGGTCAGGGCTGGGCAGAGACAAAGGGAATCAGGGGCGGGACTGATAAACTGCCACTGTGCCACGGCGGGCGTCACAGGGGCTAGCTGGTTTTGAACACTTCCGAAGCTCACTTACTCCCCCACACACCTCCACGTGCACACAACCATATATTCATACACAAGCACACACACTCATGCACACACGTGGGGTATGGGACAAAGGAGGGAGGCGTGGTCCAGAGCCGACATGACTCAGGGTCAGGGCCATTTTTCAACAGTCCAGGACAATGTTCTGTGGGCCACAGTGAGGGCTGGCTTCCCATTCCTGGAGTCAGTGTGCACAGACCGACCTGGGAGGGGACATACATAGGACGCAGCCCCACAGCCTACCTGCCACGTGGTATTCCGTTTGTTGACATAGTTGACCAGCTCATCCGACAGGGGATGGAAAGAGGGCCTGCTCCGGGCATTGGCCAACACCAGCAGGCAGCAGAGGGAGGCCCAGAGCTGCCACATGTTGGAAGCCGGATCCTAGATCCACCTGGAGAGGACAGAGGGCATCAGGACACCTCTCTGTTATGTGGGTCGAGGGCTCACACACACAGGGGCACCGTCTCGGGCATCAGTGGGGACCCCCATGCTCGTCCTGGCCCAGGCGGAGAACTCTAAGGAGCTGAGGTGTCTATGGGATCCCCGCCCCACTGCCCGCAGCACGCCATGACCTCGTGTGGGTCCCCGGGGGCCAGGCGGCCAGAGCCCAGAGAGAGAGCCAAGGGGCTGTGCTGGACGAGACCGAGTCCAGGGCCTTCGCTGCTATTTTTAAACGGCCTTTGCATGGATTTGTAGAACAGCTTGAGACACTTTCCCAAGTGAGTGATATGAAACAGTTAAGAGCCTGTCTGTGTGATTACACCCTAAGTGGAGGACCCAGGGGACAGGGAAATGTAAGAAAAGTTACAATCCAGGAGTCCTAGTTTCGACAGGACACAGACAAACAAGCTCGGTGTGGGCTGGTGGAGGTTGAGGCTGAGAGGTGGGGCTGGGCTGGCCATCCACCCACTCCCGGGGCCTCTCTGGTTTTTCCAGTCAGCCAAGGGCTCTGCTTCCGGCTGCGGAGATGAGGCTTCTGAGAAGGAAAACTCTCACCTCGATGCCCCAGCCGTTTGATCTTGCACTGGCTCATGAGTCACAAGCCAGTGCTTTCCAGCTTGAACTCTGAGTCACCCTCCTAAGTGAGCAGCTCAACAAAAGCAATACATGTCTCCTGGGCGCCTGCATCCAGGGCTGGGGAGAGCCGCGGCGCGGGGAGCTGGGTGAGGCAGGGGTTCCTGTCAGTCACTCCAGGGGCTCCCACGGGTGGGTGAGGTGTTCTACCTCCCACAGGTCACAGGTCGTCATGAAAGTCACAGGACTGCGGTGTCAGTGCTTAACAAACTGCCTGGCACCTAGGGGTTCTATCTGAAGAACAATTTAAACTTCATTGTTGCTTAAGCAACAATTCATCTAGGAGAATAAATATATGAGGACAGCAAGATGGCTCTGGAAAAAAGCTTTTTTTTTTTTTTTGAGACAGGGTCTTGGTCTGTGGGCCATGTCACCCAGTCTGGGGTACAGTGGCACAATCTTGGCTCACTGCAGCCTCCACCTCCCAGGTTCAAACAATTCTTGTGTCTTAGCCTCCCAAGTAGCTGGGATTACAGGTGTGCGCCACCACACGCACCTAATTTCTGTATTTTTAGTAGAGATGGGGTTTTACCATGTTAGCCAGGCTGGTCTCGAACTCCTGACCTCAGGTGATCCACTGGCCTCAGCCTCCCAAAGTGCTGGGATTACAGGTGTGAGCCACCGCACCCAGCCAGTGGAAAAGAGCTCTGACGGGAGCCCAGCCCTCTGGGGCAGCACATGTGTCGTAAAATGCTGGGTGATGCTCATCAGCACAGCACCCAACGGACCACTCAGAAGCACATCCTCCGTGGAGGAATCAGCGTTACCTAGGTGAGGCCAGAGAGGCAACAGGACAGTGCTTGTACAAGTGGCTGCCTGAAGTCTGAATCTTCACACTGGACTCCTCACACACAAAAAGTACCACATGCAACACAGAATTGTTTTGTTTTTTTGAGACGGAGTCTTACTCTGTCCCCCAGGCTGGAGTGCAATGGCATGATCTCGGCTCACTGCAACCTCTGCCTCCTGGGTTCAAGCTATTTTCCTACCTCAGCTTCCCGAGCAGCGGGATTACAGGCATGTGCCATCATGCCCAGCTAATTTTCATATTTTTAGTAAAGACAGGGTTTCACCATTTTGGCCAGGCTGGTCTCGAACGCCTGACCTCGTGATCCACCTGACTCAGCCTCCCAAAGTGCTGCGATGACAGGCGTGAGGCACCGCACCAGGCCCACAGATCTTAATTTAAAAAGTTTTATGAAAAAAATCAATGCCCTTTGAAAAACAGGCTGGGTGCGGTGGCTGATGCCTATAATCCCAGTACTTTGGGAGGCCAAGGCAAGTGGATCACTTGAGGCCAGGTGTTCAACACCAGCCTGGACAACATTGTGAGACCCCATCAATATAGAAAATAAAGTTTTTTAAAAAGGTAATGCTGGAGGAAAGCTTAGGATTGACAGGAAACACAGCCTTCAAGGGAAAATGCTTGCATTACACTGAAAAGTCTCTTTAAAACAAAAACTGACGAAACAAAGCAGTACTCACATATACTTTAGGCTTCGTTTCCACAAAAGGCTCTTCAAAGTCAGAAAAATGGAACCAGCATAATAGAAAAACTACAAATGGCCAACACAGATAAAAATAAGTTCAACCGGCATGGTGGCTCAAGCTTGTAATCTCAGCACTTTGGGAGGCTGAGGCAGGTGGATCGCCTGAGGTCAGGAGTTTGAGACCAGCCTGGCCAACATGGTGAAACCCCGTCTCCACTAAAAATACAAAAATTACCCAGGTGTGGTGGCAGGTGCCTGTAATCGCAGCTACTTGGGAGGCTGAGACAGGAGAATTGCTTCAACTCACTTGAACCCAGGAGGTGGAGATTGCAGTGAGCCAAGATTTCACCACTGCATTCCTGCCTGGGTGACAGTGAGACTCTGCCTCAAAAATAAAATAAAATAAAGTAAAATAAGTTCAACCTCAGGGAGGTGCAGATAAAATCAAGGAGGTATTCAGCATGTATCAGATTGGCAAGGGCTGGACAGTTTGGCACTTCTTGCAGGGCTTAGGAAGTGGGGAAACGGAAGGCATGATAATGAGTGCCTGGGGTGGGTGGGCACAACCACCGAGACATCAACCAGCAACGCCCACCAGTTTCTAAATCTGCATGTCCTGGAAATGAATCAAGTATCCAATAACAGAGTAACTGTTAAATTACGGTAAGTGGTTAAATAGAATATGAAGCAACCATTAAAAAAGCAATTAGTTGGTGGGGCACGGTGGCGCATGCCTGTAGCCGAGGCGGTTGGATCACCTGAGGTCAGGAGTTAGAGACCAGCCTGACTAAGGTGGTGAAACCCTGTATCTACTAAATACAAAAAATTAGCCAGGCGTGGTGGCGCATGCCTGTAATCCCAGCTACTTGGGAGGCTGAGGCAGTAGAATCACTTGAACCCAGGAGGCAGAGGCTGCACTCCAGCCTGGACGACAGATTGAGACTTCATCTAAAAATAATAATAATAAAATAAAAGTAAAAAACCAACTAGTTGAAGTGAATTCTATTGTATTAACAGAGTAAAAATGCCCCAAGTCCCAATGTTAAGTGGGGAAAAAGCAAGCTGTGGGTGACTGAGGACCATAAGCATCTGACCCTCTCAGCAATCTACACATGTAGGAACACTCCTGCCACTACATGCAAAATGCCAAGGAAGATGTACGGCAGTCGGTCACTACGGTGGGGAGACTTTTTTTCACAACATACCCTTACTTTTAAGAAAAAAAAAAAAGTGAGTATGTTCCTATTATTTCAGTTTTGTTTCTTCTAGGAAAAATGGTTGGCAGTATTACTAAAGGCCCTGAGCCACCAAACTGATAAAAGGACATTTGTTTTAATGATTCCTCAGAGCATTTCCAATTTGGTCTTCCTTCCCACCAATGAGGCTTCCTCCCTAGTGACTTTGAGATGGGAGTCTCGCTCTGTGGCACATGCTGGAGTACAGTGGCGCAATCTTGGCTCACTGAAACCTCTACCTCCCAGGTTCAAGTGATTCTTGTGCCTCAGCCTCCTGAGTAGCTGGGATTACAGGCCTGTGCTACCACGTTTGGCTAATTTTTGTAGTATAGTCCGTGTTTCGTTATGTTGGCCAGGCTGGTCTTGAACTCCTGGCTTCAAGGGATCTAACTGCCTCAGCTTCCCAAAGTGCTAGGATTACAGGCATGAGCCACTGGACCTGGCCCCTAGTGACTTTCTTAATAATCTTCCCCTTTTCCGTGACTCGTGGGTAGGCAGCGTCTCACGTGGCCATGCATGTCAGTGACCCACACAGCCTCCACACTGTGAGGTTAGCATGGCTCGTGGGCAGACAGCAGTGTCCTTGGATGTACCCGGGGGCTTTGTGCTGTAGAGATGTTATTTTAAATAATAAGCCAAGTCGAGGATGGGAGCGTTTCCATGGCAACTTGAATTTTAAAACCAAGATTTCTTTGGTTACTGTGGTGGCTGAGAACACAGGCAGCTGCCATGTCCAGTGGCTCTCAACTCCTGGAGGACAACCTGCCGTGGCCATTCCCTGGAGTCCCACAGGGCCCCCTCGCCACTTCACTAGCAGGCGACTTCCCTGCACCCGCCCTCCTTTTCATGGTTCCCAGGCCCTCCCACACCTCCCTGTGCTCCCTACTCATTCCCAGGCTCCCCGGGGCCACCGCTGCCAGCCCCAGGGCCCAGCCCATTCCACTAGTCCCAGGCTGAGCGCTGGGAAGTTCTTTCAGCCCCGCACCTTGGCCCAGGGCTGTGGTGTTCCTGGCTTCTCTGCTCCTCCCCTATGGTATCCAGGTTGGGGCTCAAGGGGCCGCCAGCGTGCTGCAACCGGACGATAAAATGAGCCCTGCACTTGGAGTCAGGAGACCTGCATTTGGATCTGGCTCTGCCACTGACTAAATGGCACCCTTGGGGTCTGACCTTCCCCAAGCCTCAGTTTCACCACCTATAAAATGGAGCTAGTAACCATCGTGTCTCAGGTGGCAGTCAAGAATGAAATGAGGAGGACCAAAGCGCCGGCACATGCCTGGCATGCAGTGATAAGGTAGGAAGGGCACTCGCTCCAGCGGGCTCTGTTCCCTCCCTCTCTCCTCTAACACTTCTAGCTCTCAGTTCACACTAAACCTATTCCAATAGGTCCCCAACGCCAGGAAGAGTCTAAATGAAAACAAGTTTGTTTTTTTTGTTTGTTTTAAGACAGGATCTCACTCTGTTGCCCAGGCTGGAGTGCAGTGGCACGATCATGGCTCACTGCAAACTCTGCCTCCTGGGCTCAAGAGATCTGCTCCCCTCAGCCTCCTAAGGAGCTGGGACTACAGGCATACACCACTACGCCCAGCTTTGTATTTTTTGTAGAGATGGGGTTTTGCTATGTTGCCCAGGCTGGTCTCAAACTCCTGGACTCAAGTGATCTGCCCGCCTTGGCCTCCCAAAGTGTCGGGATTATAGGTGTGAGCCACCATGCCCAGTAAAACAAGCTCTTAACTTCAATTAACCCCAGCATTTAACATCCAAAAATGCTTCCACTCTTGAGGGTCCCGAGACTGCTGAGAACTCAAAAAGTGTCAAGCCAAACACAGAGGTCCTGACAGCAGTGGCAATCTCACTCCATTGTGCAACAGGCGCCTTTCTCTCCACAACAACGCAAATCTCAATCACTCTGGACAAATGCAGATGGTGAAAGTGACAAGCTGAGCTGTTAACAGCTTTCCAGGGTCTTTGCATGGGACAGCAACCCATTTTCACTTCCCTTTATATAGGCACCCACTTCCCTTTTATTTCTTAATTCTGTGCTTTCTGCTCTGCTTCTTACAAGAGATGATGAACACAAAGTCCTTATTTCACGAGGGAAGGATGTGAACTCTTGTGTGCCACAAGACCCCTTTCCAGGATGCGGGCTGGTGGAAGAACAGCTGCGAGCAGATGTCATCTCTAGACCTTGGTCTGCTGTGCTGCTTAGGCAGACCTGAGTTCCAGTGCACCCCTCTGCCCCTTTTCCAAGCTAATCTTTGGGTTAAAAAAAACAGAAAAGGGTGCTCCTCATATCCTCTCTCTCCAAACCTGCAGAGCACTTATGAGAAAGCACGCTCCACCCCGGCTCTGTAGAACGTTGTTATGTGCCAAAAAGAGTGTGCGGCCAGGCGACTCTATCAACCAGAGCACCTTCCTCCCCCGGCAAACGGCACCCTAGACTACCTTGAAGCCGTTTCCAGGACAAATAGGGACCTTGCGATCCTGGAAGGAGGTGGAATGAAAGTCAAAGGAGAGGAGGTGCGGCTAAGTCACAGGAGGTGTTAAGTCCTGACACCCTTAAACAATCAGTTTTGGGCTGCCACCAAGCTCAATAAAGAAGGCTTTCTGGCCAGGCACAGTGGCTCATGCCTGTAATCCCAGCGCTTTGGGAGGTCAAGGCAGGCGGATCACCTGAGGTCAGGAGTTCGAGACCAGCCTGTCTCTACTAAACAAGGTGAAACTCCTGTCTCTACTAAAAATACAAAAATTAGCCAGGCACGGTGGTGGGTGCCTGTAATCCCACCTACTTGGGAGGCTGAGGCAGGAGAATCACTTGAATCCAGGAAGCGGAGGTTGCAGTAAGCTGAGGTCACACCACTGCACTCCAGCCTGGGCAACAGAGCGAGACTCTGTCTCAAAAAAAAAAAAAAAAAAAAGGCCGGACACAATGGCTCACGCATGTAATCCCAGCACTTTGGGAGGCTGAGGCAGGCGGATCACGAGGTCAGGAGTTCAAGACCAGCCTGGCCAACATGGTGAAACCCTGTCTCTACTAAAAATACAAAACTCAGCCGGGCATGGTGGTGCTGCCTGTAGTCCCAGCTACTCAGGAAGCTGAGGCAGGAAAATTGCTTGAACCCAGGAGGCAGAGGTTGCAGTGAGCCAAGATCACACCACTGCACTCCAGCCTGGGCGACAGAGCAACACTCTGTCTCAGAGAAAAAAAAAGAAAGAAAAAGCTTTCTTACATGGTCACAGAGCCCTCAGGTAGACTGCACTTTAAATCTGTAAAGGATTTAAGGAGACAGGATATGTACACTTAAAATTTCCAAATAAGCCAAGTTGCTAGCTCCTGGCTGATAGACAAAAAAAGTGAAAGAATTCTTAGCAAAGCTGTCATGCAGTATTTTGCTCTTCCTCATTCGTTGGTGCTGTGGCTATACTGCTGGCTCCTCTCATAGTCAGCTCTAAAGAATTGAAAGTTGGCCGGGCACAGTGGCACACACCTGTAATCCCAGCACTTTGGGAGGCCAAGGAGGTGGATCACCTGAGGTCAGGAGTTCGAGACCAGCCTGGCTAACATGGTGAAATCCCATTTCTACTAAAAATACAAAAAATTAGCCAGGCGTGGTGGTTGTGCACCTATAATCCCAACTACTCGGGAGGCTGAAGCAGGACAATTGCTTGAACCCAGGAGGTGGAGGCTGCAGTGGGCTGAGATCGCACCATTGCACTCCACCTTGGGCAACAAGAGGGAAACTCCGTCTCAAAAAAACAAAACAAAACAAAACAAAAACAAAAGTCAAGTGCTTACATTTTGCCAGAAGCCACAAATGAAGACTGTGCCTTATAGGCCAGCAGAGCGGCTAAGAGCACGGGAACAGTGGAAAGGTGGGGAGACTGTGAAGGCTCAGTAAGACCTTCCCAGAGTACTTTGTTTCTTTCTCTTCTATAAAAACTAGTCTTGGCACTCACCGCTAATAACGGCAGTTGCTCCTGAAGTTTTGACCACTTAAGTGCAACCACAAAACAAGACTTCGGCGAGTTTCATCTTCCCCTACTTCAACCTGCCAGACACACCTCAATGCTGGAGCAGCCCTGCACTGGGTGGGAGTGTGCTGACCTCAACTATGCTCTGTTGTGACCCAGAGACCTTTCCTTTTTGAGTATGAATCACAGCCTTGCTGTGGCCTCTGATGTGTTACGTCTTTGCCCCTAATGGAACTGTGTTTAGTAGATTCTTGGCTTATGATTAAATTAAGGACAAAAACAAAATCCAAAGGGCTCTCAGGCCTCGGTCTCATCAGTCCCCTGATGAACGGGCACCAGAGGCCCATCTGTCCCATGGAGCAGGCTCCCTGCAGCTGTAGCCCCGAAGCAACTGAAAACCTGTCAGAAAACCCACCCAGCACACAGGTGTGCAGAGGCAGCAGTGATGCTCACCAGCCTTGGAGGCTTCCAGGGAACCAGGGGAAGCAGAGAAGCCCCACTCCACCTCCCTCACCTGAACCAGGTTGGCCACTCACAGGTCCTTCCCCGTGCTGCCCACCTGCCAATCATCTATGCAAACCAGGTACTGCAGGCCCAGCCCACGCAAGCTGCTCTCCATAGGCCTGAAGACACCTATGAGTGGAATATTGTACAAGGTCAGCCACAGCAACCCCACATCCTGCAGACAAAATGACTACTGTACACTTGAAACAGCAGACACTACGAAGGCCCTCAGCAGTTATTTTTTGTTGTCGTTGTTGGTTGTAAACAAGACAATTTAGTCAATATTCTGGAAAGTTCTGAAAGCTTTTACTCCCCATTTCTGTTACTGACTTGCTCAGATGCTGACAGAGCCAATGCATTCACCACGTCTGCATCGGATACCAAAGGACCTTGGGCCTGCTTTATAAAAGCTTTTAGAGATCCTTTGAGATTGCAATGAGATTAGTGTTCTGCTCATTAGTGTTCTGCCTCTCCAGCTTGCAGAACACGGCGGTTCCCTAATTCAACCGCAGGCGAGATTACACCAGGGTAGTTGAGGCTGACGCGAAGGCCAGCCACAGAAAGGCCTAGCTCTGGGCCGGGCATGCTGGCTCACGCCTGTAATCCCAGTACTTTGGGAGGCTGAGGTGGGCGAATCACGAGGTCAGGAGATCGAGACCATCCTGGATAACACGGTGAAACCCCGTTTCTACTAAAAATACAAAAAAATAGCCAGGCATGGTGGCAGGCGCCTGTAGTCCCAGCTACTCGGGAGGCTGAGGCAGGAGAATGGCGTGAACCCGGGAGGCGGAGTTTGCAGTGAGCCGAGATCACGCCACTGCACTCCAGCCTGGGCGACAGAGTCAGACTCCATCTCAAAAAAAAAAAAAAAAAAGAAAGGCCTAGCTCTTGGATCCAGCTAGGTCCTGTTTTCCTCCCTTGGGGCCCTGGGAACAGATACCCATCTCGCAAGGCTGATGGAAGATACAAGGAGACACTCTTTTGAAAGTGCCTACCCTGCACCAGGCTCAGAGCAGCGCCATCTGGGAGAAACTTCCTCAGTCACTGGGAGCGTGAAAAGCCATCTCCTTATACATAGGACAGCCAACGTTTGCATCCCAGAGTCATCATTTCTATTTTCAGAAGTATCCTAATTTGGATGAAAAATAATGGAAATTGTACTATCAGTGACAAGGCCTTAAAAGTTGATTTGTTCTGCTGTCTTGACTGCCAAAGCAAAGCATGTCCCAAACACCAGGAAGGCTGAGTGGGTTGGGAATGGGTGGCAGGTGGCCCCCAGCACTCTGATGTGGTTTGATGA
This sequence comes from Homo sapiens, assembly GCF_000001405.40. Classification (NCBI taxonomy): domain Eukaryota; kingdom Metazoa; phylum Chordata; class Mammalia; order Primates; family Hominidae; genus Homo; species Homo sapiens. The sequence goes on along the minus strand of NW_018654717.1, from coordinate 1,485,412 downwards.
TACGCTTCCAACCCTCGAATGGGAAAAGCCTGTGGCTGGCACCGCCCTCCTGGGACTTGCGCAAGCCAGGAAGCTGTGTGACTGTGTGTGTGCACATTCTGCCAGAGTCCAGGTCAGCACGTCAGAGGGTCATGAGACAGCCCGGCCCTCCGGGCTCTTAGGGCAGAATATCTAGATGTCTTCTACAGGGCTCTCTACTGGTCCCGTTACCATCTTGGCCACATTGGGCCCATCCTTCTCCATGCATGCTTGCTGGTGATGCTAGATTATCTTGATGACCAGACCAAAGAAGTTACTGGCCTGGTAAAGACAGATAACACAGTCAAGACTGCCAGCCACACATCCTTCTCAGCACCCAGCATTTAGAAAACATCAGTTCTGGGCTGAGCACAGTGGCTCACATCTATAATTCTGACACTTCGGGAGGCCAAGGTGGGAAGATTGACTGAACCCAGGAGATTAAGACCAGCCTGGGCAGGATAGTGACCTCGTCTCTATATAGAAAATTAAAATTTAAAATAAAAAATAAATAGGCTAGCGGTGGCTCAGGCCTGTAATCTCAGCACTTAGGGAAGCCAAGACAGGCAGATCATGAGCTCAGGAGTTCAACACCAGCCCGACAAACATAGTGACATCCCGTCTCTACTAAAAATACAAAAATTAGCTGGGCGTGGTGGCACACGCCTGTAATCCCAGCTACTCAGGGGGCTGAGGCAGGAGAATCACTTGAACCCGGGAGGCGGAGGTTACAGTGAGCCGAGATTACACCACTGCACTCCAGCCTGGCGACACAGTGAGACTCCGTTTCAAAAAAAAAACAAAAAAAACCAGCAAATATGCCATCACTGACCAACAATAAAAACAGGAAAAGTGTCACTCAACCCATTTATGCCAGAGGTTGCAATTTTTTAAATTTTTGCACGAGTAAAAACATCAGACCTTGGCGATGACCTTGAGCAGTATGATGTAAAAACTCCCACATGCTTAGCGTTCTAATAATGGAACACTAGGCATAAGTGGGTTACTGTTGTCCTACAGCAAAGATTAAATTTGAATTTCTGGTCATGAAATTAAAACAGGGGTACCACTTCAAACCCATCAGATTGGCAAAAATCAAAGTCTGGTACTATCTAGTGTTGGTAAATGTGAGGAACAGGAACTCTGCACACTGCTGGGCGAGTAAATTGATGCAACCACACTGGAGAACCCTTTGCCAGCATCTAGCAAGATGGAAGATGAACACACCTCATGACCCAGAAACAAACTCTCCCACATGTGCCCTGCAGAAACTCTTCTAAGTATCTGGGAGACACAGGATATTTATTGTAGCATGGGATAATAGTGAACACGAAATAACATAACTGTCCCTCAGTAGATAAACACACTGGGCACTTAACACAAATGGACTAGAACTGGATGTAGCAACAGAAATAAATCTCACAACCGTGAGTGAAAAAGGATCCATGTAGTGTAACTGAAGTCATATAAACTTTAATAACATTGTTTATACACTGATGCAGAGTTTTAAAAGTACAAAAAGGCCTGGAGGTGACTCATGCCTTGTAATCCCAGCATTTGGAAGGCCTAAGTGGGAGGAGGCAAGGGGATCACTTGAAACCAGGAGTTTCAGAGCAGTCCTGGCAACAGTGAGACCCTGTCTCTACAAACGAAAAAAAAAAAAAAAAAAAAAAAAAAACCTGGGCACCGCCTGTGGTCCCAGCTACTTACTACTCGGGAGGCTGAGGTGGGAACCAGATCGCTTACATCTGGGTGGCTGAGGCTGCCGTGAGCCGTGGTCGCACCACTGCACACCAGCCTGGGAGACAAAGCAAGACCCTGTCATTAATCAAACAATAAATGAATGAATGCATGAACAAAAAAATGTGCAGAAGAATCCAAAAGAGGGGCAGCAGACAGGGAATACAATGGCCCTTGGAAGGATCAGGAAACAGGCACAGGAGTGGTCTACAGAGGCGGACGATAAGGCTTGAAACTAAAAAAGAGATTAGTTAAAAGTCTAAACACATGGCTGGGCACAGTGACTCACACCTGTAATCCCAACACTTTGGGAGGCGAGGCGGGCAGATCATTTGAGGTCTCTACTAAAAATACAAAAATTAGCCAGGCATGGTGGTGCATGCCTCTAATCCCAGCTACTCCGGAGGCTGAGGCAGGAACATTGCTTGAACCTGGGAGGTGAGGTTGCAGTGAGCTGAGATTGTGCCACGGCATTCCAGCCTGGGTGACAGAGTGAAACTGTCTCAAAAAAAAAAAGAAAGAAAAAAATGTCTAAACACAGAGTGGAATTTGATCCCTAAACCTCCTACCCCACACAAGCTAGGGTAAATATAAACATTAACAACCATGCCAGGGCGCAAGGTTTGCCTCCCACATGCTCTTTCTCAGGCAGCCTGGGACCAGACGTAGAGACTGCTGCCTGCCACCCTGATATCCCAGAGGCACAGCACATCTGTACATGCCTCCCCTAGACTCAACTGCCTGTCACCCCAACCATCTCCCTTTACATGGACCATGTGGAAGTGCCCAGTAAATATCACTCAACCGCACATGTTTCCAATAATTTCCTTAGGCCAGACCATTGAAAAGAGGCAGCAGACTGGGCGCAGTGGCTCATACCTGTAATCCCAGCGCTTTGGGAGGCCGAGGTGGGCGGATCACGAGGTCAGGAGTTCGAGACCAGCCTGGCCAACGTGGCAAAACCCCCACATTGGGATTTTTTTACATTGGATTTTTTTAGGAGAGACAAAAAATCTCTACTAAAAATAAAAAAATTAGCTGAGTGTGGAGGCACATGCCTGTAATCGCAGCTAGTTGAGAGACTGAGGCAGGAGAATGGCTTGAACACAGGAAGCGGAGGTTGCAGTGAGCTGAGATCTTGCCACTGCACTCCAGCCTGGGTGAGAGAGTCAGACTCCACCTCAAAAAAAAAAAGGAGAGAGAGAAAAGAAGAATCGGCATACCTGTAACTCCTCCCTCTCAATGTTTCAGTCCATATCTCGAAAGGACGGTATGTTACTCTACACAACCACAACTCATTACCAGATTTAAGAAAATTACCCCTCCACCGCGCGGTGGCTCATGCCTGTAATCCTACCACTTTGGGAGGCTGAGGCGGATCACTTGAGATCAGGAGTTCGAAAACCAGCCTGGCTAACATGGTGAAAGCCCGTCTCTACTAAAAATACAAAAAAAAAAAAAAAAGCCAGGTGTGGTGATGGGCACTGGCAATCCCAGCTACTTGGGAGGGAGGCTGAGACAGGAGAATTGCTTCAACATGAGAGGCGGAGGTGGCAGTGAACCGAGATCGCACCACTGCACTCCAGCCTGAGCGATAGAGGGAGTGTGTCTCAAAAAAAAAAAAAAAAGAAAGAAAAAGAAATTAAGAAAGAAAAGAAAATCACTGACAGACATCCCAAGGCACCCCTGAAACGTGACCTCCCTTCAATTCACTTCCCAATCCAACCAAGAGCAACAGAAAATATCTGTTACCCCTAAAATGGGTGCAACTTCTCTTCCAACTCCCAGGTCCAGCAGCTGGGGAAAGAAAAGAACCTGCCTACAAAAAGAGCCTCCCCAGTCTGCTAAATCAGCACCACATGGGCAGTTTCAACCTGGAACCAAAGGGCCACCACCCCTCACCGCCTAACCAGTTGGAAACAGGGCTGTCCTGAGCCAACACCCAGGAGAGCTGTGCCAGGGCCGTGTCTGGCCTGCGTTGCCACCTGGGGAGCAAGGGACCTGTGCCTTTCCACCAGGGGGTACCCCCAGCTAGAGGACAAATGACCAAAGACGAAGGGAAGCCTCTGTTCTCCAGGAGACGTTTGACTCTGTCTTTGGGAAAGCTACACAGGGTGGGCGGCCCAGCCCCTTTCTCCAGGAGCTGGCGGGTTCTAAGTCACCAGCACCAGAGCCAACAAGAAACAGTTCTTGGCCAGGCACCGTGACTCACCGGGAGGCCGAGACAGGCGGATCACCTGAGGTCAGGAGGTCAAGATCTGCCTGGTCAACATGGTGAAACCCCATCTCTACTAAAAATACAAAAATTAGCTGGGCGTGGTGGCGGGCACCTGTAATCCCAGCTACTCGGGAGGCTGAGGCAGGAGAATAGCTTGAATTTGGGAGGCGGAAGTTGTAGTGAGCCGAGATCGCGCCACTGTGCTCCAGCCTGAGAGACAGAGCCAGCCAACGCCCTCTTAGGCCTCTTCGCCTTACGTTCCTGAACGTTTGGATTCAAAGAGAGTGCATCTCAGCTATCCTCTCCTCCGGCAGCAGGCAGTGGGAATGTTTTTCCAGGCTACAAAAAGGTGCCAGGTCTGCATTTGAACCCCACAGCGTCACTTCTCCAGTGGGTTTGGGGGGTCTCTCGTCCGTTAGGAGGAGGAGTGTGGGGCCTGCGCTAGGGTCCTTTTCTTTGCCAGCCTGCTGGCTTTCTCAGCGCCTGGGAAGGGGGTGACAGAGGCCCACCAGGAAGCCAAGTGCAATTCACTTCCACCTGGGTCGCCCACCCCAGCCTGCCTGCAACGCCCCACACCCAGCACCCACTGCTCCCCAGAGGCCAACTCCCCCCGGCCTCCAGGGCTACTAACCGAGGGGGAGGTGGCGCCCCAGGGACTCTGCCCGGCCTCCCTTTACTGGAGTCCAGGAGCAGGGTGCGCCCCCGGCCTTCTCCCCACCGGCATCCAATCGCCCATTCGCCTCTTGGTTTCGCTGTCTGGTTTCTCTTCCTGTTTATGGATTTAACACCGTGCGGCTTCCTCCCCAGCCCACCCAGTGCCAGATTCCTGTTCTTCAACAGGACCTGTCTTCTGGGGTCCCAGGAATTGCGTGGGATCTTGCGCAGAAAGTTGGCCAGGCAAATCCTTCGCAATGAGGGGGAAATAAACCGAAAATAGATGCCGGCAGATGCGATTATGTCGGCAGTTTGGCCCGGAGACACCGAGGCCCAGGCGCTGGGAGCGCGGTCCCAGGCAGCAGTCTCCGGACCCGGCCGAGCTCTTCCTCGCAGGCGCCTCCCTCGGCGGTCCTGGCCGCGTCCCCGCTCCGAGGGCCGGGGTCCGGCGCACAGCCCGGGGAGGGGAGCGGAGGGCAGAGGGCTGGCGGGCGGAGCTGTTTTCTGCTTTTCTCGCCGACGCTTCGGAGCGCGCGGACTCCCACCCCAGCCCGCCCGTCAGGGACAGTCCCGAGGGTCCCGGCTCCCCGCCGGCCCCCAGGGACGCCGCGGGGCCGCGCCTGGGCCCGACTGAGGGCGCAGAGGAACCCGTCTCGGCGGCCGGGTAGCACCGTCCCCGCCAAGGTCACTTACGCTGCGGTGGCCCCGGGTCCCCAGCACTCACCCAGCGCTGCAGCCGAGAGCCTGCAGCCCAGCCTGCGCGCAGCGGAGCGGTTGGCGTTGCCGGAGCGGTTGCCGGAGCCCTGCAGCCGCCGTAGCCTGGGCCAGCCCCGGCCCTAAGTACCCTCCCGGCCCCGCCCCACGTGACCACCGCGCAGCCCCGCCCGGGCCCTCCCGCCGCCCGCGCACGGTGCTTCCCAGCCCCCACCCCCTCCCGCCACCTTCCGCCGCCCGCGCTCCCCGCTTCCCGGCCCCGCACACCCCCCGCCCCCTTCCGCTCGGGGTCCGGGGCCACCGCCGGGGGCGGGCGGGGGCCTGAGCGCGCGGGCTGGGGAAGAAGGGCTTGGAGCCCTGCGGGCCCTGGGTGGCGAAACGCTGCGAATTGGGGCCAGGGGATGGGGAAAAAGCCCCTAAAGGTGGTCCCAAGGCCCCCACCCCGCCTAGAAAAGTCCCCCCGCCTCGCGGGACCGCCTCCGCCAGAACCCGCGCCTGGGATCCCTGCCTGCCGAGTTGGCGGGGGTGGGGTGGTGGAGAGGGCGCCGTCGCTTATTTCATTCATTCAGAAGCCGCTGCAGAGGCTGGGGGTGGCGAGGCTGTGGACCCCACAGAACAGCCTTTAGAAGGGCCACTTTGTTGTTCAGAGAACGTACCCACAAAACACTACAGCTACGTACAAATAGAAAAGAGTGGCTGTCACTGCGAAGGAACCTAGGAGCTGCGTCAGGATTTCTAAGAGGAGAAGGACCTTGGGGGCGGAAATCGGTTTGGCACAGGAGTACCCGGAGACCTGCTCCGAGAGGACGGACAAAGTGCACATTTACTTGGGGTTTATTACCGGGAGGCCCTGGAAGGGAGATGCAGGGGTTGGCTCAAGACTCACCCTCCTCCAGACACTCCCCAAACAGCTTTAATCCTTAAGACAAACCTGCAAAGCAGGCATGACCCCAGTTGTATTCAAGAGGCTCAGAGGGGCTGGGTTCGGTGGCTCACGCCTGTAATCCCAGCATTTTGGGAGGCCGAGGCCGGTGAGTCACCTGAGGTCGGGAGTTCGAGACCATCCTGACCAACATGGAGAAACCCCGTCTCTACTAAAAATACAAAACTAGCCGGGCGTGGTGGCGCGTGTCAGTAATCCCAGCTACTCGGGAGACTGAAGCAGGAGAATCGCTTGAACCCGGGAGGCGGAGGTTGCGGTGACCAGAGATCGCACTATTGCACTCCAGCCTAGGCAACAAGAGTGAAACTCTGTATTAAAAAAAAAAAAAAGGCTCAGAAGAATCGTATTTTATCCAGGCTGTGGCGACAGTAAGAAGGCAGTAGCCGGGTGCAGTGGCTCACGCCTGTAATCCCAGCACTTTGGGAGGCCGAGGCGGGCGGATCACGAGGTCAGGAGATCAAGATTATCCTGGCTAACACGGTGAAACCCCGTCTCTAGTAAAAATACAAAAAATTAGCCGGGCGTGGTGGCGGGCGCCTGTAGTCCCAGCTACTCGGGAGGCGGAGGCAGGAGAATGGCGTGAACCCGTGAGCTGAGATCGTGCCACTGCACTCCAGCCTGGGCGAAAAGCGAGACTCCGCCTCAAAAAAAAAAAAAAAAAAAAAAAAAAAAGGCAGTAGGACTGCATGGGACCTGGTTCCCTGCAGCCTGGTCGTCAGCTGTCACACAGCCCTGAGCCTGTCTTCAGAGACATGCCTGTACTCCCGCCTGGTTAGTAACAAACTAAGGATAGGAGTGGAAGGAAAAAATAATCTCTGGAGCCCAAACATGGTCACTAAGCCCCCAGCAGAGTGGGATACCCGAGGAACTGAGGACCAGGAGGCTGGAGGTCAAGGTGGTCCCAACTGCCTGCTCACCCTAGTCATATCCTGACAGCCATGGACTCTGGACTCCAAATCATTTCAGACCTCTATAAGGAGCTCATAAGATGGCCAAAATGGGGAGGACACAGCCAGAACCAGGATAACTCTCCCCTCTCTCATCCTTAGAGTGTGACAGAAGGTATGCAGAGCAGAGTGCTTGACATGCGTTATGGCTATTTGATGGAATTTTCCATCAGTGTCATTATAGAAATCACTTTTGAGAGGTAAAAATCACTTTTGAAACAAAAGAAACAGGCTAGGCGCGGTGGTTCACCACTGTAATCCTAGCACTTTGGGAGGCTGAGGCAGGCAGATCACCTGAGGTCGGGAGTTCCAGACCAGCCTGGCCCAAATGGTGAAACCCAGTCTCTACTAAAAATACAAAAATTAGCTGGGCGTGGTGGTTCACGCGCCTGTAATCCCAGCTACTTGAGAGGCTGAGGCAGGAGAATCGCTTGAGCCCGGGAGGTGGAGGTTGCGGTGAGCCAAAATCACGCCATTGCACTCCAACCCGGGCAAGATTCCATCTCAAAAGAAAAGAAAAGAAAAAAAGAAATAGGCCAGGCGCAGTGGCTCACGCCTGTAATCCCAGCACTTTGGGAGGCCAAGGCAGGCGGATCACGACGTTGGAAGTTCAAGACCAGCCTGGCCAACATGGTGAAACCCCGTCTCTACTAAAAATACAAAAATTAGCTGGGTGTGGCATTGCGGGCCTGTAATCCCAGCTACTCGAGCGCTGAGGCAGGAGGATCCCTTGAACCAGGGAGTCAGAGGTTGTAGTGAGCCGAGATCACGCCATTGCACTCCAACATGGGCAAGACTCCTCAAAAGACAAGAAAAGAAATATATTACTACCAGAGTAGAATTCGTCCCTTCCTGGAACATCCAGGAAAGCTTCATGGAGAAAGGAACATACAGCATATTTACTTGTATATGTTCCTTCCTGCCCTCACTGGATCTTAAGCCCCACCCAGGCAAGCATTTTTACCTGCGGTGTTCCCCTGCTTCATCCCAGCTCATTGCAGGGTGTCTGGCCCATAGCAGAGGATAGAGAAATGTGAGTTGAGTGGATGCATAATGAATGAAGTAGGCCTTGAAGTTGAGGAGAATTTTGGCTTAACCTGCTAGATTTGGGGGTCAGGGTTCAGGGCCTGGGGAACAGCTCTCAGAACTTACAGAGAGGCCTTGACTCACGTGTGTAAAAGCTGTTTGCTTGTTGAACATCCGTAAAAGAGGCCTAAGTTAACACCTGAAAGAGGTGAAAACATACGTCCTCACAAAAATCCGCCGGGCACAGTGGGCTCACGCCTGTAATCCCAGCACTTTGGGAGGCAGAGGTGGGTGGATTACTTAAGCCTAGGAGTTCAAGACCAGCCTGGGGAACATAGTGAGACCCCAACTCTAAAACAAAAGTTAATAACGTATGTATAAACTTACACCAGATGTTTATAGCAGCATTATTTACAGTAACCAAAAGGTGAAAACAACTCAAATGTCCATCCATTAAAAACCATTGCACGAATAAACAAACTGTCATAAATCCACCAAATGGAGTTTTATTCAGTCGTAAAAAGGAATGAAGTAGTCACACATGCTACAACATCGATAAACCTTGAAAACGTTTACTAAGTAAAATCAGCCAGGTCCAAAGGACTCAGTATTGTATGATTCCGTGAAATCCACATGGGAGGTTAGGTAGGTGACAGCTAAAGGGTGTGGGGTTTCTCTGGGGGCTAATATGAATTTTTTTTTTTTGCCGAGACAGAGTCTCGCTCTGTCGCCCAGGCTGGAGTGCAGTGGTGCGATATCGCCTCACTGCAACCTCCGCCTCCCGAGTTCAAGCAATTCTGCCTCAGCCTCCTGAGTAGCTGGGGTTACAGGCACCCGCCACCACACTCCCCTAATTTTTGTATTTTTAGTAGAGACAGGGTTTCACCATGTTGGCCAGGCTGGTCTCGAACTCCTGACCTCGTGATCCACCTGCCTCGGCCCCCCAAAGTGCTGGGATTACAGGCGTGAGCCACAGGGCCCAGCCTAATTTTGTATTTTTTGTAGAGACGGTGTTTTCCCATGTTGCCCAGGCTGATCTCAAGCTCTTGAGCTCAAATGATCCTGCTGTCTCCGCCTCTCAAAGTGCTAGGATTACAGGTGTGAGCCACCTCGCCCAGCCTGATTTAACTTTTTAATTTTTAAAAATTATCCTTGAATACGCTACAGTGCCCAACTATTCAGTGTTGAAATGAACTGGATTTCTTATTTGGCTGTGATTGTTTCCAGTATTTTCAGAAATATGTCTCCATTCCTATCTAAACTCTAAGTTGGTTGGTGTAGGGTGCTGTCTTATTCATTTCTATTTCTCCTTCCTCTCTTCTCAAAGGACTTTCGTGCCCTTTACCCCTCCTTCCAGCAGGGAGGTATGAGCCGTGCCTCTGGGCTCCTTCTTCTTCCTCCCGACAGCTCCCTTTCTGTGGTGTGACTGTCATCAGAGGGAGGGAAATTACAGTGCCTTGGCTTCAGAGAACTAAGTTTCTGGTTCTAGCCTTATGAGGGCTGACCACATTGTTTTTTTTTTTTTTCTATTGGCTTCCAGAAGGATTCCTCTTTATTCTCCTACAGTGTCTCCTTTGTGGCTTATCCTACTGCGAGAGCACTTGTTTAACTGCGAGCAAAAGAGATGGCTGCTCCTCTAATACCGGTGGGGGCCTCGACTTTCACATGAACTCCCTCGGAAGGGAAGCCATGTCTGCAGCCAGGGTCTCAGCAGATGTCCACAGCCCCCAAAGCTTTGCCTCCAGAGGCCACCACTTCCCACCATTTCTGTTTCTGGTGGGGCCCCTTCAATTCTAACTATGGCCTCCCCACCACAGAAGAGCAGGGTTTACTCACTTGTCCTCTTCCATGAAGAGCAAATGTATTATCTCACTTGGGGTTTCAGTTGCCCTTGTAGTTTTATTTATTTTTATTTTTCATTTATTTAATTAAAAAAAAAGTTTGAGACAGGGTCTCGCTCTGTCACCCAGGCTGGAGTGCAGTGGCAGGATCTTGGCTCACGGCAACCTTCACCTCCCGGGCTCAAGCAATCCTCCCACCTCAGCCTCTGGACTACCTGGGATCACAGACGCATACAACCATGCCTGGCTGTTGTTTTTTATTTTATTTTTACAGATACTGGGTCTTGCCATGTTGTCCAGGTTGGACTCAAATTCCTGGGCTCAAGCAGTGTGCCCGCCTTGCCCTCCCAAAATGCTGGGATTACAGGCATGAGCCACCACACCCAGACCTTGAATACAGTCACATTCTGAGGTACTAGGGGTTAGGGTTTCAACATACAAACTTTTGGGGGCCTAATTCAGCCCATAATACTATGCTTGAGAAGAGGGCTGCTTCAGAGGCAGGCTGTTTGGAAACTCTGGAGAAAAACGGGGTGAGAACATTCTGTTTCTTTTTTTTTTTTTTTTTTAAGACAGAGTCTCGCTGTGTTTCCCAGGCTGGAGCTGGAGTGCAGTGGCCTGATCACAGCTCACTGCAGCCTCAACCTCTCATGCTCAAACAATCCTCTTGCCTACGCCTCCCAATTAGCTGGGGCTACAGGTGCATGCCACCATGCCCAGCTAATATTTATTTTTTGTAGAGATGGGATCTTGCTGTATTGCCCAGGCTGGTCTCAAACTCCTAACCTCAAGCAATTCTCCCGCCTTTGGCCTCCCAAAGTGCGGGGATTACAGGCATGAGCTACCACGCCTGATCTTGAGAACATTTTTTATGTCAACAAGGTAGTGAGCACAAAACGAGGAGGGGCAAGGCCAGTCATCCCTCCACAAATGCTAGCTGAGAACCTGGCCTGTGACAGGCACTGCAAACTGGAAGTTAAAGGGAAACTTTGCTATAAGCCACCTAGGTTTGGTGCCATATGTATTAGTAATCACAATAAATTTCCTTGAACGTAAGTGCAATAGCAAGTGATCCTTCCTATATTCATTTAAAAATCTTTGTGTTGGCCAAGCATGGTGGCTCATGCCTGTAATCCCAGCATTTTTAGGAGGCCGAGGCAGGAGGATCGCTGGAGCCCAGGAGTTCGAGACCAGCCTGGGCAACATGGTGAAGCCCGTCTTTACAAAAAGCACAAAAATTAGCTGGGCATGATGGTGCATGCCTGTGGTCCCAGCTACTTGGTAGGATCGCTTGAGCCTGAGAGCTGGAGGCTGCAGTGAGCCAAGACTGTGCCACTGCATTCCAGCCTGGGCAACAGAGACCTTGTCTCCAAAAAACAAAAAGAAAACTCTGTGTTGTTTCCTGATTTATAATTAGAGGTAGCATTCATTCATTCTTTTATACTGCAGCCAAGAATCTTCATTGGTTTCACATATAATTCTGGTCTGGCTGCCTGGCTGATACTAAATTTCTACCTTTACGCTGTTAAGCCATCCTAAATGGTAGTACCTCTTTGCTGCCTGTAGCTGTAGTCAGAAGAGGGTTCAGTAGTCCCTGTTAAGAAGGACTCTTGGGGACTGGAGATGTATTCATCAGGGTAATAATGCAAGCTGCTATAATAAACAAGCCCACCCAACAATGGTTAATTTCTTATTCAGGTTGAAGACCGTGAGGGTTCGTAAGGGGGGAGATGCTGCACTCTGAGGTTCCTGAGGGACTCGGGCTGCTTTGGGATGCACCACCATCTCCTACACATGGATGCCAGGGTCCCTGCTCCAGGGGAGGGAGAGAATGGGAAAAACCCTCCTGTCTTGAAAACTGTCCCAGCCTGCGAGCAGGATATGTGCTCCATTGATGACAACTATTTGAATGTCACAGAGTTGGGGAATGTGGTTAAGCTGCATTCCCAGGGAAAAAAATACGGTTTGGTGGGCTCCAGCTTATCTGAGCCACAGGTGTATGATCCTGGTACTACCACCTCCCCGATGGTTCCTTGGGGGAAGTTCCTTAAACTCCCTGGGGCCTTCCTCATCTGCAGAAGGGTTGTGACGATGGGCTGGTGTCACAAGGCTGTTGTGAGATGAGGGAGTTAGTACCCCTGGTACTCAGTGAGAGCAAGCTCAGTTCACCTTAGCTACCACCCAGCCCTGCAAACCACCTGCGCTCCTACAACTCCTTGCAGTTTACAATGCATTCTCATCTTCATAACTGTTTCTACTTTTAGCTTCTCAGCAAGCTGTGGGGTAGGCATTTCACAGATGAGAAAACCGAAGAGAGGCTGGGAGATTTGCCAAGGTCACATGGCACTTACACAGCTCAGCCTCCTGACTCAGTCCAGCACTTTTCCTGTCTCTTTGCGGAGATCACAGTTACCACCTTGAGTGCAGTGTGGCCCCCTGGGCCCACCCCAAAGCTGCTGGGAAGTTTGCGAAGAAATCTGAGTCACAGAAAAATGAGGCATCTACTTCAGATCCTATACCTTGGCGTTTCACGGAATATTTTGGAGTGTTTTATCCTAGGTAGTAAATTTGACTTCGCTGTCTGTGAAAAATAGATCTGTGCTGTCAACGGTGGACACTGAATGTCCACCTGGCAAACTTATCAGTTCAGTTTCTGTGGACAAGAAGAGGAAACAATTGGATTTCTCAATCATTTTTGGTCCAGTCCGTGGTCCAAATGGAAGAGACAGACCAGGTGTGGTGGCTAATGCCTATAATCGCAGCACTTTGGGAGGCCAAGGTGGGTGGATCACCTGAGGTCAGGAGTTCAAGAGCAGTCTGGCCAACATGGCGAAACCCTCGCTCTACTAAAAATACAAAAAAATTAGCCAGGTGTGGTGACAGGTGCCTGTAATCGCAGCTACTTGAGAAGCTGAGGCAGGAGAATTGCTTGAGCCCGGGGGCGGAGATTTCAGTGAGCCGAGATTGCGCTCCAGCCTGGGTGAAAAAGCAAAACTCCGTCTCAGAAAAAAAACCCAAACAGAAGAGACATTTCAGTACCACAGGCCAGCAGAAAAAGCTTCTGAATGAGACTCCTTTTGTAGGTGGAGTAAAGGTGGACAGTAAACCACTCCCATTTCCATGCATCATTGTTACTCTGACTTATTTATTTGTTTGTTTATTTTTTGAGATGGAGTCTCGCTCTGTCACCCAGGCTGGAGTGCAGTGGTGCGATCTCAGCTAACTGCAACCTCCACCACCTGGCTTCAAGCAATTCTTTTGCCTCAGCCTCCCGAGTAGCTGGGACTACAGGTGCATGCCACCACACCTAGCTAATTTTTGTATTTTTAGTAGAGATGGGGATTCACCATGTTGTCCAGGCTGGTCTCGAACTCCTGACTGCAAGTGATCTGCCAGCCTCAGCCTCCCAAAGTGCTGGGATTACAGGTGTGAGACACCACACCCAGCCTATTTATTTAATTAATTTTTTTTTTTTGAGACAGGATCTCACCAGGTTACCCAGGCTGGAGTGCAGTGGTGCAATCATGGCTCACTGTAGACCCAGCCTCCTGGGCTCAAGCAGTCCTCTCACCTCAGCCTCCCAAGTAGCTAGGACTATAATTGTGTGCCACCACACCTAGCTAATTTTTTTTATTTTTTTTTTGAGATGAAGTCTTGCTCTGTTGCTCAGGCTGAAGTGCAGTGGCGTGATCTCAGCTCACTGCTGCCTCTGCTTCCCGGGTTCAAAGGATTATCCTGCCTCAGCCTCCCGAGTAGCTGGGATTACAGGTGTGCACGGCCACACCCGGCTAATTTTTTGTATTTTTAGTAGAGATGTGGTTTTCCCATGTTGCCCAGGCTGGTCTCGAACTCCTGACCTCATGAGGTCCACCAGCCTCAGCCTCTCAAAGTGCTGGGATTACAGGTGTGAGCCACCATGCCTGGCCACCTGGCTAATTTTTGTATTTTTCTGTAGAGATGGGTTTTTGCCATGTTGTCCAGGCTGGTCTCAATCTTCTGGGCTCGAGCAATCCTCCTGCCTCGGACTCCCAAAGTGCTGGGATTACAGGTGTGGGCCACCACACCTGACCTGCTCTGACTTACTTAGATACCAGGGAGATCATCCATGGAGAAGGTCTAAGGGCTTTATGGATTTCATTATCATTGGCATGCTCGCTGTAGATGGCCATGAAATCATTTTCAAAAATGTCCTCATCTTTAAAGAAGTGTTTTTATTATTTGTGAATTTTGCTTTGGTTGAGGGTGTCTTTGGAGTTTGGAAATCCATGTTGAGGCATGAAATAATTTGTTTTCCCAGATGTTTACCTGCCTGAGCATATGACCCTTGTTTATTTATTTAGGGCTCTGTGTGGGCAAGAGGACTTAATTGGCAGATGTGTCTGTGACTAGACACAGAAGACATTTTTCTTTTGTTAGCCATCTTGTTTGTGTGTATGGGGGGAAGTGGTGGATTAGTCACCCGGGAACATGTGGGAAGCTGGTGAAATTTTGCAACAATAGCTGGGAAGGGCTTGAACATTCCATAGGGGCAGGGTACATCTTCAGTCTCAGGTCAGCTGGCTTAACGAGAGCTCAAGTTGACTGCCTTTCCACTGGAAGTGTCCTTCAGAACTGGAACCGGGCCGGGTGCGGTGGCTCACTCCTGTAATCCCATGGGAGGCCAAGGCAGGCAGATCACCTGAGGTCAGGAGTTCGAGACCAGCCTGGCCAACATGGTGAAACGCCGTCTCCACCAAAAATACAAAAATATCAGGCTGGGCACGGTGGCAGGTGCCTGGAATCTCAGCTAGTCAGGGAGGCTGAGGCAGGAGAATCGCTTGAACCCGGGAGGCAGAGGTTGCAGTGATCTGAGATTGCGCCACTGCACTCCAGCCTGAGTGACAGAGTGAGACAACGTCTCAAAAAAAAAAAAAAAAGAAGAAGAAGAAGAACTGGAACTGGAACAGGAGCTTCCTGGAAGATTGACTGGGGTTAGGGGTTGCAGGCGAGTAAGCCTGTCAGAGAATGGAGCCTCCTGCCAACAGAGGGGGAGCTGGCATACAGAGGCCGGGTGGGAGCGTGGCCGGGCCTGCCATCAGAGTGGCTGTGGTACTACTGGGCCAGATGCAAATCTGGAGCCAAGGGTGGAGACTGAGCTTTGCCCAAGCCTTCATGATGAATCAGCGCATTAGCTCAAGACCGGGGCAGGAAGTGAACCAGGGTCTGTGTGTCTCAGACAGTCCTGAGTTAATTCAGACAGAACTATTGTGCTCTGTTCATTTATCCCTTTTATTCTTTTTTCTTTTCACGGATGGGCTTTAGATTTCCATTTGTGGCCTCTCCTCCTTTTAGATCTAGGTAAAATGGACAAAAACCTTCCGTTTTCATGGTTTCTGATGGCTTAAACCTGTCCCTAAGATGTTTGCAAGCCTCCAGGCAAAGAAGGAAGTGCTGGTGGAGGAGGCTGTGGTTGTCTTTCATTCATGCTTTGATGTCTTGTCTCTAAGAGGACTCTTTCTGCATGTTTGTCTCTTGGGCATGCTTGATCCGGCTATAAAATTCAGCCTCTTGCTTGATTTCTATGTACACTGGAATCATAGTGAGTTTAGACTTTTCTGGAGGCTTAGGGGTAGGCAATGAGGATGAGGAGGGGGTGACCAAGAGATAGAGGAGAGATTTACTTGGTAGAAATGCATCCAGAACACAGGCATTGCCTTTCAGTTAACGTTCTTTGGTGACCCTTCCAGGCTAGATTTCATTTCACTCTGAACTTCCCATCTTTTTGGTTCCCTTTCGCCCTCATTCTCAGATTTCTCTCCATTCCTTTCAGTGGCAAAACAACTCATTTCTTCCCTGTTCCCCCAAGAACAGCCTCCCTCATGATCTGCAGGCTCAGAGCTGACTTTCGTCCCACAAGATGTCATCTTCCCCAACCAAGTCTCTCTACGCTAAAGATAGTTCCTTCACTGGTTAGAGTTCTGGGGCCAGCTGTTCTCTCTCTTTTTAATTTCACTTCTCTAGAAAAGCTTCTTAAGAAATTGCAACCTTGCTTAGCTCAACGGAGGGGGTCAGGGCAGTACTGCTGGTGGGGTCATGTGGGCCTGAACACCCCATCTTCTTGTGGCTTCCATGGTTCCCGATATGCCTATAGGAAGCAGACGGGCTGGCCAAAGGGGCGCCCAGCAGGGAGATAATGGGCGTGGGGTGGGCCCCTTTTTCTCTGTTGGCCTGGTCTGGTGCTGGTGTCCCATAAGCTCTCCCAGACGAATAACCTTGTTCTACAAACGTACCCACTTAGGCAATTTGCCCTAAAGTTTCATCTTAAAAATGCATGTGAAATTGGACTTGTACTCCAGAGATATCCATGTTTGTATTCATGTAAAAATAATGTCCTTCTTAATTATCTGGGGGTGGTGGTGTGTGCCTTTAGTGCCAGCTACTTGGAAGGCTGAGGCAGGAGAATCACTTGGACCAAGGAGGCAGAGGTTGCAGTGAGCTGAGATCGCGCCATTGCACTCCAGCCTGGGTGACAGAGAGAGACTCTGTCCCAAAAAATAAAATAAAATAAAAATAAATACATAAAATAAAATAAAATAAAAGTCCTTCTCTAGGCTTGCAGTGTTGGTCTATTATTTTGCCTCCTGTGTGCCAGGCACTGCAGCAGGCAGTGGGAACTGAATGTCAGCCCACCTGGAATGGAACTTGGGTCTAGGTTGGAGAAGACAGACGTCAATCAGTCAGCTCAACCAGACACAGTGTGCTTATCTCCCAGCTGCAGACCCTCGGGGGCCTGATAACCCGGGTTATCAAGTGCTGTCTTATGCTTCTCCAAGGGATTCCTGTAGCTGTTCCCACATCAGGCCCACAGCAGCACCTAGTAGACATCAGCTGGATGTGGTAAATGTGTGAATTATAAAGTCCAACTCTGGTTCTCATCTAGAAGCATGGTATAGCCACTATTGGTTAGGACTAAAATCCAGGGAATGGAATGCAAAATCATTTTGCCCTGAGGGTCTTCAGAGAGGATCAGGCACACCCTTAATGGAGAGTTGAGGAGGATTAGGCTCAGAGAGATAACATGGGCCTGTGGCTCATTCGAGCTGGAACTCCTGCAGTCCCCTGCCCCACTCTGCCTGTCCTTGAGACACACCCAGATGTCCACAAACATGACAGAGACACTCACATGATGAGGGTCATCCTCATGCTGCTGTTACCTGGGCCAGAGATAACAAATGCCAAGGTCATAGTGTTGATCCCACCACTCCCCCGGTCCATGGCTGCCTGTTGGAGGGTGGGTCAAAGGTGTGGGGCTGAGCAGGGTGCTAGGAGCCACTGGGATGGGCTGGCAGGAATGTGCTCTCTGTGAACCATCTTTGGTCCATTACTGGCTGGGTACTTGCTTTAATTAGGTGGATGACAACCCTGGAGCTCCCCTGACTCCTATAGTGGTTTCCCCTCTGAAGGGGCTTCAGGGACCTCCTGAGGGTCTTCTTAGGGGTCTCTGGGGCAGCCCGAATGAGCCACACAGGGATGCCTTAGTGTCCTTTGGTTTCTGTCACTGCGAGGCAGGGCGGGGTGGAGGAGGGAGAACAGGCTTTGGGGGCCAGCACAGGTGAGCTTGAACCCAGGCTCTGTGCTGCTCCGTTGGTGCCTCCCAGGGTGAGTCACACTGCTTTTCCCAGGCCCAGGTTTATTCTCTGCAGCATGGGGATAGTATATTCTTCACAAAACAGAGGGAAAGATTAAACACAACAGGCCGGGTGTGGTGGCTCACACCTGTAATCCCAGCACTTTGGGAGGCTGAGGTGGGTGGATCACCTGAGGTCAGGAGTTTGGGACCAGTCTGGCCAACATGGTGAAACCTAGTCTCTACTAAAAATACAAAAACCAGCCAGGGGCCAGGTGCGGTGGCTCACTCCTGTAATCTCAGCACTTTGGGAGGTTGAGACAGGTGGATCACTTGAGGTCAGGAGTTTGAGACCAGCCTTGCCAACAAGGCGAAACAGTCTCTACTAAAAATACAAAAAATTAGCTGGATGTGGTGGCACGTTTCTCCCAGCTACTTGGGAGGCTGAGCAGGAGACTCGCTTGAACCCGGGAGGCAGAGGTTGCTGTGAGTTGAGATCATGCCACTGTACTCCAGCCTCAGTGACAGAGCGAGACTGAGTCTCAAAAAAAAAAAAAAAAAAAAAAGATTAGACATAGCATATGTCATGTGCCTAGCACTGTGCTCAGTGGATTGGAGGGGTTAGGCTGCAGGTAATAGTTGGCACCATAATTATTATTGTTCTGCGAGGAACCCCGCTCTCTGACACCCATGAGGACAGGGACTGAGATGGGAGTTTGTGTAACAGTCAGCACCACCTTCAGAGTATGCAAGGAATGGCTAAAGGTGGACTTAAGTATTGAGGACTTGACCCGGCACAGTGGCTCATGCCTGTAATCCCAGCACTTTGAAAGGCTGAAACAGGAGCATCACTTGAGCCCAGGAGTTCAAGATCAGCCAGGACAACATAGGAAGACCCTGTGTCTACATAAAATTAAACATTTGGCCAGGTACGGTGGCTCACGCTGTAATCCCAGCACTTTGGGAGGCTGAGGTGGGTGGATCACCTGAGGTCAGGAGTTCAAGACCAGCCTGGCGAACACGGTGAAACCTCATCTCTACTAAAAATACAAAAATCACCCAGGCATGGTGGTGTGCGCCTGTAATCCCAGCTACTCAGGAGGCTGAGGCAGGAGAATCACTTGAACCCAGGAGGCGGAGGTTGCAGTGAGCCAAGATCGTGCCATTGCACTCCAGCCTGGGCGACAAGAGCGAAACTCCATCTCCAAAAAAAAAAAAAAAAAAAAAAAAAATTTAGCCCCGTGGCATTTGCTTGTGGTCCCAGTTACTGGGGAGGCTGAGGTAGGAGGATTACTTGAGCCCAGGTGGTCGAGGCTGAAGGGAGCTGTGATTGTGCCACTGCACTCCAGCCTGGAGAAGGGTGAGATTCTGTCTCAAAAAGAAAAAAAAATGTATTGAGGACTTGATGGACTTTCCTCCTCATGCCAGTGGTCATCAGGCCCATGTAACTTTGCTGTGGGTGAGACTGAAGCTGGCAAAGGCGTTAAATTGGTGTTGCCCAGCCTACTTGTAGGATTAGCAAGAAATCGCCCCATTGGGAGGTCCTCCAATGACTGATCTAGCTAGTAACTAGTTTCAGTTAGATTCTAGAATATTTTTAGTGAAATGTTCATTTGACTAGGCAACTTGATATGGTAAAAAGAATATGCATTTTGGCCGGATGCAGTGACTCATACCTAAAATCTCAGTATTTTGGGAGGCCGAGGCGGGCAGATGACTTGAGGTCAGGAGTTCAAGACCAGCCCGGCCAACATGGTGAAATGCTGTATCCACTAAAAATACAAAAATTAGCCGGGCGTGGTGGAGGGCACCTGTAATCCCAGCTACTGGGGAGGCTGAGGCAGGAGAATCACTTGAACCCAGGAGGCAGAGTTTGCAGGGAGCCAAGATTGAGCCACTGCACTCTAGCCTGGGCAATAGAGCAAGACTCAGTCTAAAAAAAAAAAGAAAGAAAAAATAAAAGAATGTCAGTTTTGCGACCATACAAACCTCATTGCAGAGCCTGGCTCTGACACTCACTATGAGCTGAGTCAAATTAGCTGACTTCTCTGAGCCTTGATTTCTTCTGCAGGATAGAAAAAAAGAATCGGTGTAGCTCTGAGGGTGAAATGAAATACAACAGGTGTATTACTTTGCTTGGACCACTATAATGAATACCACAGACTGGGCAGCTTAAACTATGTGTTTATTTTCTTACCGTTCTGGAAGCTGGCAAGTCCAAAATCAAGGTGTCAGAAGGTTTCATTTCTTCTGAGGCCTCTCTCTTTGGTTTGCAGATGGGTGCCTTGTCACTATGTGCTCACATGGTCTCTCCTCTGTGTGTATCTGTCTCCAAACCTCTCTTTTTTTTGAGACGGAGTCTCACTCTGTTGCCCAGGCTGGAGTGAAATGGCGCGATCTTGGCTCACTGAACCTCTGCCTCCTGGGTTCAAACAATTCTTCTGCCTCAGCCTCCCTAGTAGCTGACGTTACAGGCATGTGCTAGAAAGCCCAGCTAAGTTTTGTATTTTTAGTAGAGATGGGTTTCACCATGTTGGCCAGGACGATCTCGAACTCCTGACCTCAAGTGATCCACCCACCTCAGCCTCCCAAAGTGCTGGGATTACAGGTGTGAGCCACTATGCCTAGCCAGCCTCCGTTTCTTGAAAAAAAAAAAATTTATATATATATATATATATATATATGCTTACCTCCTCAAAAACCCTATCTCCAGATAACCACATTCTGAGGGACTGGGGCTTAGGACTTAAATGTATGAATTACTGGGGGACACAGTTCACCATTATAGCTGTTCATTTTTTATCTATATATTTGTTCAAGACAGAGTTTCATTGTCGCCCAGGCTGGAGTGCAGTGGTGCAATCACGGCTCACTGCAGCCTCAGCCTTCTGGGCTCAAGCAATTCTCCTGCCTCAGTCTCCTGAGTAGCTGGGACCACAGGCATGCACCACCACTCCTAGCTAATTTTTGTATTTTTAGTAGACATGAGGTTTTGCCACATTGTGGCTGGTCTCGAACTCCTGAGCTCAAGCAATTGGCCCACCTCGGCCTCCCAAAATGCTACAATTTCAGGCGTGAGCCACTGCGCTCGGTCTAGCTGCTCTTATTACAAGAGCTCTCATTCCTTCCCGCGGCTCTTCCTAATTCTGGACTGTTTCCATGGTTTGGGAGTTGGTGATTCTGCAGGGAGTGCTTGCAGTATTTTTCAGAGTTTCACGGGAAAAGCTGATGTCAGGAGGAGAAAAACATGTAAAGCCTGCTCAGCATCGTCTAGATGCAGGGTCTACTCTGGTACTTGTCTTGGGCTAGGAGTACTGAGGAATTGTTTGCTTTTTCTGGAATTCACAGAAATGTGTTGCAACCAAGTCAGAGGAGGAGAAGAAATAGGGGGGATAGTGGTTCTCACACAGATCCAGGTGCTATTTCTTCAGGAAGCAATAAGATTATCAACACTAGGGAAAAAAGAGTATTTTTTCCTCACATTTCTAACATTCAGACTCACCATTCAATCCCTGCACTTCCCCCTTCCTTACATTCAAGTAGCCTTATGAAATCGTGCCCTTTGTTGTTATAAATAATTACATTGGTCCACTTGTAAAAAGTTGGCCAGTTACGGCAAGTCTGGTGTAGCAAACCTGTCCTAAATATTTTATGGATTTCTAAAAGCCGACTCTGTGGTTTGAGCTGAAAGGGGATGGCAGGAATTCCTTTTTCTTTCTGGAATAGTCTCAGATCATTGTGAGCTCAAGGATAGGTCACTCTCTTCTTGTAGTTATCAAAGCAAATTTTTATCTCTGGGTGTAAGGTAAAAATAGCTCTGGAATTTTCAAAGACAGATTTAAAGATATATGTTTTGTATACATAACAAGTAAATGTAAATGATAATAATAGTTAACATGTACTTTCGATGCACAATATCGTTCAGTCCTTACATCAATTTTAAGACCTTTTAACAGATGAGGAAACTGAGGCACAAGGAATGAGGTAACCTGTCCAAGATCCCAGATAGGTCAGCAGTAAAGTCAGGACATGAACTCAATTCAGTGACTGGCATTCAGCAAAGACGGCCGGGGCAGTGATAGAGAGAGACTGAGACAGACCGAGAGAGATGGAGAGCTCTTCTTGAGGCAGCCGGGTGGGAAGAACATGGGGTGGGACAGAAAGCAGAGTGAGCCCCAGAGACTCCCTCAAGGAGCTGGAATTCTAGTTGAGGATCCGCATGAGTTAGCACTTCAGTACTCACATACTCAGAAATGCTGTGTCAGGGAGGGTGGGGAGGAGAGGCTAGAATTCAGACTGAGAGACTCAGGTAGGCTTTACCATAGAGGCTTCGGAGTTAGACTGGAAGACAGGGGGATTTCTGTCTTTGAATCTTCTGCCAGTAGAATCTAGCTGGCAAGGGGACTAGATGTGGCTGGAAAGAGCAGCTGAGGGAGGGAGGTTAAGCACCAGGAAGGAATGGCGGCCACAGTAGACCGTGGGGCATTCTTTTGAAGAAGTTTCACGTGGAGCCTTTCATAGCCATGCCTTTGAAATTTGTTTTTGCTGCTCTCTGTACTTCCAATGCCCTCCCCTCTCTCCATTTGCACCTGGGAGCTCAGGCCAAGAATGAATGCATCTGTTTTCCGCAGTGTTATTGATCCCCGTGGTGGGAAGTGAACTCTCCCTTTCCTAAGCCTGCTGGAGTTCATTCTCTGTCGTCACCTTGCTAGTGGCCTTGCAGGTACTTGTACCTTGCAGCATAAGTGCCACTACCCTGGGTTGCCCTGAAGGGAGAGATGGCACCCTACACTTCCCTGCCCTCACTCAGGACTGGTTCCTGCCTGCCTCCTCCCTCAGCTCCTTCCTGCTAAATGAGTCCATGGATGAGTTATGGGAGCCCCTCAGGCAATCCCCCACTGGCCTCAAGAGGTCTTGGCACTCACTATGCAATACAGTTAGAATTCTCTGGGAAGCAGACGGAACTGAACCATAACTATTATCGACTCTCGAGATACCTCCCCAAGATGTGTGTTCCCCTTTACCAGAAAATATGCCAGGCAGAGAAAGGAGAAAGTTTCATGCCAGAAGGATCCCTTGCAAAAGTCCCCTGGGTCTACAATCTACATTTGCTTTTTTTCTGTTTTGATTTGACAGTTGAAAAACAAAAACCTAGCCCGTCATTATTCTAAGTAAGGCAAGAGAAGCTTGACAGGATGCCTTCGTGAGCCCCTTCTCTGCAGCAGGGGAAGAAAGAAAAGGGGCTTGAAGCCTCTCTGCAGAGGCTCTTCCAGAGTGTGGCTGCAGGGTCCAGGTGACCCGTCAATGGCGGTAAGGACCCTGGACAGGCGGGCAGTGAAGAGGCCCCTTCGGTGTGGGACTGCCCCATATTGCATGGCACTACTTTGGACAGGGACTAATGAGACTGTGAAAACATGTTGCCTGGCCTCTGTCTCTTGGTGTCCAGAAACTTCTGCGTTACTGTGATGGAAGCATTCAGACGAGGCTGGTCTGCAGAGGCCACTGATGTCCTGGGTGCTCCTGAGCCTGCAGCCTCCTGCAAGCCCCCGCTCCACAGCCAGGACTCGTGAGGCCTTTGGAGGCCCTGGAGGTTTGCTTTGCCATCTCTGCTTTGAGGGTCACGGAAGCAGAGTCTGACCCCACAACCAGCCCCATGCCTTCCTTCCTCCCTTCTGTTCATTTTCCCAGTGAAGCTTAGAGGGCTCCTTCTGTTGGCCATGCCTGCCCACCCTGCTGTCCTGGTCCTGGGCCCAGACCACACCTGACTTTTCCTCTGTCTCCAGGATGCACTGGATGGCTGTGTGACTGCCCATGGCATAACCTTAGGGGGTGCCACTCACATAAATGGTGAGGTGAATTGCACTATGGAACGCAATAGCCCATGAGCCCCGTCCACAGCTCATTACAGTCCTGGTCAGGGCGGAGTCCATCAGAGGCTCCCCGGGTTGGCAATTCAGGGTTTTTGTTGCTGTTGTTTCGAGAAAGGATCTTGCTGTGTCATCCACGCTGGAGTGCAGTGGTGCAATCACGGCTCGCTGCAGCCTCAATCTCCCGGGCTCAACTGATTCTCCCACCTCAGCCTCCTAAGTAGCTGGAACCACAAGCATGCACCACCACGCCTACCTAATTTTTTATTTTAATTTTTTTCTTTTTTTTTCCACCTATGTGACAACTGAAGATCCCAGCTAATTCTTTTTTTTTAAGAGATGGGGTCTTGCTATGTTGCCTAGGCTGGTCTTAAACTTCTGGACTCACGTGATCCTCCCACCTCAGCCTCCCAAAAATGCTGAGGTTACAGGTGTGAGCTGCCGCATCCAGCATTTTTATTTTTTATTTTTTTGAGACAAGGTCTCACTCTGTTGCTCAGGTTGGAGTGCAGTGGCACAATCATGGTTCACTGCAGCCTCAAACTCCTAGGCTCAAGCAATCCTCCTGCCTCAGCCTCCCAAGTAGCTGGGACCACAGGTGTGTGTCACCACACCTAGCTAAATTAATTAATTAATTAGTTATTATTATTTTGTAGAGACAGGGGCTCCCTATGTTGCCCAGGCTGGTCTTGACCTCCTGGTATCAAGTGATCCTATCACCTTGAACCCTCAAAGCGCCTATCCCTATTTCTCTTTTTTCTAAAAGAAAAAGTTCAGTGACAATGACAAGTGGTAATTCACACGTGGCCTCAATGTTGCGGAGAAACTAAAGGACGGAGGAGGAAAAGTGGAACGTGTAAGCCTTAAATAAAGACGGTAGCTTCTACTTAGTTCTAGCAGATTCCTGCCAAGAGAGGATGATAGCAGAATGTTGCCATGGCTGCTTCTTTATTCGCTAGAAGCAGAAATCCGTATTTTTGGATGAAGCTTCCTGCTTTTTAAATGTTGGCTCAAATGAAAGACAAAACAGGAATCCAGGCTAGGGGAGAGGGTGACTTGGAGCAGGGGGCTTGCAGGGAGGTGTGAGAAGTGAGAATATTCTGAAGGCAGAGATTTCCTCATGGGTTGGGTGTGGGCTATGAGAGAAAAAGACAGAAAAAGAGGAAGCAGGATGATTCCAAGTTGTTTTTTTTTTTTTGAGACGGAGTCTCGCTCTGTCGCCCAGGCTGGAGTGCAGTGGCGTGATCTTGGCTCACCGGAAGCTCCACCTCCCGGGTTCACGTCATTCTCCTGCCTCAGCCTCCCGAGTAGCTGGGACTACAGGCGCCCGCAACCACACCCGGCTAATTTTTTGTACTTTTCGTAGAAATGGGGTTTCACCGTGTTAGCCAGGATGGTCTCGATCTCCTGATCTCGTGATCCACCAGCCTCAGCCTCCCAAAGTGCTGGGATTACAGGCATGACCCAATGCGCCCAGCTTCTTTTTTTTTTTTTTTTGGCTGAGCCTCTGGGCTCCTCCTAATGACCCCCTGCGTCCTGCTTTCTCCCTCACGCCTGGCATGTCAGTCTCAACGCAGCGCCCGAGGGCTTCTTTAAAACCCAAGTCAAATCATACACTCCTCTGCTCAAAGGCCACCAATCGCGCCCACACCATCAAAGTAAAAGCCCAGGCCCAGGAAGTAGAATGGGGGCTGTCAAGAGCTGGGGAAGGGGGAGCTAGTGTTTAATAGGTGTAGCGTTTCAGCTGGGGGATGAGAAAGTTCTGGAGATGGATGGTGGAGATGGTTGTGCAACAATGGGAATGCTATAAACGTGGGTGGGGAAGACTTCAGAGGAGGAAGTTTTATGGGGGAGAGCAGGAGCTCAGTTTGGGGCATGTCAAGAATGAGATGCCTTATTAAACATTCGAGCCAAGACACTGAACAGAGCTGAGTCTGGAGTTCACAGAGAGCCAAGCTGGGGACATGGATTTGCAATCAATCAGTGCACAGATGGCATCAGTTCCACGGGACTGAGAGTTCACCAGCGTAGCGAGAACAGCCAAAACCAAACCAAACCAAAACGTTCTCCACAGGTCCCAGGAGTGAGCCAGAGACTTTAAGCTGAAAGGTCAGCCATCCAAGGAGGGATCAGGAAGGGGAAGAGGAGGAACAGCAACGAGGGAGGGAGGACCGCCGGAAGGGTGAGCGCTATGCTCGTGGGCTCGGGCGGAGTGGCACCTCGGGAGCTTCCTACTATCAGGGTTTGTGCCTGCACGAATCTGTCTACAGCCACTGCTAAATCTGAGGGCCATTGGGAGGCAGTTCAGGGTTTGGAGTTGTGTGAGGAGACAAGGTTAGGGATGGGAATTGAGGAGCAGTGCAGGAGGGCCGGGCGTGTAGGGAGGTGCCCCATTGAAGGGAGTGGGAGTGTGTGGGTTGGGGAGCAGCTGTTCAGAGGGGTCCACTGTGGCCCCCAGACTCTGGGCTGATCCCCAGAGTAAAGAAGATGGACATATCCTCTAGGGACCTGCACTGTCCCCTCACACCCCCATAAGAATGGTCTGGGGCTGCTGATAGAAGGCTCCTCAGTCAACTGACTTGGGGACTGACAGGGTCTGATGGTGAGAGGCAAGGACAGGAAGGCCTGCAAAAACGAGGCCTGATCTGTGGTATGGTCTAAATAGTGACTTCCCTCAAAGTCACACAGTGACGTCCTAAGCCCAACTACCTTAGAATGTGACTATATTTGGAGATAAGGTTTTGATTTTTGTTTTGTTTTAGAGACAGGATCTTGCTGTGTTGCCCAGGCTGGAGTGCAGTGGCATGATCATAGCTCACTGTAGCCTCTTCTACCTGGCTGAAGCGATCCTCCTGCCTCAGCCTCCTGAGTAGCTGGGACTACAGGCATGCGCCACCACACCCAGCTGTTTTTTTAAACAGTTTGTAGAGACAGAGCCTCACTATGTTGCCCTGCTGGTCTCAAACTCCTGGGCTCCAGCAATCTTTTCGCTCCC
Organism: Homo sapiens; assembly: GCF_000001405.40. Lineage (NCBI taxonomy): Eukaryota > Metazoa > Chordata > Mammalia > Primates > Hominidae > Homo > Homo sapiens. Next base: position 1,458,843 of record NW_018654717.1, on the reverse strand, counting down.
ACCTCCCAAAGTGCTGGGATTACATTGTGAGCCACCACACCCAGTCTTTGGAGACACGGTCTTTAAAGAGGTAGTTAAGTTAAACGAGGCTGTTAGGGTGGGCTCTAATTCAATCTGATTGGTGTCCTTATAGGAGGAGGGAGAGACATGAAGGCTGCACATACACAGAAAAAAAAAAAAACCCAACAACATGTGGGGACACGGAGAAGGCATAGCCTGAGGAGAAACCAGCCATGCCAACACCTTGATCTCAGACTTCTAACCTCCAAAACTGTGAGAAAACGAACGCCTATTGTTAAGTTGCCCAGCCTGTGGTATTTTGTTACGGAAGCCTGAGCAAACTAACACAGCCTGGCATTTTTGCTCTGAAGTTTACAGGATTGATTGGAATTTATGGGAATAGATTTATAGTTGCACAACTCAATGCTATGCAGGGATTTTCTCCAGCGTGATTCCTTTGGTGAAACAGTGGCCCCCACTTCCTACTGTCTGCCCAAACCCAAGCCAGCGAAAGTGTCCATTCACCCATCCATTCAGTCATTTACTCATTCATTCAACAAATATTTATTGAAGACTTACTGTAAAGGTCTTATAAAAGGTGATGGAACCTTGTCCATATCAGGGTTAGACATGGCTAAGTTCTGGGGAATTAGAACATATTATTAATCTCCATAACAAATACAGCTTTTGATGACACACAGAAACGAATGAAATCGGACACAAAGTCCCAATCAGTTTTTGGAAATAATCCACAAAATAAATGGAAGTTTCAGTTCCATAAACAACTAAATTGGATCCAGATATCAGATAATTCCACATTATATTGAAAAAGAAGAAATCGGGCCAGGCATCAGCATGTTGGGAGGCTGAGGTGGGCAGATCACTTGAGGTCAGGAGTTCAAGACCAGCCTGGCCAACATGGTGAAACCTTGTCTCTACTAAAAATACAAAAATCAGCCAGGTGTGCTGGCACATGCCTGTAATCCCAGCTACTCAGGAGGCTGAGGCATGAGAATTGCTTGAACCTGGATGGCAGAGGTTGCAGTGGGCCGATTGTGCCACTGCACATGGTTTGGCTGTGTCTCCACCCAAATCTCATCTTGAATTGTAACTGCAAGAATTCCCATGTGTCGTGGGAGGAACCTGGTGGGCAGTGATTGAATAATGGGGGCAGGTCTGTCCTGCACTGTTCTTGAGATGGTGAATGAGTCTCATGAAGTCTGGTGGCTTTAGAAATGGGAGTTTCCCTGCACAAATTCTCTCTTCGCTTGTTTGCCCCCATGTGAGATGTGACTTTCACATTCCACCATGATTGTGAGGCCTCTCCAGCCATGTGGAACTTTAAGTCCAATAAACCTCTTTCTTTTGTAAATTGCCCAGTCTCTGATATGTCTTTATCAGCAGCATAAAAATGGACTAATACCATCTTGTATACTGTTTGGTTAATAAATGCCCTTCTGGGAGACAGGCCTCACAACATCCACAAAAGCTGGGCTGCTTTCTGGGGCAGAAAGAGCTTAATGAAGATTAATATCTTTGTGTTGAGTGAACTCTGAGATGGCTCCCTGTGGTCCCTGACTCCTGGTGTTCTCACCCTTGTGTAATGTCCCCAATTGTGTGCAGGCAGGACCTTCGATTTGGTTTTAACAAACAGAGAAGAGCAAAGATGATAGGATGTCACCTCTGTAAATATAAGATGACGACTTGTGTCTTGGTGGCAGACTCTCTCCTTTATAAGCTTTCATAAAGCAAGTTGCTTGATTGGGGAGGCCCACAAGGCAAGAAACACAGGGTGCCTTCTGGGAAAAAACACCTAGGAATCAAGGCCCTTTGTTCAACTGCCTAAAAGCAATTGAGTCATGTCAACGACCAAAAAGTGAGCTTGGAAGCAGATTCTCCCCAGTTGGGCCTTTCGATAAGACTCAACCTTGCCTGACACCTTGAGTGTGGTCTTGTGAGAGACCATAAAATGGAGGAACCAGCTGAGCTGTGTCCAGATTCCTGACCTACAGAAACTGTGAGAAAACGTGTGTGTGTGTGTGTGTGTGTGTGTGTGTGTGTGTGTGTGTGTGTGAGCCAGAATCTTGCTTTGTCACCCAGGCTGGAATGCAGTGGCATGATCATAGCTCACTGCATCCTTGAACTCCTGGGCTCAAGTGATCCTCCTGCCTTAGCCTTCTGAGTAGCTAGGATGGCAGGCACACATCACCATGACCAGCTAATTTAACAACTTTTATTTTTTGGTAGAGATGGTATCTCACTATGTTGCTGAGGCTGGTCTCAAACTGCTGGGCTCAAGTGATCCTCATACCTCAGCCTCCCAAAGTATTGGGATTACAAGTGTAAGCCACTTCACCCTGCCGATGTGTGTTGTTTTAGGTGCCAAATTTATGCTCCTTTGTCACTCAGCAGTAAATAGCTAAGACAATCCTAAACAAGGTTTTTGAGATGGTAGAATAAAGACTCTCTGGGGTCCAATTAGTATTGGCCTGAGGCAGATTCCCTGAACAGAAAAGGAAGTGACCAGTAAATCTGAGTCATCTGGGATGAGGCCCCTTGTTACTAAACCCTCAGATTCCTTCCTGATGAAATGAGAAGTTTGGATAGCTCTCCAAGATCCCCTCCCCTCCCCTCTCCTCTCCTCCCCTCCCCTCCTCTCCTCTCCTCTGTATTTTATTTTCTTTTGAGACAGAGTCTCACACTGTTGCCTAGACTGGAGTGCAATGGCGAGATCTCAGTTCACTGCAACCTCCACCTCCTGGGTTCATGCAATTCTCCTGCCTCATCCTCTCGAGTAGCTGTGGTTATAGGCGCACACTACCACACTCGGCTAATTTTTTTTTTTTTTGTAGTTTTAGTAGAAATGGGGTTTCACTATGTTGGCCATACTGGTCTCAAATTCCTGACCTCGTGATCAGCCCTCCTCGGCCTCCCAAAGTGCTGGGATTACAGGCATGAGCCACCGCGCCCAGCCTTTGTTTGCTTTTCTCTCTTTTTTCTTTTTTGAGACGAACTCTTGCTCTGTCGCCCAGGCTGTGGAGTGCAGTGGAGCAACCTTGGCTCACTGCAACCTTTGCCTCCCAGGTTCAGGTGATTCTCCTCCCTCAGCCTCCCAAGTAGCTGGGACCACAGGAGGGGACACGCCACCGCACCAGGCTAATTTTTGTATTTTTAGTAGAGACGGAGTTTTGCCATGTTAGCCAGGCTGGTCTCAAACTTCTGACTTCAGGTGATCCACCCACCTTGGCCTCCCAAAGTGCTGGGATTACAGGCATGAGCCACCACGCCTGGCCACTTTCTTTCTTTTTATTTTTGTGTATTTGTTGTATGTTTTTAGGTTTGAGGTTACTGTAAGGGTTGCAAATATCTTGTAAACAATTATTTTAAATTGATGACAGCATTGATTGCATAAACAAAAACCAAACTACCAAACAAGCAAAAAGAAAACTAATAAAAATTCTACACTTTAACTTGCTCTCCCCACGTATTAACTTATTTATTTATTTTTTTTGAGACAGACTCTCACTCTGTCACCTAGGCTGGAGTGCAGTGGCACTATCTTAGCTCACTGCAACCTCTGTCCCCCAGGTTCAAGCAATTCTCCTGGCTCAGCCTCTCTAGTAGCTGGGATTAAGGTGTGTGCTAATTTTTAAATTATCATGCCTGGCTAATTTTTGTATTTTTAGTAGAGACAGGGTTTCACCATGTTGGCCAGGTTGGTCTTGAACACCTGACCTCAGGTGATCCACCTGCCTCCCCCTCCCAAAGTACTGGGATTACAGTAATGAGCCACCACATCTGGCCCACTGTTTCTATTGATAACTTATTGTACTGTCTATGAGTTGAAAAGTCATGGTAGTGATTATTTTTGATTGGTTCATCTTTTAGTCTTCTTCCTTAAGACATGAGTAGTTTACACACGACAATTATGGTGTTATAATATTTTCTGTTTTTCTGTGTACTTACCAGTGAGTTTTGCACCTTCATATGATTTCCTATTATTCATTGATGTCCTTTTCTTTCAGATTGAAGAACTTCCTTTAGCTTTTTTTTTTTTTTTTTTTTTTTGTGTGTGAGATGGAGTCTCACTCTGTCACCCAGGATGCAGTGCAGTGGCACAATCTTGACTCACTGCAACCTCCATTTTCCGGGTTCAAGTGATTCTCATGTTCCAGTCTCCCGAGTACCCAGGATTACAGACGTACGCCAACACGCTCGACTAATTTTTATATTTTTAGTAGAGATGGTGTTTCGCCACGTTGACCGGGCTGATCTTGAACTCCTAGCCTCAAGTGACCCGCTTGCCTCAGTCTCCTAAAGTGCTGGAATTACAGGCATGAGCCACGACCCCGGCCCTTAGCATTTCTTGGAGGACAGGTCTAGAGTCGATGAAATCCCGCAGCATTTGTTTGTCAGGGAAGTTTTTCTCCTTCATGTTGGAAGGATATTTTTGCTAGATAAACTATTCTAGGTAAAAGTTTCTTTCCTCAGCACTTTAAATATGTCATACTATTCTCTCCTGGCCTTTCCACTGAAAAGTCTGTTGCCAGATGGATTGGAGCTCCATTGGATGTCATTTGTTTCTTTTCTCTTGCTGATTTTAGGATCCTTTCTTTATCCTTGATCTTTGGGAGTTTGATTATTAAATACCTTGAGGTAGTCTTCTTTGGGTTAAATCTGATTGGTGTTCAATAACCTTCTTGTACTTTAAAATTGATACCTTTCTCTAGGTTTGGGAAGTTCTCTGTTATTATTTTATTGAATAAACTTTCTACCCAATCTCTCTCTATTTTCTCTTTAAGAACAATTACTTGGATTTGCCCTTTTGAGGCTAATTTCTAGGTCTTATAGGCATGCTTTGTTGTTTTTTATTCTCTCTTTTTTTTGTCTTCTCTGACTGTGTATTTTCAAGTAGTCTATCTTCAAGCTCACTCATTCTTTCTTCTGCTGGATCAAGCCTGGAATCGAGGGCCTTAAGGGCCCTTTTGGTGCTCTTCCTCACTGCGGCTGAGCTGGCACCTAAGCTCATCACAAAGTGCTCTTTCCTCTTCCCTCTCTCTTTCTCAAGCAGAAGGACTCTCTCCTCGTAGCCACCAGAACTGTGAATGTGCTTCTGGTCACACCTGAAGCCAGCACGTCTCAGAGTCTCACTCAAGGCCAACTGCCTGTACTACTTGGTTACTGCTGCTGATTATTCAGGGTCCAAGGGCTCTTTAGTCAGCAAGTGATTAATTCTTCCAGGACTGAGCTCTTCTCTCCAGGTCAGTGGGTTCCCTTCTGGCCCAGGGTGTGTCTAGAAATGTCATCCAGGAGATAGGGCCTGGAATGGAGCCCTCAAGACTGTGACTAGTGTCCTATCCTACTGTGGCTGAGCTGGTATCCAAGTTGCAAGACAAAGTCCTCTTTAGTTTTCCTTCTCTTCTCCTATGCATCAGGAAGGGGTCTGTTTTGGAGCTGTGAGCTGTGCTGCCTGGGATTGTGGGAGGGGTGCTGCAAGCACTCCCTTAGGCACCCTGGGTGGTGTCTTATTAGCTCATGTGCCCCTCAATGTCCACTGGCTCTGAGCCCACCACAGCACCAGGACTTGCCTAGGATTTGCAGTCCTTGTGGCCTAAACATCTTTCAAGTTTATTTAGAGCCCCACTGCACTTTAGCCCATGGTGGTGAGGCTTGCCAAAACTCAAGTTCCAACCTCTGGGATGGGTTGGAATCTATCCTTCTGGCTAGGACTGGTCTACATGCTCCCTCCAGGGCCACTGGCTGAGTTCTGCCCTATGTCAGTAGCTCTGAATTCCAATTCAAGTTCCCGCGATTGCTGTGCTCTCCTTCTCCCAAGCACACAGATTCTCTCTTCATGTCACGCAGCCAGCCACTGCCAGGGGATGTTGAGGGGTCGGGGGAGGTGATCGCCAATTTAAGATTGTCTTTCCCACACTCTTCAGTGACTCTTTCAGCGATATGAAGTTAAAACCAAGTACTGTCATTACTCTCCTGATTTTTGGTTCTTATGGAGGTAATTTTGTGTGTGGATAGTTGTTAAATTTGGTGTTCCTGTATGGAGTATGATCAGTGGGGGCTTCTATTTGGCCATCTTGCTCCACTTCTATTTAATTTTTATTTTTTGTAGAGACAGTGTCTCACCATGTTGCCCAGGCTGGTCTCGAACTCCCAGAGTGCTGGGATTACAGACATAAGCCACCATGACCTGCCTCCATCTCTATTTAAAAAATTTTTTTGCATCAACTTTGGACAAGAATTTTTAAAGAAAAACATTTTTAAATTAAAATTTAAAAAATTTAAAAGCTCTGCTCGCAGAAGCACACAAAAAATTTTAATGTGCTGATTATTTCACTTCTGTGGAAAAATATGATAGGAAAATTGAATAAAAGAAATTTAGATTAACATTTTTGGGGGAACCATTTTATTTTTGTGTACATATTTCCTTAAAATCAGTGAATTTCTAGGCCAGCTTCAGGTAACTGAAGGGCCTTTATAAGTGGTTTATATTTTCTATATCTTTATAAGTGGCTTATGTTTTTATAAGTGGTCTATATCTTTATAAGTGGTTTATATTTTCTATATCTTTATATTTTCTATATCTTTATAAGTGGTTTATATTTTCTATATTGTGTTTGCAATGTTTACTGCAAACACAGTCTGAAGCAAAATGGGAAATAACATATTTCTGGAGATGAGCATAGACATTCTAATCCAGTAAACTGTTTTCTTTCCCAGGTAGCAGGGTTGAGTCATGCCTGACTGCTAGGCCACCATTCATAGGTATAGCCTATAAAACCGGTACAGACCACCCAAAAGAAGGCCAGCCAATGCATGCCGTTTGATGGTACAGGTTTCAAAATTCAAATCACCTGCCTGCAAAAATAAACTCACAAACCCCTTGTGAGATGCATGCTGTCCAAAGGGGGATCACTGGCTGGGCACGGTGGCTCACGCCTGTAATCCCAGCACTTTGGGAGGCCGAGGCGTGTGGATCACCTGAGGTCAGGAGTTCAAGACCAGCCTGGCCAATATGGTGAAACCCCGTCTCTACTAATAAACAAAAATTAGCTGATCATGGCCGGGCACGGTGGCTCACACCTGTAATCCCAGCGCTTTCGGAGGCCGAGGTGGATCACAAGGTCAGGGGTTCGAGACCAGCCTGACCAACATGGTGAAACCCCATCTCTACTAAAAATACAAAAATTATATGGACATGGTGGCAGGCACCTGTAATCCCAGCTACTCAGGAGGCTGAGGCAGGAGAATTGCTTGAACCTGGGAGGCGGAGGTTGCAGTGAGTCGAGATTGCGCCACTACACTCCAGCCTGGGTGACAGAGCGAGACTCCATCTCAAAAAAAAAAAAAAAAATTAGCCGATTATGGTGGTGGGTGCCTGTAATCCCAGCTAGTCAGGAGGCTGAGGCAGAATTGCTTGAACACGGAGGCGGAGGTTGCAGTGAGCCGAGAATGCGCCATTGCATTCCAGCCTGGGCGAAAGAGTGAAACTTTGTCTCAAAAAAAAAAAAAAAAAAGGGTAGGGGGGCTCACTGACATTGGTATGAAGCCATGAAGGGCAGTGTTCAGTCCAATATATGTCGATCCCATGCTCACACAGATCCCTTTCTGCTTGTGGAAGTTGGTTAATTTTTCTGGTTATGATACTGAATGTTGCTACATTTTCCTTGATAGTATAGTATCATCTGGTTGATGATTTTGCATCTTAGCATTATACTCCCCTTCTCCCAGCAGCCAGTGCCTCTCCAGTCTTCCTCAGCCACACCGGGGCTCACTGCAACCTCCGCTCTGCTGGCCCAGATGCAGCCATCTTTCAAGAAATCCAGATCTTGAGGCAAAATTTCAGAGAGCAAAACTTTCACAGGGACTTTCAGGCATAATTTGACCAGGTCATTCGACCAGGTTGTTTTTCTTTCTCTTTCTGTCCCCCTATCTGCGTGGTTCTTGGCCTGCTGTCAGGGCATGATTTAAGAGGGTTGTTTGCTTACCTTGAGTGGACGCCCCCACAGGCCAGTTCCCTCCCCAGAAGGACTTGAGGGCAGGGTGCAGGGGGGCGGGGGGAGCTGCCGAACCATGGATGTCAGACCTGTCCACGCACAGGCAAAGAGAGGGCACAAACTTGACAACACAGCGAAACTCCACTTGTTTCTTCACAAGTCTTTAGAAAGGAGCTTTCATTTCTGTAGTTTTGCTTCCTCTCTGAATCTTTGGCCTGCACAGTGACCTCAGTGTCTCCTGACCACGGAATCACATGCCCGTATCTACTTTGGAGTTTGAGCTTTTCAAAACTGCAACTCTTTGCCAATAGCTGGTTTGTGGGCCTGGTGTCAGCAGTGGGGAACAGTCTTCCTGCCACTTTCCATTCATGTCTACGTGACTCCAACCTAAAATAGATTTTTGGGGGAGCCCTTGATTGTAACCTTCAACAAAGGAAGTCATGCTAGGCAGATTCTCCTGAGACAGGTCCTTACGTGCTAGTAAGAGCCTTTGGTGAGTACTTTAGGATTTACAAAGCCTCTCCAAAGACAGACTTTGATTTGATCCCCACAGCAATCTCATGGGAGGTGTTTCAAGTCCATTTTACAGATGAGAAAATCTGCCACTGAGTGGGAGAATGGTGGGGTGGGAAGCGTGGTTGAAGAAGAGAAACAGCATTTATTACCTTTCTGGGCCTAACACTGCGCTGTTCGCTTTATATATGTTTGATCCTTTAACACACTTGTGAAGCCAGTAGTATTTTCACACTATTGTCTTTTTTAGGTGAGTTCACTGAGGCTCAAACAGGCACAGCAGTAAGTGGAAGCACAGGAACTGAAACACATCTCTGCTATCTCATGGTTTGTGCTTTTGCCCATCACTGCTTATGCCAGTTATCTTTTGCTGAGAAGCAGTTTACTTCCAAACTTAGTGGTTTAAGACAACAGTCATTTATGATCTCATGGTTTCTGTGATTCAGGATCTGGGAGTGGTGTAGCTGGGCTGTTCTGACCTAGGGTCTCTCATGGAATCTCTGTAAGGGGTCTGCTGGGGGCTGCTGTCATCTGAAGGCTTGATGAGGCTGCTGCTTCTGCTTCTGAGGTGGCTCACTTGCATGGCCAGCAAGTTGGTGCTGGCTCTTGCCAGGAGGCCTCCGTTTCTCCTCATTTGAGCTGCTTGAGCACCTTCTCCACGTGGTGCTGGCTTCTCCCTGAGCGAGTGACACAAAAGAGAGCAAGGCAAAAGCTGCAGTGTCTTTTAGGACCTTGTCTTGGATGCCACACGGTCATTTCTGCAATATCCCAGTGGCTACACAGTCCGGCCCTGTGCAGTACAGGAGGATCAGCAGAAGTTGAGGTCGCTGGGCAGGACCAAGGTCCAGAGAGGAAGCACAGGGGTATGACTCCCAGGAGCAGGGATTGCCGGAGCTGTCTTGAGCTCCAAGTACAACACTGCTCATCTTGCCAGCGAACGTGGATGTCGGTGTTGGCTGCTGAAAAACAGTCAATACAGGAATAGCATTTTCTTTTCTTTTTTTTTTTTTTGAGACGGAGTTGCGCTCTTGTTGCCCAAGCTGGAGTGCAGTGGCACAATCTCAGCTCACTGTAACCTCCTCCTCCCGGGTTCAAACGTTTCTCCTACCTCAGCCTCCTGAGTAGCTGGGATTACAGGTGGAGTTTCACCATTTTGTCCAGGCTGGTCTTGATCTCCTGACCTCAAGTGATCTGCCCACCTTGGCCTCCCAGAGTGCTGGGATTACAGGCATGAGCTACTGTGCCCGGCTGCTCTGATGTATTTTTATTATTAATTTTTTTTGAGACAGGGTCTCACTCTGTCGCCCAGGCTGGAATGCAATGGCATAATCACAGCTCGACTTCCTGGGCTCAGGTGGTCCGTCCGCCTCAGCCTCCTGTGTAGCTGGGACTACAGGTGCATGCCACCATGCCCTGCTAATTTTTGTATTTTTTTTTTGTAGAGATGATGTCTCACCGTGTTGCCCAGGCTGGTCTTGAACTCCTGGGTTCAAGTGATCTGCCTGCCTCAGCCTCCTGAAGCCTCTGATGTATTTTTAAACAACTATATGCAATCTGTCTCTATGCCCACGTTTGCCCCAGGCAGCCACTGATATTGTCTGTTCCCCTTAATTTTCTTTTCTTTTTTTTTTTGACATGGAGTCTTGCTCTGTCACCCAGGCTGTAGTGCAGTAGCACGATCTTGGCTCACTACAACCTCCGCCTCCCAGGTTCAAGTGATTCTCCTGTCTCAGCCTCCTGAGTAGCTGGGACTAAAGGCATGTGCCAGCAAGCCCAGCTAATTTATATATATATATATATATATATATATATATTTTTTTTTTTTTTTTTAAGTAAAGATGCAGTTTCCCCATGTTGACCAAGCTTGTCTTGAACACCTGACCTCAGGAGATCTGCCTGCCTCGGCCTCCCACAGTGCTGGGATTATAGGCATGAGCCACCATGCCTGGCCCCCATTAGTTTTCATTTCTAGGCATTTTGAATAAATGGAACCACACAGAACATTATCTTTCATGTCTGGCTTCTTTCATTCAACAGAATGATTTTGACAATCATCCATCTGTTACGAGTATCAGTGGTTTGTCTTTTTTAAAAATTAAAAAAATACTAACGGCTTTCATGAGGTATAACTGATGTACAGCAAACTGCATGTGTTTAAAGTGTACACTTTGATAAGTTTTGTTTTGTTTTGGAGACAGGGTTTTGCTGTGTCGCCCATGCTGAAGAGCGATGGCGTGATCATGGCACACTCCAACTTTTAACTCTTTGACTCAAGTGATCCTCCTATTTCACCCTCCTGAGTAGCTGGGAGTAGAAGTACACACCACCATACCTGGATAATTTTTTATTTTTTTGTAGAGGTGGGGTTTTGCTGTGTTGCCCAGGCTGGCCTCAAGTGGTCCTCCTGCCTTAGCCCCCCAGAGTGTTGGGATTAAAGGCATGAGCTACCATGCCCTGCCAATAACATTACACTCATGAATATACATTCTGAGCCATCCCTACAACCAAGACAATGAAAACACTCATCACCTCCCAGAATTTTCTGGTGGCCATTTATCATCCCTCCCTCCTGCTCCTTCCACCTCTATCTCTAGGCAACCACTGATTCTGCTCTCACTTGGGATTCATTTGCATTTTCTAGAATTATATATCAATGAGATCACATAGTATGCTTTTTTTTTTCCCAGGGGGTCTGGGTTCTTATTTGGAGATTCCTTTATACAGGGGCCTGTATCAACACTTCATTCTTTTTCATTGTTGAGTAGTATTCCATCAAATAGATAGACTTCAATTTGTTTATCTCCTTACCTGTTGACAGAAGTTTGAGTTTCCATTTCTTGGCCATTATAAGGAAAATCACAGTGGCCATTCTACTGCAACTCTTGTGTTTTCATTTCTCTTGGGTAAATATCTAAAAGTGAAACCACTGGATCATATGTAGCTACATGCTTAACTTTTAAAGAAATGATCAAACTGTGTTGAAGTGGTTGTACTACTTTATACTTCCACCAGCAGCGATGAGAGTTCCAGTTGTTCCACATCCTCAGCGACAATCAGTGTGGTCAGTCTTTTTAATGTAACTGCTCTCGTGAGTGTGCGGTAGGATCTCATTGTAGCTTTAATTTGCATTTCCCTGATGATTAGTGACATTGAGCATCTTTTCGTGTGCTCAGTAACCATTCATACATCTTTTGTGAGATGTTTGTTCAAGCCTTTTTTGAAATAGGGCCATTTGTCTACTTCTACATGAGTGAAATGAGAAATATAAAGGGTGTTATAAACAAGACAGTTATTCAGTGGTCCCTGTCCAGTTTTGCTCCTGACTTCTGCAGCTTGCTGCCGCCATTGTGGCTAGAAATCTGTTGGTGGAGGTGGAGGGCAATTGTGACGACCTGGGGCAAATGCAGCAAACAAAGTCATATGGCAGAGGTGGAGAGGGTAGAGAAGAGGGAGAGGCAAGGTCAAGGTTATGGCATCATAACCTCTGAAATGGGGCCCTTGTGATGGGGGAGGTCACTGAGTTTGGGTTCCCCCAGAAATCCTTTGGCCCCAGTACCCAAATGGCTCCAGGTTGAGTATCCCTCAAGCTGATGACTTATAAATTACCAGGAAATTTGGCTGCAGAGTGAAAACACCAAAGTTGAATCCCATCTATGTTAATGTCCATGTAAAGTAGGAGCAGCCAGGAGTGTGTGCTTCATGGTCTTTGCTCTGCTGTTCCTGGGCACTGGATGAGATGTCTTTTTCCAATAATGATGATTAAGATGGTGATATTAATAATTCTTTATCTTCATTGAGCATGTAATAATTTTAAAAGTCTTTTCTGCCTACCAGACTTCTTCCCTCCCAGCTGAGCAGGGCACTGGCCAGTGTTCCCACTTCACAGTTAAACTGAGCCAGGTCCTGAGAGGCTGGGAGGAAGAGTCAGGCTCAGTTCATGGCCTTGACTCTCTCCTCAGTCCAGAGACCCACGTTGAGCCATTCCCAGCGCTGTCTCCTGCATTTTATAGTAGCGACCTCCCACAATTTCCCAGCTCTGAAATCAAAGTTCAAGGCTGTCTGCTTTTTTTCTCTACTGGAGTCCTGTTGGTGACAGTTTGGACCCACCAATACCCTGTTGATCCCCCTGAGCCCTGCCTTTTTGTTTACTGCACAAATATGCACTGTTCAGAAAACAAACAACAAAAAGGGAAGCAATTCTGTTTACTAGACTTTTTGTTTGTTTGTTTGAGACAGGGTCTCTCTTTGTCGCCCAGGCTTGAAAGCAGTGCTGTGGTCATGCCTTTTTGCAACCTCTTTCTCCCATGCTGAAGCCATCCTCCCACCTGAGCCTCGGGAGTAGCTAGGACTACATATGCCTGCTACCATGCCTGGCTAATTTTTTTCATGTTTTGTCGAGATGAGTCTCTTTAGATTGCCCCGCGTGGCTTGCTGGATATTTGAGCCAAGGAAACTTGAGTGGATCTCATAACCTCAAGGGACCACATGTCCTTGAATGATGGACAGCCACCATTTCTGTCCTATCTACCTTATGTGGGTTTGACAGGCCTCTCCAGGCCTGGATCTGAGTCTAATGCAGGGCTTAAGTGATGCAGGCCTCTGGGCCACTGTAAGTCACCACGGAGCGTTTCTCCACCGAGCTCCAGCGGCTGCGGGGCCCGGCGCCGCCCTCGATTAATGCTGGCAGCGCCACCAAGCGGGCAGCTGGGAAACAGCGGCCACCTCATTCCAAGGAAGCGGGGAGGCGGAGAGAGTGGGGAGGGCCCCGCTTTGGTCGCGATCCGGTGGACACCATCCCGGCGGGGAGGAGCCTTCCCACGAGGACAGATGGCGACACACACGCCTGTTGGAGCATCCTGAGGCCCGCCTCTGTGGCTTCTGTTGTGACGCAAGCGTTCCCTCCGCGAGTAGGGTCTGTGGCCGGGGCTGTGTCTGCGGGACTGGGAAGCTCTCCCGTGAGGTATGTCTCGGGACCTTCCTGTCTGTGACTGGAGGGCATCTGCGGGCAGATGGGGCACCTGCACCTCCATCTCCGCTGCCCCTGCCCTGCCCTTCTACCCAGGCCTTGCAGTCACCAGAGATGGGATCCAGGCTCAGCTCGGCCACGTCTGAGCTTCTTGCCATCTGGGAAACGGGGTGCAGAGAGACATCCCAGGTTGAAAGCTAAACCTTCTTGCTGCAAGCCATGCCAGGGAGGTAGGTCAGAGGCCAAAAGCCTTTGCCTGAAATTTACGGCCCCGCAGTTGGGCCTTAGTCTCCTCTTCCAGTTTTATTTATTTATTTTTTTTAGAGACAAGTCTCACTCTGTCACCCAGGCTGGAGTGCAGTGGGGCGATTATAACTCACTGCAACCTCGAACTCCTGAGCTCAAGTGATCCACCTCAACCTCTGGCGAAGCTGGGACAAGCCAGTGCCACCTGCCCAGCCAAGTTTTGAATTTTTGCAGAGACGAAGGTCTCACTATATTGTCCAGGCTGGTCTCAAATTCCTGCCTCAAGTGATCCTCCTGCTTTGGCCTCCTGAAGTACTGGGATTACAGTCGTGAGCCACCAAGACTGGCCTCCTCTTCTACCCTCAACTCCAGCTACTTTTTTATTTTTGAGATGGAGTCTTGCTTTGTTACCCAGGCTGGAGTGCAGTGGCACGATCTCGGCTCACTGCAACCTCTCTCCTGGGTTCAAGAGATTCTTCTGCCTCAGCCTCCCAAGTAACTGGGACTACAGGCACACACCACCGTGCCTGGCTAATTTTTGTATTTTTAGTAGTGATGGGGTTTCACCATATTGGCCAGGCTGGTCCCGAACTCCTGACCTCACGATCCACCCGCCTTGGCCTCCCAAAGTGCTAGGATTACAGGTGTGAGCCACTGCGCCTGGCCGACTCCATCTACTTTTTACTCAGCCAGAGGGGCTCACTGTCCCTCTGAAATATCTCCACGGTTTCCCACCTCCACACCATCCGTGGTGCCTGGAAGGCATCTCCCCCAGCCCTCCTGAGATCCACACAAATGTTCATATTGGATGTGTAGATGTGGGGTATTATTATCTTAATGTTTTCTAATTATATGTGCTCTTCTATACACAAAAAGTGTAAAGAAAAAGTATCACCCACTTTCCTGAATTATTCCACTATTCTGATTTAACTATTTTATGTATATATACTTGTAGAGACAGGGTCTGGCCATATTGGCCAGGCTGGTCTTGAACTGCTGGCCTCAAACAATCTGCCTTCCTTGGCCTCCCAAAGTGCTGGGATTCCCGTCATGAGCCACTGCGCTGTGCCCCTATTATTAATTTTTAATTAATGTATTACTTAGACTTAAAAACATTTTTCTGTGCAAATACATATATGTATTTTACATACATGGACTACGTGTACTAACCACCTTTTAGTGTGGAGAAGTTACGCCTCTGCAGCCGGTTACTGAGCTTCTCGAAAGCGGAAGCTCCTACCCATCCGTCAAAGTGCAGCCCATGTCACTCCGCCCTGGAGGTCTCTGTGACTCAGACAGGCAGCGTTTACTGTCCTCTCACCTGGTTGTCGATGATACCTTGACCACACTTTAATTTCGGTACTTATTGTCTTATATTTGGCTATTGGTTTATGCATCTGAACTCTCCACTTGATTGGTACACATGGCACCCTCAGGCGTAGCTAATTTTTTACTTTTTCTAGAGATGGGGTTTAGCTGTGCTGCCCAGGCTGGTCTTGAACTCCTGAACTCAAGCAATCTGCCTGCCTCGGCCACCCGAAGTGCTGGGATTACAAGCATGAGCCACCGTGCCTGGGTGCTGCTATCTTCTAAATGAGCAGAATGCATAGATTCCTCTCTAGGGTTTGCAGATTTGAAAAGATGGGGTTTTGCACCATGCACCTAACATTCTTCTTGCCAGAAGCGCTCTGCAGAACAAAGGAGTTTTATGAAGACTAGGTGCCTCTAGCCTATCTTCTATCCTGGAACCTCAAACCTGGTAATCCATTATTTATTCAACAAATATTGATTGAGCACCTACTATGTGCCAGATACTAAGTTTAGAGAGTATAATAGTGAACAAAACAGAAATCCTTGCCTTCTATGGGACTTACATTTTACTGGAGGCATTCAGACAATAAACAAAGTAAATACTTAAAATATATAGTATGTTCGACGGTGTTGAGTGTTTGGGGAAAAATAAAGTGGAAGGGACAGTCCTATCCTTAGACCTGGGTAAGAGGGTCCCTTTCCCCAAGCTCCACCCTTCTCTAAGCCCCTCCAGGGCAAAGAGTCTGCCAGGACAAGGGGATGTGGCCCCTGGGAGCCCAAGATCCTTCTCTAGGTTTCACTCTGGTTATCCAAGACCTCAAGAGTTCCTGCTCAAATGGCACTGAACCCATGTTCGGGGCTTGTTTGTGTTCCCATAGGTCTGACCCTGAGAGAGTGGAATGTACCTGTAAGCCAAAAGTACAGTCAAGAGGTGACTGTTTCCTGGGGATGTAGCTGGGATGTTCACTTGTATGACTGAGGTGCAGGATGAAAATGGGTGTGGGAAGAGAAAGGGGGTAAACCATCATTTTTACTCTTTTTTTTTTTTTTTTTTTTTGACACAGAGTTTTGCTCTGTCACCCAGGCTGGAGTGCAGTGCGGTGATCTCGGCTCACTGCAACCTCCACCTCCCGGGTTAAAGCGATTCTCCTGCCTCAGCCTTTGGAGTAGCTGGGGTTACAGGCACATACCACCATGCCTTCTAATTTTTTGTATTTTTAGTAGAGATGGGGTTTCACCATGTTGTCCAGGCTGGTCTTGAACTCCTGACCTCAGGTGATCTGCCCACCTCGGCCTCCAAAGTGCTGGGATTACCGGCATGAGCCCCCATTCCCAGCCCATTTTTAATCTATTTCCAGGCTTTCCAAATGTTAGGGACAGGACTGGGAAGATAGATATGGAGACGGGGGGGTGGGGTGTCACTGCAATTTTAAGTAGAATGGGCAGGGAAGGTGACATTTTACTAAAGAAGAGGAGGAAAGGAGTGGTATGTGTAGATATAACTGAAAGTGCCCTCCAGGCAGAGGAAAAGTGAGTACGAAGGTGTGGAGGCAGCAGTGTGCCTGGGATGCCCAGGAAAAATAAACCTGGGTACTCGCCAGGTGCCATGGCCCAGGGGGACCTGCCAGATTTGTGCTTGTGCAAAACCTAAAAAAAATAGGCCCTTGAAGCCAGGCTCGGTGGCTCACTCCTGTAATCCCAGCATTTTGGGAGGCCGAGGCAGGCAGATCACAAGGTCAGGAGATCGAGACCATCGTGTCTAACATGATGAAACCCCGTCTCTAGTAAAAATACAAAAAAATTAGCCAGGCATGGTGGCGGGCACCTGTGGTCCTAGCTACTCAGGAGGCTGAGGGAGGAGAATGGCATGAACCCAGGAGGTGGAGCTTGCAGTGAGCGGAGATGACGCCACTGCCGTCCATCCTGGGTGACAGAGCAAGATTCCGTCTCAAAAATAAAAAAATAAAAAAAAAATAAGACCTCGATCAATGTTGGATTGAATGAACGAATGGTCCCACCTCTTGGAGGAGCCACTCCCAACAGCACACAGCTGCCTCTTCTTCCCGGCTCTGTGCCAAGGGGTGTTTCAGCTTTGCTTTGATCCTGATGACCAGGCACTGCTATTCTTTAGGCCGGGATTTCCCCAAGCCTTGGTATTTTTAAAAATAAGTTATAGTTCCCTTGAAACTCTCTCCTTATCACCTCCACCTTCCTGTTTTCATCTCCCACTCCTTGGCACCCTCTGTCTCCCCACGGTGTCCCCATGACGCTGCCTGCATGCCCATTGGCCCCAGCCTGGGAGCTTCTCAGAGACGCCCGGGCCAGACATGGCTGCAGATAGAGCCAAGAGGGTGGCCTCGGGTGGCTGGTGGCAGTCTCCTGGCTGTGGGGGCAGAAGTGGGGGCCTGGGAGGTGGCAGGCAGCTCAGGCCTAAGGAAGGATGGAGTCAGAGCTCAGAGATGTGACCGGAAAGGGCTCAGCCACGGGAAGGAGTTTGGGGATTTACCCACGTAAGTACTGAATTATTCGGCCAAAATTGAAACGTAAATAGGAACTGAGAGATGTAAACAGAATTTGGAAATCATTGTTGCCTTGATGGCACTTTTTGATCCTGACAAATTTAGACTTTCCTTTGACAGTCTCATGGATGACGCCAGACGGAAATAAATATTTAAGCCCATGAAAGTTGGGAAGTTGAATAGGAAATTTCCCCTACAAGAGGCTAGGATTGCAAAAGGTCACAACTCTAGAGTAAAGGTAAACCAGATATATACCAGTCCTTCTGGGGGATATCAGCTAAAGTTCTCATTGCCTGGGTGGACCAAGGAACATCAAACTTTGGACTTGGTTTAAGGTACCTCTGAACAGATGCTGCTTTTTGAGCCTCTGAGTCAGCATGCGAATTCCCCAAACCCATCAAGGTGGAAGCTCGCTCGTGTCCTCTGCAATGCCTAACTGCCACCTTGTGGGGTTTCCATACTGCTTCTAATCATTGCAAGATTTCTTGTGGATATTTTCTGTCTTTACCCTCAGAGTTCAATAGGCCCTTTTCTTTCTATCACGCTCCATGCACTTGAAGGGTTAAAAAGACATACCGGGAATCAGTGTAAATGTTGACAGTCTCACCCTCACTGAGTTCTAAGGCCCAATGAAAGCAATGAGTTCAGCTTTCTGGGCTGAAGTGGCCTGGGGCAACGATCCGGCTTCAACAACAGTGTCCAGAGTTATCACTGCATACCCTGCACCTCTCTCTCCTTGGGGGTTGAAGAAGCTGCTCCCATCCACGTATGGCTCCCAGTCTACTGATGCCCAAGCCTGGTCCCGGAGGTCAGGTCTGCTAGAGTCAATTGAGTCCAACATTTCTACACAATCAGGCTCGACAGGGCTCTCTGACACGGGGAGCAAGGTGGCGGGGTGTAGGGTGTTACAAACTTTAGTGGTTATACGGGGATTTTCACAGAGCAAAGTTTGGTCCTTGGTGAGTCTGGCATTCGTTAGCCAATGATGTCCTTTAGTATCCATTAAAGTCACCACAGCATGGGGGGCCTTTATGTTCAGGTTTTGCCCAAGAGTCAGCTTATCTGCTTCTGGTACTAGCAGGGCAGTTGCTGCCAAGGCCCTCAAACACGGGGGCCATCCTTTAGAAACCCCGTCTAGTTGTTTAGAGAGGTAGGCCACCAGCCTCAGCCAGGGCCTCACAGTTTGGGTGAAAAGTCCAGCTGCCATCTTTTCTCTCTCTGACACATACAATGGAAAAGGCTTTGTCAGATCGGGTAGCCCCAGGGCTGGGGCTGACATAAGTTTTTCCTTTAGGTCATGAAAGGCTTGCCATTGTAGGGATCCCTATTCCAAAGGTTCCTGGTACCTGCCCACTTTGTGACCCCATACAAAGGCTTGGCTAATACTGCAAAGTTTGGGATCCACAGTCTACAAAACCCCACAGCTCCTAAGAATTCTCTCACCTCCCTTCTGCTCTTAGGCTTCGGTAGATTGCAAATGACCTGCTTTCTTTCTGATCCCAGGCTGTGTTCCCCCTGTCAGATAGTAAATCCCCAGTAATGTACCTGCTGTCAGCAGATCTGAGCTTTCTTCTTGGACACCTTCTACCCACAGTCCACCAGGTGCCGGTGTAGGGCATCTGTTCCCTTGGTGCACCTGACTGCCATGGGGTGTCCCAGCAAAAGGGCATCAATCTACTGGAGCCACATGCAGTCTACGTCTGTGGTGGGAAATTTCTGGAGGTCGCGAGCCAACGCATACCCGAAGATGATGGCAGAGTTCTTGAGCCCTTGCGGAAGCCGGGTGCAAGTGTACTGAGTAGTCACACCTGACTCTGGATCTTTCCGCTGAAAGGCAAACAGCTTCTGGCTCTCAGGGGCTAATCTGATATGAAAGAAAGCATCTTTCCGGTCCAAACAGGTGAACCAGCTGTCCTTAGCTGGCAGTAACCCCAACACTGTGGATGGGTTAGGTACTGTTGGATGTAAAGTCAGTGTAGCTTGAAGAAGTAAGCACAAATCCTGTACCGGCCTGTAGTCCTTGGTCCCTGGCTTGGGAACAGGCAGGAGGGGAGTGTTCCGTGGAGACTGACAAGGAACTCTAATTCCAAAAGTTTTTAGGTGATTGAGACGGACCTGGATACCTTGAAGAGCTTCTCTGGGGATCGGGTCCTGTTTTTGCGTAACCAGCTGGGCCCCAGGCTTCACTTCTATGAGTATGGGGGCTGGGTTGACTGCCAACCCTGGAGGGTTGTGTCCCACCCATACTCTTGGCCACCGCTTAAGCAGAGCTGGTCTTCTCTCTTGGCCCGGCTCAGTTAAGAAAAGTCTCCATTCCTCCTGTCGGGGGACAGTAAGGGTCATAATGGCTCCCATTCTGGGTAACTTTAGCAGCAAAGACCTGTGCTCTGTAAAAGAGATAGTGGCTCTCAGCTTGCTAAGCAAGTCTCTTCCCAACAAGTGCAAGGGACAGTCAGGCGTGGACAAAAACTGCTGAATCACTTTATGTCCTCCTACAGCACAAGTCCGAGGCAAGCAGAAAGCTTGCTTTGCTGAAATCCCCATGGCTCTGATGATGTCAATAGACTTTTTGGATAAGGGGGCGACTGGAGCGGTTACAAGCGAATGTTCAGCACCGGTATCTACAAGAAAATCAATGTCTCTACCCCCAACTGTCATTCTGACCAGCGAGTCTTTGGGGACACTTGAGCCCAGTCTCCCTCAGTCCAATAAACCTTCTGCCAGGTTGAGCAGGACCCCTTCCTCCTTGTCCAGGGCCTCCTGCTCTGAGTCACCTGGTTTTCTTTTCAGCTGAGGGCATTTGTTCTTCCAATGTCCTATTTCTTTACAATCAGCACACTGATTAAGCTGCAATCTCTGACAGCCAGGCTGAGTTTCTTTCCCGGGGCCCCCCTTCCCTTGCCTCTTTGGGGGGACCCCTCTGATTGCTGCAGCTAACAGGTCGGCGTTTTGCCGGACCTGACATTCATTCTCTCTGCGGTTTTCCTTATGACTTACTGTGTCCCTGTTTACAAACACCTGGTTAGCTATTTCTAATAACTGTGATGTGTTCATCCCTGCAAACCCAGCCTGTTTCTGCAGTTTTCTTCTCATGTCTTCTGCGCTTTAACTAACTAAAGCCATGTGAATCATGCATTGATTTTCAGGGCTATCGGGACCAAAGGGAGTATACATACAATAGGCCTCACACAGTCTCTCCTAGAATTGTGCTGGACTTTCTTCTTTTCCCTGAATGACCTCAGAGACCTTGTTAACGTTTGTTGGCCTTCTGGGCTCCCCTCTGTAATCCTTCCAAGAGAGCTTCCCTGTCTCAGCTTAGCCTTTGCATATCCTCTCTTTCATTTGAGTCCCATTGGGGGTTGGTTCCTGGCAACTGGGTCTTTCCATACTCTTGGGGGTTTTGGTAATCAGCCGGTGCATGTTCCTCTAGCAACTTAGTTGCTCCGTGGAGCCCTCTCTGCCTTTCATCTCTGTTAAAGAGGAATATGAGCAACTGGTGGCAATCAGCCCAGGTGGGGTTATGGGTCTGGATAATAGTTTGGAGCAAATCAATCAGAGCTTGTGGCTTTTCGGTATAGGACGGGGTATTGTTTTTCCAGTTGAGAAGGTCAGCAGAGGTGAAGGGCTGGAACAAAGAAACACGCCTCCCCACCATGTGCCCATCCTCATCTATCCCAGTATACTGGTGCTCTCTCAGGGGCATGTGTATCCCCATTTTGGGTCTTAAACGAGCTGCCAAGGGAGGGGTTTCTTCCGAGGCTTCACCTCCTCTCTTGTCTACTCTGGGTGGCCTAGGGATATGTTTGTCTTGCGGAGGCGCAAGCACTGTGGATTCAAAAGTGGGGAGCCTCTCTCCCTGGTAAGGGGAGGGCACCACTGGGATCACTGGTGCCATCTCCTGCAATGGATCTTCTGATGTTGGGTTGAACAGAATTTCCGGAGTTGATTTCCCTGGGCAGGTGGAGCGGGATCCTTCCTTGGTTATCTGTCCCTTTGCTACTAGCACTGCTGCTGCCTGCCCTCTCAGCCACTGTGGGGGGTCTAGCACCAGCTGTAATCAAGTGTCTATGTATGGAAACTGGTCTGAGTGTCCTGACTTAACAGTTACCTTGTGCCATACCTTAGAAAGAAGGGACATGTCCAGGCTTCCTTCTGATGGCCAACCCACTTCTAAAGCTGGGCAATCTATTTCACACAAAGTTCTAAGTTTCCCTGGTGTCATAGTAACCCCATAGTCTCCATTAAATCCCTTCTTAAAATTTTTCAACATAGTTCCTAGCGGAGTAGGCTTACTTTGTGTCTGACCCACGTTTCCTCGAGATAGAACACCAAGCTCACACCACACGCACACCACAGAACAAAGAATGGGTAAAAAGGGCACACACACACTTTTTCAGTTTTCACAAAACCAGAATCAAAACCAAAATCAGAGTATCCAGAAATCCAAGCCACGTCAAACCAAAACCAAAGTATCAAGCAATTCAAGTCAAATCAAAAACAAAAACCAAAGTGCCAGTACAGGCACGCCATGGGTGATCAGGCCACGCTTCCACTCAAATGGAGTGGGCAAGTTCCAAAGACCAGTCTTACCAAGTTTCAAATGTCCAGACTCCAAGTGCCTCTTCCTGGTGTTCAGCCACTGCGTTGATCCTCCACAGGGGCCTACCACACACTGCTCTGATGAGGCGTTCCACTCGGGCAATTGCCTACCCGGCAGTGCTCTCTGCATGTGCGTTGCTCTAGCTGGCCAGAGTCCCCCGCAGGGATGCTCCACAGGGCAGGCCTAAGCCGCCTAAGGGGCTGCCTCGACTCTCCGTCAGTTACCTCGCTTCCCAGTCAGGGAACCATGAAATGTAGCAGGACGAGTCGCAGACAAAACTCCTCAGACACTGGATTAAAGAAGGAAGAGGTTTTTTTATTTGGCCAAGAGTGTCAGCACACTCGTGTCTTAAGAGCTGAGCTCCCTGAAAAAGAAATTCCTAGCCCTTTTAAGGGCTTACCACTCTCAGGGTTCTATGTGAAAACGTCATAATAGATCAAGTAAGCATGAGGAACGTGACTGGGGGCTACATACACCAGCTAACAGAACAAAAAGTTTTACAGTGCTTTCTCATACAACGTCTGGAATTTACAGATAACACCAGTAGTTTTGGTCAGGGGTTAATAATATTATTATTTTAAACACCAGGGCCAGGAGGTGGCGCCAAGGTCATCTAGCTATTTATCTTACTTCTATTTCCAACTTTTTGCTTTCTCCCTTTTCTCCTGTCTTATAAACTAGGGAAAAGGGGAGGTTGGGGAGAAACTGGGAAGGACAACAGGAGAAGTGGTGGCCTCATACCATATAATCATTGGGATGGATTCATCCCTGCAAGCCCAGCCTGTTTCTGCAGTTTTCTTCTCATGTCTTCTGCGCTTTGACGGACTGAAGCCGTGTGAATCATGCGCTGATTTTCAGGGCTATCAGGATCAAAGGGAGTATATATACCATAGGCCTCACACAGTCTCTCCTAAAATTGTGCTGGACTTTCTTCTTTTCCCTGAATGACCTCAGAGAGCTTGTTAACATTTGTGGCCTTCTGAGCTCCCCTCTGTAATCCTTCCAAGAGAGTTTCTCTCTCTTGGTTTCGCCTTTGCATATCCTCTCTTTCATGTGGGTCCCCCTGGGGGTCGGTTCCAGGTAACTGGGTCCTTCCATACTCTTGGGGGTTTTGGTAATCAGCTGGTGCATGTTCCTCTAGCCACTTAGTTGCTGCTTGGAGCACTCTCCGCCTTTCATCTGTGTTAAAGAGGAACATGAGCAACTGGTGGCAATCAGCCCAGGTGGGGTTGTGTGTTCAGATATTAGTTTGGAGCAAATCAATTAGACCTTGTGGCTTTTCGGTATAGGACAGGCTATTGTTTTTCCAGTTGAGAAGGTCGGCAGAGCTCAAGGGCTGGTACCCCAAAACACGCCTCCCCACCATGTGCCCATCCTCATCTATCCCAGTATACCACTGCTCTCTCAGGGGCATTTGGATCCCCATTTTGGGCCATAAACGAGCTGCCAAGGGAGGGGTTCCTCCCGAGTCTTCACCTCCTCTCTTGTCTATTCTGGGTGGCCTGGGGATATGCTTGTCTTGTGGAGGCGCAAGCACTGAGGGCTCAAGAGTGGGGAGCCTCTTTCCCTGGTAAGGGGAGGGCACCACTGGGATCACTGGTGCCATCTCCTGCAATGGATCTTTTGATGTTGGGTCGAACAGAACTTGAGGAGTTGATTTCCCTGGGCGGGTGGAGCGGGATCCTTCCTTAGCCATCTGTCCCTTTGGTACTAGTATTGTTGCTGCCTGCCCTCTCAGCCACTGTGGGGGGTCTAGCACCAGCCGTCACCAAGTGTCTATTTATGGGAACTAGTCTAGCTATCCTTTACCAGTTACCTTGTGCCACACCTCAGAAACAAGGGACCTGTCCAGGCTTCCTTCTGATGGCCAATCCACTTCTAATGGTGGGCAATCTATTTCCCACAGGGTTCTAGGTCCCCCTGGTGATCTAGTGGTTAGTCTTTGGCGCTCTCACTGCCACTACCCGGGTTTGATTTCCGGTCAGGGAACCAAGAAATGGAGCAGGAGGAGCCACGGAAAAGCCCCTCAGACAGCAGACTCAAGAAGGAAGAGGCTTTTTTATTCGGCCGGGAGTGTCGGCAGATTCTCGTCTTAAGAGCCCAGCTCCCCTAAGGAAGACAGAGTTCCTGGCCCGTTTAAGGGCTTACAACTCTAAGGGGTTCCACGTGAAAGAATCGTGATGGATTGAGAGCACATGTGCTTAGAGTGGGGGGGCGGGGGTTAATCTTTTCACCTCAGGCCGGCTCATCAGTGCCACCGGCTGGTCTTGCCACTGACTTTATTCCTGTTGTTTTTCAACTTTTACTTCCTCCTCCTCTTCAGAGACAGGAGACAGTAGACAAATGGCTTCTCTCCTCAGGGCGGCAGGATGGTATTACTCCCAATATCGCAGGGGGTGTACACAACCCTGTGATATTGTTCCTAATATCCAGAGCGAAAGAGGATGATATGACTCTCAATATCGCAGAGGGTGTGCACCCGTCCTGTAATATTGTCCTTAATACCCTGCGAGGGAGAGCATAAGATGACATTGAATATCGCAGGGGATGTGCACCCTCCACCTCTGATACACTTCCTAATATCCACGGGAAGAGAGGATAATTTTACTCCCAATATCGCAGAGGCAGTACACCAGCCCCCCACACCCGTGATATTGTTCCTAATATCCAAGAAGGGAGAGAATGATACTTCTCTCAATCAAGCAGTGGGTGTACATTACCCCTGTGTTATTGTCTCTCATATCCGGGGGTGGAGGGGTGGCGGAGAGGATAACATTCCCTCAAATTTGGCAAGTGGTTTGACGCCCCTTGTGGTATTGTTTTTAATATCCAGCGGGGAAGACAATACTACTACTCTCGATATCACAAGAAATGCACATCCCCCTGTGATATTGCTACTAATATCTAGGGGTAGAGAGAATGATGTTACTCCCAATATCGTCAAAGTGTCCACCCCCCTCCACTTTGCTATTGTTCTTAATATATGGAAGGCAAGTATGATATGACTCCCAATATGGAAGGAGGAATACACGCCCCTGTGATATTGTTCCCAGTATACAGTGCAGGAGAGAATGATATTACCCCCAATAACGCAGGAGGGGTACACCCCTCTGTGTTCTTGTTCATAAGGTTCATTAGAAAAGATGATTTTACTGGAAATATCGTGAATACACTGTATGTCCTCAGTGGCTGCTAACATGCAAGGAGGGAAGGGGGTTGATATTACTCTGCGCATCAGCGGAGCGTGTCCACGCCCCTGAGATGTGGCTCCTATATCCATGGGGAAAGGGGATAGATATGACTCCCCGCATCACTGGGAGTGTCCACCCCTCTGCGATGTGGCTCGTCTTATCGGGGGTGGGTTGGTGATATTTCTCCCCGCATCGTGGGGGTCGCCCGCCCCCCTGCGATGTGTATCGTAATAGCAAGGGAAGGAGAGGGGGATGACATTACTCCCCGCATCGTGGAGGAGTCTATCACAGATCGGGATACTATCCACCCTCTGGGATATGGGGAGTACACCCCCTGTGATATTGGGAGGAATATCATACTCTTCCCCCCTGAATATTAGGAACAATATCATGAAGGGGGTGTTCACCCCCTGCCATATTGTGAGTCATGTCATTTTCTCTACCCCTGGACATTAGGAGCAATGTCACAGGGGTGGTGTACAACCCCTGCGAAATTCGGAGGTACATCTTCCTCTCCACCTTTGGATATTAGGGACAATAACACAAGGGAGGTCTACACGTTCTGGATTATTGGGATTAATACCGTCCTCTCCGTGCCCGGATATTAGCAACAAGATCACAGAAGGGAGGCCCACCCGGTGCGTTATTTGGCGTAATGGCATCGTCTACCCCTGGCTGTTAGGAACAACATCACAGGGGGCGTATATGTTTTCTGCGATACTGTGTGGAATGGCGCAATATTACTTATCGCAATTAATAATATCAATTATGAATAAATAATATCAATCAATAATATCAACTATTAATACTAATAATTATTAGTAATTGATATTAATTGTAATTATCAATATTAATAACTGATAATATAATTTTTAAAATCAATATCCATAATAATGAAAATTAATATTAAATACTTGTGCTAATGATAACAATAAATGAGAAATATTAATGATTAATAACGCCTGATATTCATAACCGATATCGACCTTATTCATTAGAAAAGAGTAATATTAGCTCCTAATGATTGATATTAATATTAATAATACTAATATTAATAATGTGAAAACGTTTTATTGGCAATTATTTCTTCATATTACTATTGGTAATTCATATTCGTGTGAATAATAAATGAGGAATAATTAATATTAATATTGCACCTAATACCTTAGTGGGTGTACACCCACCTGTGATATTGTTCCTAATGTTCAGGGAGGGAGAGATCATGATATTACGTTCAATATCGCATTAGGTGTACACACAACCGGTGATATTGATCCGAATATAATCTCCAGGGGGTGGAGTATGACGTCACTCCCAATAGAGCAGTGGGTGTACATCCACCCGGTGATATTGCTCCTAATATTCACGGAAGAAGAGAATGCTGTGATTTCCAGTATCGCAGAAAGTGTACACCCCTTCTGTGATATTGTTCCTAATATCCGGAGGGGGACAGGGTGATATTACTCGCAATATCGCAGTCTGTGTACACCCACCCTCTGATATTGTTCCTAGTAGCCAGGAAGGGAGAGGACGATATGACTTCCCATACAGCAGGAGGAGTACACCCATTCTGGGATATTATTCCTAATATCCATGGAAAGGAGAGGCTGATATGACTCCCAATATCGCAGGGGGTGTACATCCAGTCTGTGATATTGTTCTTAATATTCAAAGACGGAGAGGTTGATATTACTCCCAATACCACAGAAAGTGTACGAACCCTTGTGATATTGTTCCTAATATCCAGAAGAAGAGAAGATGATATTACCTCCCATATCACAGGAGGAGTACACCCACTCTGCGATATGTTTTCTAATGTGCGGGGCGGGAGAGCATAACATTCTTCTTACAGCACAGGGTGTGTACAGCCCCCCTGTGATATGGTCCTTCATATTCCAAGGCGGAGAGGATGATCTTACTCCCAATACCGCAGAAAGTGTACACCACCCCAGTGACATTGCTCCCGTGATCCAGGAGAGAAGAGGATGATGCTACTATAGATATCGCATGGGGTGGACACACCCCCAGTGATATTCCTCCTAATTTCAACGTGGGAGAGGATGATACTACACCCAATGCCGCTGGGGGTAAAAAGAATCCTGTGATATTGTTCTTAATATCGAGGGAGAAGAGGATGCTATTACTGCAACTAGTGCAGAAGATGCACACCCGTCTGTGATATAGTTGGTAATTTCCAGAGGTGGAGAAGATATTACTGACAATAACGTCCACAAGCGGTGTGACCACCGTGGACCGTTATATCCAGGGCGGGAGAGGGGGGAGATATTACTCCCCTCCTCGCGGGGGGCGTCTCCTCCCCCCATGCGGTGCGGATCGTAATATCCAGTGGGGGAGAGGGGGGTGATATTACTCCCCGCATCGCAGGGGGGGTCTCCGCCCACCTGCGGTGTGGATCGTAATACCCAGGGCGGGGAGAGGGTGGTGATATTACTGATATTACTCCCTGCATCTCGGGGGGCGTCTCCCCCACCCCTGCGGTGTGGATCGTAATACCCGGGGGGGGGGGGAGGGTGGTGATATTACTCCCTGCATCGCGGGGGGCGTCTCCCCCACCCCTGCGGTGTGGATCGTAATATCCAGGGTGGAGAGGGGGTGATATTACTCCCCGCATCGCGGGGGGCGTCTCCCCCACCCCTGCGGTGTGGATCGTAATATCCAGGGGGGGGAGAGGGGGATGATATTACTCAAGTATTCTTATGATCTTTTCTCTACTGCCACACTTGGTTAACACCCTGGTACATTATTTTCCATATTCTAGCGAGTTACCACTACTAAAGTCACAGGGGATAGACACCCTGCGATATTATTTGTCATATTGTAGGGGAATGTTCATCCAGATGTCACAGGACTCTACACACTGTGATGTTATTCCCAATATCCTAGGGGAATGTTAGTAATGATGTCACAATGTGTGTGCACCTTGTGGTGTTTTTCTTAATCTCCTAAGGGGAGGTTACTTTTATTGTCACACTGGATATGTTCCCTTTGATATTATTCATCATATCCTGGAGGGATGTCACTCCTTGTGTCACAGGGTTTGTACACTTTGTCAAATTACTCGTATTATCCTTAGAAGATGTCACTCCTCATATCACAGAGGGCGTACACTCTGTGATATTATCGTCATTTTCTAGGGAATTGTTACTTTTAATGTCACAGAGGGTGTACACCTTGTGAAATTATTCGTTATAATTTTGTGGGATGTTACCCCTAAGGTCACACGGGGTGTACACACAGTGATATTACGTGCAATATTCTATAGAAATGTTACTCGTAAATCACAGGTCCTGTACACCCTTTAATATTCTTCGTAATAGTCTAGGAAAACGTTACTGCTAATGTCACAGGGCGTGTAGACCCTGTCGTAAAATTCATAACATGCTAGCTGGTGTTCACTACTCATTTCACGATGCGTGTACATCCTTTGATATTATTCGTATTATCCTGAAGAGATGTTACTACTGATGTCCCTATGCAGGTACATTCTCTGATATTATTCGTTATATCCTCGGGGGATGTTCCTTCTAATGTCACACGCTTGTACTCCCTGTGTTCTATTTCGTAATATCCTAGGGCAATTTTACTTTCAATGACACAGGGTTGTAGACATTGTGATATTATTCGTGATATTCTAGAAAGATGTTACTCCTAATGCCACAGGGGTCCTAATGTCACTGGGGGTGTACACCCCGTGATATTATTCTTACTATTCTATGGGGATGTTACTCTTAATGTCACAGGTGTGTTCCTTCTGTGATAGTTTTGAAAATATGCTAGCAGGATATTACTACTAATGTCACAATACGTGTACACCTTGTGATATTATTAGCAATATTCAGGGGGGATGTTACTCCTAACGTTACAGGGGTGTACACTGTGTGATATTGTTCCCAAGATTGTAGGGGGATGTTACTCCTAAAGTCACAGGTGTGTATACACTGTGATAGTATTCACAATATACTAACGGGAGATTACTACGAATTTCACCATGTGTGTACACCTTGTGATATTATTTGTAATATCCTGGGGGGACGTTACTCCTAACGTCACGGGGTGTACACCCCGTGTTACGATTAGCAATATTCTAGGGGGATTTTACTTTTAAAATCACAGAGGGTGTCAACCGTGGGATCTTATTGGTAATATCCTAGGAAGATGTTACTAGCAATGTCACATGGGGTGTACACCCTGGGATATTATTTTGAATATCCTAAAGAGATGCTATCTTAATGTCATGGGGTGTGTACACCCCTTGAAATTATTCGTAATATCCTAAGGAGATAGTACTTTAAAAATCACAGTGGGTGTGAACACATGGAGTACTCCCTGTGATATTACTCACAATATCTGAGGGAGGGATAACTTTTAATA
Source organism: Homo sapiens (assembly GCF_000001405.40). Classification (NCBI taxonomy): domain Eukaryota; kingdom Metazoa; phylum Chordata; class Mammalia; order Primates; family Hominidae; genus Homo; species Homo sapiens. The sequence goes on along the minus strand of NW_018654717.1, from coordinate 1,429,093 downwards.
TCACAGTGGGTGTACACACTGTGATATTATTTGTCATATCGTGGAAGTATATTATTCTTATTGTCACAGGGGTTTAACATCCTGTGAAATTATTTGTAGTAATCCAGGGTGATGATTACCCTAAAGTCACAGGGTGTGTACACCCTGTGATATTATTCGTAATATTCTAGGGGGACGTTACTCCTAATGTCACCAATCTGTGCACGCTGTGATATTATTCACAGTCTACTAGCTGGTTATTGTTACTAATGTCACAGTGCGTGTACACCTTGTGATATTATTCGTAATATCCTAAGGGGATGTGACTCCTATTGTCACAGGGGGTGTGCTTTCTGTGCTATGATTCCTAGGATCCCAGGCGGACGTTACTCCTACCATACAAATTGTGTACACGTTGTTATATTATTCCTAATATCCTAGAGTGATGTTACTCCTCATGTCACGGGGGTGTCCACCCTGCGATGGTATTCTTCACATTCTACAAAGATGTTTACTTCTAATATCACAGAGGGTGTACAATCTGTGAAGTTATTCATAATCGTTTCGGGGGATGTTACTCCTAATGTCACACGTGGTGTACAATCAGTGATATTATTTGTAAAGTTTTTTCAGATATGTTACTCCTAATATCACAGGGGCTGTACACCCTGTCATACTATTCGTAATATCCTAAAGAAATGTTACCACCAATGTCACAGGTGGTGTACATCGTGGGGTATTATTCCCAATATTGTAGGGTGATGTTACTCCTAATGTCACAGAAGGTCTTCACACTCTGATAATATTCGTAGTGCCCTAAAGGGATGTTACTACTGATCTCACAATGCAGGTACACAATCTGATATTATTTCTTATATCCTCGGGCGATGTTACTTCTAATGTCACAGGGGGTGTACATTTTTCGAAATTATTCATAATATTTTAGAAAGATGCTACTCCTAATGTCACAGAGGGTGATATGGGGGTGACCACCGTGTACATCACTGAGGCCACTGCACCCTGTCTCAGGGAAGATGACACATCTGAACTGAGGTAGCTTCCAACGCCTGTTCCATAAAATCAGCAAACAACTGACAGGTAAGACCCACAGGTGGAGAAGGCCTTATACTTCCCACCTGATGATGAAACCCTCAGAATGGAGAAAACAATTTTAGAGTAAGAGAAAAGGGTCCCCGAGATGGGAGGAAAACCAAATATGGCAGCAGGGAAATGCATGATTATGTTATTGGTGAAGGTGTCACAACATGCAATATGGGGGAGTTGAGAAGGGTCACAGAAGAAATTAGGAATTTCCACATCCTTGAAGCAGTTCATTTGTAAGGCAATCAAGTTGTGCAGCTGCACTTCTAAAAGACCGAGAAAAAAAAAAAGACAACAAAAGTAGGAAGCCACAGAAACACGGGTTCATGGTGGCTGAATGATATAGAGGGTGACAGATGGCTACAAACCGGTCATAGGCCATCACACTCAGGAGCATGTCTCTCTTCCATGCCTCCAAAAATGGCAAAGAGAGACATCTGAGTCAGACGGCCTGCATAGGAGATGACTCTGCTGTGAGATTGGATGTCCACAATCATCTTGGGGACCGCGGTGGAGGTGAAACCGATGTCAGGCAAGGACAGGTTGGAGAGGAAGAAGTACATGGGGGTGTGGAGGTGGGACTCAGGGCTGACAGACAGGAGGATGAGCGGGTTCCCCAGCACAGTGACCAGGCACATGGACAGGAACAGCCCAGTGACGACCGGCTGCAGTTCTGGATCCTGTGAGGTTCTAGGAGGAGGAATAGAGAGACATCTGTTAGATTCTGTGGGTCTGTAGAGTTTGGACAGCTTTTGCCTAGAAAAGAGGTTGAAAAATCGGAAACAACTAAACCAACACCCAGCATTGTGTCTGCATTTTGGATAGAAGCAATTCACAAGTAATGTTTTCAGATTTCAGAGCAATCCACACTCAGCAATATTTTGCAGTTCTGACAAACTCAATTGTCTTCTAATGCTTTCATCATTGATTTCTGTGTTATTCACTTCTTGCTGTACACACCTGCCTTAGAGATAGTAGATTCAAGAATGCTCCAAGAACCAGATCGTCATATAGAACAAATTCATAATTGCTAGAAAATACAGCCTATCTTTTCCGAAGAAAAATATGTAATAAAACCATTCTCTTCACTTTAAGAAAATGGTTATCCTAATTAAAGGAAATTAAGAACTCAAATATTTTATTTGATTCGAATAGATTGATACAAATTCCCTTGATTTAGAACATTTATAAACACTGTATAACAGCTGAGACCATGCCATCTGGAAATGAAATTACAGTTGGTAGTTCCTAAGCAGAAAATATTTCCATATGCCAATTAGGTCCTAGTGATTTCATCATTATGTTTTCTGACTTTTCTCCTTCCCGAGAGTAATTGCTTACTCAAATCGGTGCGTCTTGTGTTAAAATTCATGTAAGCTATAAATCCTGTCCTCAGCTTAGGTGGACTTAGAGTTCTCATCGGAAAGTTGGGCCGGACGCCGTGGCTCATGCCTGTAATCCCAGCACTTTGGGAGGCGGAGGAGGGTGGATCACCAGGTCAGGAGATCAAAACCATCCTGGCCAACATGGTGAAACCCCGCCTCTACTAAAAATACAAAAACGTCACCCGGTATGGCGGCGCGCGCCTATAGTCCCAGCTACTCGGGAGGTTGAGGCAGGAGAATGGCTTGAACCTGGGAGGCAGAGGCTACAGTGAGCCGAGATCACACCACTGCACTCCAGCCTGGGCAACAAGAGCAAAACTCTGTCTCAAAAAACAAAAAACCAAAAACACACGCTCTGTCACACTGACGTCACACTGATGACAGCCAATTTTTGTGAACCAAGGAAGTGTCAATTCAATAATTCACATAGGCGTTTCCTTTTGCTGTCTCCTATGTGCCAAGCAAGATATAGGCTCTGGGGAATCAGAAACAAAAGAGACTCACTTGTTCCTCTCACAGTACTCAGTCCTTACTGAGAGAAGGAAAAAACAAAATGTCCTGTCTGGAATGCAGGGAAACCAGAACTTCAGGTCAGGGGATATTTCTGTTGAACCGTATGGAGTTTAAGCTTAAAATATTAACGAATGTATCTAAAATTCACTTTGTCTTTACTTTACGCGTCCATCACATAGAGATCACGCAGCGGGCATCCACGATCGGTTTAATCGTCGCTCACTTCCATTGGATCAACTAGAAATCAACTCAGATGAGAGTGCTGAATCTCAGAGGATGGATGTCTCACCCTTTGCCATACAGATAAGCAGAAAGGGTGGTATTGAAAATTAATGGCCAGACTCTAAGTCCCGGGCAATATACTTGATGGTCTCCCAACCCTCAAAATGTTTGGGTTCTTTTTTGTTTTTGTTTTTGTTTTTTATTTTGAGATGGAGTCGTTCTGTTGCCAGGCTGGAGTGCAGTGGAGTAAGCTCGGCTCACTGCAACCTCCGCATCCCAGGTTCAAGCTATTCTCTTGCCTCAGCCTGCCGAGTAGCTGAGATGACAGGGGCCTGCCACTACGCCCGGCTAATATTTTTCTCTTTTTAGGAGAGACGGGGTTTCACCATGTTGGCCAGGCTGGTCTCGAACACCTGACCTTGTGATTCACCTGCCTCAGCCTCCCAAAGTGCTGGGATTACAGGCGTGAGCCACCGCGCCCAGCTTCCAAAAGTTTTCAACAGAGCTCAGAGGTCTTAACCACAAGCATATCGGAGGAGCATTTTTGAAACACTTCCCAGCTTCCTCAATAAGAATGGAAGCCAAACCCCGAATTGATGACTCCTTTGAGGAAGTCGAGAGCTGTAAGGAAAGCCAGGAACAGGGGCAAGGGAGAGATGCATCCTGAATGATCCTGTGCCAATTATTCCTGGAATCCTCGATGTGATCTCAGCTGCCCTTTCCATTCTTGACACAGTGATTGTGGCACCCACTGGTCTAGCTGTGATCTACAAGGAACCCCCAAAGGGAAGGGCACAGTGAGCAGGGGCATCGGCCTGAGTGACAAGGATTTGAGAGGGCAGGTTGGATGCAGGGAGAGGACTGGCCAAATGCCATGTGTCTGGACTTAGACTGCCTGGTTCAAATTGGGCTTCACCCTTTTTGACTTCATGATCTGGTACAAGTTATAACAAAATATGTTGCTCCTTTTCTAGTCTGTAAAATCATCATGAAATGTGCACTAATAACTGGGAGACTACGCAGATGAAATGAAACAAGCTGCAACAAGCTGCATAGAACACAGAGCTCAGAGCCTGGCCTTTAGGAAGCCCTCAGTAAGGGTTCATGATGCCATGGTGTCTGTCATCATCCTCTTTTTCCTCATCATCACCTTCATCATCTTTTTGTTGTTCTGAGGGAACAGTTTAGAGGGACTCATTCCCTGCTATCATGGGTGAGATGTCTATGAAAAGGACAACCAGTGGGGGAGGGAAGCAAAATTTTGAAGAAGATTCCTGAGAGAGACCCCCCACCACAACCAAGAACAGGAACTCCACAGTCTGCTGAGCTGACAGTTTGCACATTCGTCTCCTCCCGTCTTCCCACCGCACTGTCCTGTTTGTCCTGAGGATGAGGAAACAAACAACGCTCCCGACTGTCCCTCAGCACTCACTGAACTGCCCTTCCCCTCTGCTAGGCCACGACCACTGAGAACAGGTCCACTGTTCTCCCTGCATGGTGCACATTGGAGGCTCAGACTCCGTCCTCAAGGCTGGCCAGAAGACAGGGTGAGACATGAGCCTCCCGATACAGGTGACGGTTGTGGAGCCCACAGGACTGCAACCTCACACTGCAGGGCTGGAGGCACAGACTGAGTATTTACTATTCTATGGCCTGGGGGGCTCAAGGCACAGAGCCCCTCATTAGCCAGAGTCGCCCAAGTTCCCCAAGCTCTAAGGATTTCCTCATCATCATGCAAGAAGAAGAAGAGAAAAGCGAGTGTCCATAGAAGCTTTGGGGCTCTTCCTCTAATCAGGAGAGAGCTTGTGTGTATTATTCGCTTCTTTCTTTTCTTTTACAAGATCCAAGTGCTTTAATTTTCATCTTTTATTATGGGAAAATATACCACTTATAAATGCTAAAAATTATAAATATAGATTATTTCATATAGAATGGCCAGTATAAACATTTACAATTTCCACTGTTTTTCAGTTTATAGTTTAATCACATTAGGTACATTCGCATTGTTTAGCAACCAACACTGCCATCATCTCCAGAACAGTTTTATCGTTGAAAATGGAAATTGCACCCATTAACCAAACTCTCCATTCCTCTCTCTCTCGCCCACCCCTGGGGGCCACCATTCTATTTTGCAACTCTATAAGTTTAGCTACTGTAGACACGTGATATAAGTGGAATCATACCGTGTTTAATTTTTTTGGTTTGTTTGTTTTGGAGACAGAGTCTTTCTCTGCTGCCCAGGCTGGAGTGCAGTGGCGTGGTCTGGGCTGACTGCAACCTCCACATCGTGGGTTCAAGCGATTCTTGTGTCTCAGTCTCCCAAGTAGCTGGGATTACAGGCATGCGCCACCATGCCCAGCTAATTTTTGTATTTTTAATACAGACAAGCTTTCACCATATTGGCCAGGCTGGTCTCAAACTCCTGACCTTAAGTGATCCGCCTGCCTCAGCCTCCCAAAGTGCTGGGGTTACAGGTGCGAGCCACTGAGCCTGGTCGTGTTTATCCTTTTGGGATTTCTTTATTTCACTGATGAGAATGTCTTCAAGGTTCATCCGTGTTGCATCCTATGTCAGAAGTGCCTGTCTGGTTGTTTGGGTGTTTTTTTTTCTTTTTTTTTTGGTTTTGTTTTGTTTTGTGTTTACATGGAGTCTCACTCTGTCACACAGGCTGGAGTGCAGTGGCACAATCTGGGCTCACTTCAACCTCCATCTCCCGGGTTCCAGCGATTCTTGTGCCTCAGCCTCCCGAGTAGCTGGGACTATAGGCACAGGCTACCACGCTCGTCTAATTTTTTGCATTTTCAGTAGAGACAGGGTTTCACCAAGATGGCCAGGCTGGTCTTGAATTCCTGACCTCAGGTGAACCACCCACCTCGGTCTTCCAAGATGCTGGGATTCCAGGCGTGAGCCACCGCACCGGCCAGAAGTGCCTGCCTTTTTAAGGCAGAATAGTCTTCCAATGTATGAAGGAACTGCAGTGTGCTTTTTCATTCAACTGTCCACAAACCCTTGGGTTGCTTCCACATTTTGGCTCTTGTGAATAATGCTGCTATGAATTTGGGTGTACAAATCTCTCTTCCACTCCTGGCTTCTAATTCTTTTGGCAGGTACCCACAAGTGCAACAGCGGGAACATCTGATAATCCTGTTTCTACTTTTTCCAGTACACACCATACTATTTTCCCTGTTCCTTCACGGTTTTACATTCCCTCCAATCAGATTCGAGCATTCCTACTTTCCTCTAGTCTCACCAATGCTTGTTTGTTTATCTTATCCATCCTAATGTGTGGTATCACATTCTTGGTTTGATTTGCACTTCCCTATGATGAGTGATTTTGAATATCATTTTAGATGCTTATTGGCTATTGCTATATCTTCTTAACGACGTGTCTACTCGAGTCTTCTGACCATTGTTAATGGGATGCTTTGAGTTTCTTGTTGTTCAGTTCTAGCTGTTCTTTGTATATGATGCATATCAGCCTCTTTTCAGAGATATGATTTGCAAATATTTTTCCTAATCCATGGGTTATCTTTTCACAGTTCACAGTGTTTGCTGATGCACAAAAGTGTCTGTCATTTAGATGTGATCCAAGGAATCTAATTTTCTTTTGTTGCCTATGCTTTTGGTGTCATATCCCAGAAAGCATTGCCCAATCTGATGTCATGAAAGCGTGGCCAATGTTTTCTTTTAGGCATATTATACTTTCAGCACTTGGGGTTAGGGCTTTGACCCAGTTTGTGTTAATTTTTGCACCTGGTGTGACATAGGGTCCACCTTCATTCTTCTGCATGTGGAAATCAAGTTTCTCCAACACCATTTCTTGAAAAGGCTGCTTTTCCACCAATGAGTTTTCTTAGCACTCATGTTAAAAATCGTTTGAACATATAGGTGAGAAGTTATTTCTGGGCTCCAGAACAAACAAACAACAACAGACAACAGATAAGGATACAGCATGGGCCGGGCATGGTCGCTCACACCTGTAATCCAAGCACTTTGGGAGGCCGAGGCGGGTGGATCACCTGAGGTCAGGAGTTCAAAACTAGCCTGACAGACAGGAAGAAACCCCCGTCTCTACTACAAATACAACATTAGCTGAGCGTGCTGGGGCATGCCTGTAACCCCAGCTGCTCAGGAGATGGAGGCAGGAGAATCGCTTGAACCCAGGAGGCAGAGGTTGCGGTGAGCCAAGATTGCACCATTACACTCCAGCCTGGGCAACAAAAGTGAAACTCTGTCTCAAAACAAAAAACCAAAAACAGAAAATCCAGCACGATATCGAGAGCAGAAAGAGAATAGCTGAAAAACCAGCATAATGAGAAAATGAGGAAGCTTCTTACCAAAGCATCTGGAAATATGCAAGCAATTCTTGTGAACTAAAATTTTCATACTGTACTACCAAACACTAGAACTCACTTATTCCATCTTTCTGTATTTTGGGACCCAATTATCCACTTGTCTTCATTCCCCATCCCACCCCTTTTCTTCCTAGCATCTGCTAACCCCCTTTATACTCTCCACCTTCCTGAGATTCCTTTTGTGTGTAGGTGTGTGATGGAGTCTCTTTCTGTTGCCCAGGTTGGAGTATACAGGTACAATCCGGGCTCACTGCAAGCTCCGCCTCCCGAGTTCAAGCGCTTCTTGGGCCCCAGCCCTCCGAGTAGCTGAGACTACAGGCACGCGTCACCACGCCTGGCTAATTGTTTGTGTTTTCAGTAGAGACAGGGTTTCACCATGTTGGCCAGGTGGGTCTCGATCTCCTGGCCTCAAGTGATCCGTACGACTCGGCCTCCCAGAGTGCTGGGATTACAGGCCTGAGCCACCACACTTGGCCAAGATTTTCTTTTTTGATCCTACATAGAAGTGAGGACATGAAATAGTTGTCATTCTGTGCTTGGCTTATTTCACTTCATATACAGACCTGCAATCTCATCCATTTTGTCTGCAGTGGAGAGAATTTTATTTATTCCTTTTTAGCCTGAATAATACTTCATTGTGTGTGTATACCACAGTTTCTCAATTGAAACAAATTTCTAAAAAGCAAATATTTTTAACTTGTCTCGGAATGTGAAACTTCAGGGATACTGTGCCCATTTTATTCTTTTCTATTTCCCATCTTATGTATATGCAAGTGTATAACAAAGCAGCAATCAATGTGTGTATAAATCTATAATTTCAACAAATGTAAAATGAAAATGCTAAGTGGTGGCTGGGCGCGGTCCCTCCCGCCTGTAATCCCAGAACACTGGGAGGTGGAAGCGGGCGGATCACTTGAGGTCGGGACTTCAAGACAAGCCTAACCAATATGGGGAACCACTGTCTGTACTAAAAATACCAAAAAAAATATAAATAAATAAATAAAAAATAAAATTAGCCAGGCATGGTAGCGCATGCCTGTAATCCCAGCTACTTGGAAGGCTGAGACAGGAGAATCGCTTGAATACGGGAGGCAGAGATTGCAGTGAGCCGAGATCGTGCCATTGCACTCCAGCCTGGGCAACAAGAGTGAAACTCTGCCTCAAAAAGAAAAAAAAAAAAAGAAAGAAAAAAAAATAGAAAATGCTAAATGGTAAGAAACAACAGCATAATAAACATTGGTACGGTGTTGATGGACAATGCATTGGAAGATAATATTTGAAGAAATCATATTACAATTAACTTCTGTTCTTACTCATTGGAGCTTGATGCCTCTAAAAACTTCCTCATTGCAACCACCTCTGGTGCTTTAAAAAAAAAAGAAAAAAATCCACACACTCACACAGGTGCAGAGAAATCAGAATCTCAGGTAATGAGACCCAGGCCTCATCATGTGTAAGCTCCCCAGGTGATTTGACTCAAAGCCAAGATTGAGGAACGGCGACATGGATCTCTACACAGAACCTGCCTAAATAGATTCTCTAGAAGAAGTTTATAAAGAAATTCCACATGAACTGTGGAAGAGGATATGAATTTGATGTACAGTATGTCCTCACTTAACATCTTTGAAAGTCTCTTGGAAACTTCACCTTGAAGCAAAATTAGGTATAGTGAAACCACTTATTCCTCTCCAACATTATAACTACACAACTTTGAAGAACCAGTGGTGTTGGAGGACCTGCTGTACATTGTTTCCATAAAGTCAATTTTCAAGGAATTCCAAAATGAAGTGAGGACTTCACGTATATAAAAAGATGGTTGTGATTCCACCTGGATGACAGGGTTATTGCTCAGAAACCAAAGGAGGCCGCCTAGGTATAGATGATTCAGTCATGAGGTTTAAGCTAAACAAAGGATCCCAGAATCCTCACCCATTCCAGTTAAAGACATAAAGAAGAAAACAATATTCACAAAGGAAATGCGGAAAGGAATAAAAGCCATCAAGCCACAAAAATAACGTGACTAAGGGGCAGGATTTGCAGATGTAGAGATTTAATGTGGTTGCCCTTTCTCACCCACACAAGAAAAAGGATGGAACAGATCATGAGATTCCACTGTTCTGCTGCGCAGCCTCCGCAGGGCACTTTGTATGTCCCTGTTTCTCAGGCTGCAGATGAAAAGGTTCAGCATGGGGGTGACCACAGCGTACATCACTGATGCCACCACACCATTCCTGGGGGGTGGTGACACAGCTGAAATCAGGTACATGCCAATGCCTGTTCCCTAAAACCAGCAAACAACTGCTAGGTGAGAGCCACAGTTGAAGAAGGCTTTATACTTCTCATCTGATGATGAAATCCTTAGAATGGAGGGGACAATTTTATAGTAAGACAAAAGGATCCCTGAAATGGGAAGAAAACCAAACATAGTACTATCGAAATATATGAATACGCTATTGATGACGCTGTCAGAACAGGCAAGTTTGAGAAGTTGAGAGGGGTCACAGACAAAATGAGAGATTTCCACAGTCTTTATGATGGTGAATAGTAACACAATGCAACTGTGCAGCTGGGAATCCAACAGGCTGAGGAAAAAGGACACCAAAACGAAGAAGACACAGAGGTGAGGATTCACGATGACTGGGTAGTGCAGAGGGCGACAGATGGCTACAAAGCAGTCATAGGCCATCACAGTCAGGAGCATGCCTTCTATACATGCAAAACGGACCAAGAAAGATATCTGTGTCAGGCAGCCCGCATGAGAGATGACTCTGCTATGCGGCTGCATGTCCACAATCATCTTGGGAACCGTGGCCGAGGTGAAACCCATGTCAGCCCAGCACAGGTTGGAGAGGAAGAAGTACACGGGAGTGTGGAGCGGGGAGTCAGAGCTAACAGCCAGAATGCTGAGCAGGTTCCTCAGCACCGTGACCAGATACATGGACAGGAACAGGGACAGCAAAGCGAGGACTGGCTGCAGTTCTGGATCCTTTGAGAGTCCCAAGAGGAGAAATTCTCAGACACCTGTGAGATTCCGTGGCCCTGTGTGTCTTGGACACCTTGAGAAGGAAAGAGGATTGGAAAAATAAAAGTTAAAAATCAGCCCTTAATGCTAGATGCAAGCAATTCACAAGGAACATCTTCACACTTGCAGACCATACACCGCCAGCAATGTTTCTCAGTTGTGACAATTCCAAAAATCTTAGAATTATTACGTGATTTACTTTTTTGCTATACGAGGCTTTCTGTATATACTACTTTAGAGAATATCCACTGAAGAACATTAGAAGACTAAAACTTCATATATAACAAATCCGTGATCTCAGTAAAATACGGCCTACTCTTTTCAGAAAAAATACAATGCAATGAAAATGTCCTTCTCTCTTTAAGAAAAATATCTCAGTCTAATTGAAAGAAATTAAGAAGCCATGAAATACACTCTATTTTATTCTGACACCGTGCTACAACTTCCATTGATGTAGAATATGTAAAAGGACGACACAAGAGCTAGGACCCCATTATCTGAAAATGAAATCGAACCTTACAGTTCTCAATCGGAAGACCTTTTCACACGCCTGTTACTTTTCATATGTATTATCATCCTTCGGTTTTCTGACATCATTTCTTCATAAAAGTACATGCACACTGAAAGATGGGAGCTGTGTTTCCAAATGAACAGAATCTATAACTCCTGGCCCAGCACCATGTCTCACACCTGTAATCCCAGCACTTTGGGCGGCCGAGGCTGATGGATCACCTGAGGTCAGGAGTTCCAGACCAGCCTGGCCAACGTGGTGAAACCCCGTCTCCAGTGAAAATAAAAAAAAAAAATTAGCCAGGCATGGTGGCGTTAACCCTAGCTACTCGGGAGGCTGAAGCAGGAGAATCCCTTAGAACCTGGAAGGCAGAGATTGGACACCCTGTGATAGGATTTTTGATATCTTAGGGAGATATTGCTCCTGACAGTAGAGTGGGCGTACACCCTGTGATATTATTTGTAATATCCTAGAAAGATATTTCTCCTAATATCACTGTGGCTCTACACCCTGTGATCTTAATTGTAATATCCTACAGAGATCTTACTCCTAATAATACAGTGGGTGTACACCCTGTGATATTATTCATAATATATTACAGAGATACGACTCCTGATATCACAGTGAGTGTACACCATGTTGGTACCCCCGGTGATCTTATTTGTAACAACTTAGAAAAATATTACAGCCAATATCAAAGTGGGTGTACACCCTGCCATGTTATTTGTTATCTACTAGGTAGATATTACTCCTAATATCACCTAGGGAGATACGATTCCTCATATTACAGTGCATGTACACCCTGTGATAGTATTTGTAATATCCTAGGGAAATATCCTTGTATAACCTGTGATATTGTTTGGGACATTTGAGGGAACTATTTCTCTTAAAGTCAGAGTGGGTGTACACCCTGCAATATTCTTCCTAATATCACAGTGGGTGTACACAGTGAGTGATATTCTTTTCTAATATCCAGCGGGGGAGAGGATGATATTGCTTCCAATATCACAGAAGGTGTACATCCCCCCTGTGATATTGCTCCTAATATCCAGGGAAGGAGAGGATGACATTATTCGCAATATCACTGGCGGTGTAGCACCTCCCGCCGGGATATTGTTCTTAATATCCGGAGGTGGAGAGAATGATGTTACTCCCAATATCACAGGGGGTGTACACCACCCCTGTTTGTAAACACCCCCTGTGATATGGTTCCAAATGGCCTGTGAAAGAGTAAATATGACTCCCATTATCGCGGCGGGTGTTCAGCCCTGATGATATTGTTTTCTAACATCCAGGGAAGGAGAGTGTGCTATTACTCCCAATATCGCAGGGGTTGTACACCCTTTTGTGTTTTCGTGCCCAATATCCAGGAAAATAGAGGATGATATTACTCCCAATATCGAAGTAATTGTACAGCACCCCTGTGATATTCTTCCTAATATCCAGAAAGGAAAAGAATGATATTACTCCCAACAGCGTAGGAAACGTATCACCGCGCTGTGGTATCTTTCCCTGTATCCAGGTGGGGAGAGGATCATATTACTTCCAATGTCGCAGGGTGTGTACAGCCCCTCTGTGATCTCGTTGCTAACATCCAGGTTTGGGGAAGACGACATTACTCCCAATATCGCAGGGGGAGTACACACCCCCATGACCTTGTTAGTCATTTCCTGGGTGGAGAGGATGATCTTACTCCCAATATCGCAGAGGGTGTACACACCCCTGTGAAAATCTTCCTATATTCAGAAGGAGAGAGGATGATATTACTCCCAGTACCGCAGGGGGTTTCCACAGCCCTGTGATACTCTTCCTAATATCCACAGGGAGAGAGGATGATATGACTCCCAATATCACAGGGGGTGTACACAACCCTGTGATATTGTTCCTAACATCCAGAGCGAAAGAGGATGATATGACTCTCAATATCGCAGAGGGTGTACACCCCTCCTGTAATATTGTTCTGAATACCCTGGGAGGGAGAGGACATGGTTACGCTGAATATCACAGGGAATGTACACCCTCCCCCTCTGATACCCTTCCTAATGTCCAGGGGAAGAGAGGAAAATTTTACTCCCAATATCACAGATGCAGTACACCCCACCTGTGATGTTGTTCCCAATATGCAAGGGAGGAGAGGATGATACTACTCTCAATATCACAGGGCTGTTCACATCCCCAGTGACATTTTTCCTAATATCTAGGGGAGAGACAATTCTATGACAGCAAAGGTCGCCAGGTCTGTACATCCCTTCCTGATATTGTTCCTAATATCCAGGGGGGAAGAGGACGATATCCAGTATGAAAGGGGGTGTACACCCCCCACGCCTACGATATTGTTCTTAATAATCATGAAGGGAGATGATGATATTACTCCAAATATCGCAGGGGTTGTTCACAACCCCCTGTGATATTGTTTCTGATATCCAACAGGGAGAAAATCATATTACTTCCAATATTGGTGGTGTATTGGTGTATACACCAAAATCAGGTGGTGTATACCCCACCTGAAATATGGCACCGAATATCCAAAGAGGGAGAGGATGGTATTCATACCAATATCGAAGTGTGTGTACACGCCCCTTGTGATATGGTTTTTAATATCCAGTGGGCAGGAGGATGATATTAGTCCCAACATCCCAGAGGGTGTACACTACCCCTGTGATATTGTCCCTAACTTCCAGAGGGGAGAGGATGATATCACTCCCAATATCTCAGAAATTGTACATCCCCCGTGATATTGTTCGTCATATCCAGGGAGGCCAGGATGACATTCCATTGAATTTCGCGACACGCCTACACGCACAGTGTGATATTGTTCCTAATATCCAAGAAGGGAGAGGATGATATTACTGCCAATAAAGCAGTGGGTGTACATCACCCCTGTGTTATTGTCTCTAATATCCGGGGCCGGGGGATGTGGGGAGAGGATAACATTCCCTCAAATTTAGCAGGTGGTTTGACGCCCCTTGTGGTGTTGTTTCAAATATCCACTGGGGAAGACAATAGCACTATTTTTGATCGTCCGATTCATCCGCTCCACCTTTCTGGAACTCTGAGGCCGGGAGGCGTCATGCAAATTCCATGTGATCCCCAATACCTTTGCCGTCTTCTGTACCAAGGCAGCCAAAAACGCAGGCCCGTTATCTGAGCCGATCCGTAACGGCAGTCAAAATCTAGGAATCACATCTCGAAGAAGCACAGGGGTTACTTCACTAGCTTTCTCAGTTCATGTTGGATAGACCTCCACCCACCCAGAGTAGGTACGCCCAAGAACTCGTAAATACTTGTTACCTCCACACTTTGGCATCTCTGTGAAGTCCACCTGGAGACCTTCAAAGGGGGCTGCTCCATAAGCTCGTATGCTGGGCGGAACGGCTGGACCTTGCCTCGCATCATGCTGTCGGCAGGTAACACACCGCTGCCTCACCATTTTGGCAAGGGCTGACAAAGGCGAGATGTAGAAATACCGGCCTAACAACTTTTCCAGTAACTCCTGACCTCGATGGGTGGTTTCTTGCACAGCCAGTACAACTGCAGCTCCTAGCAGCTGTGGCACAGCTACTCTCCCGTCTGGTAACCAAATCCATCCTTCCTCCATCACTTGTCCTTCCCTCTACCTGGAGAAAGTCCTCTTCTTCTTTAGAAGAAGTACAAGATCAGGTGCTTGAGGGAGCACTGATACCTGGGGAGTGTTCCATGGAGACTGACAAGGAACTCTAATTCCAAAAGTTCTTAGGTGCTTGAGATGGACCTGGATACCTTGAAGGGCTTCTCTGGGGACCCGGTCCTGTTTTTGCATAACCGGCTGGGCCCCAGGATTCACTTCTATGAATATGTGGGCTGGGGTGACTGCCAACCCTGGAGGGTTGTGTCCCACCCGTACTCTTGGCCACCACTTAGCCAGAGCTGGTCTTCACTCTTGGCACGGCTCAGTTAAGAAAAGTCTCCATTCCTCCTCTCAGGGGACCGTAAGGGTCATAATGGCTCCCATTCCAGGTAACTTTAGCAGCAAAGAGCCGTGATCTGTAAAATAGATAGTGGCTCTCAGCTTGCTAAGCAAGTCTCTTCCCAACCAGCGCAAGGGACAGTCAGGCGTGGACAAAAACTGCTGAATCACATTATGTCCTCCTACAGCACAAGTCCGAGGCAAGCAGAAAGCTTGCTTTGCTGAAACCCCCGTGGCTCCGATGATGTCAATAGCCTTTTTGGATAAGGGGGCGACCGGGGTAGTTACTACCGAATGTTCAGCACCGGTATCTACAAGAAAATCAATGTCTCTACCCCCGACTGTCATTCTGACCAGAGGCTTTTTGGGGACACTTGAGCCCGGTTTCCCTCAGTCCAGAAACACTTCTGCCAGGTTGACCAGGGCCCCTTCCTCCTTGTCCAGGGCCTCCTGCTCTGAGTCACCTGGTTTTCTTTTTAGCTGAGGGCATTTGTTCTTCCACTGTCCTATTTCTTTACAATCAGCACACTGGTTACGTTGCAAACTCTGACAGCCAAGCTGAGTTTCTTTCCCGGGGCCCCCCTTCCCTTGCCCTTTGTGGTGACCCCTCTGATTACTGCAGCTAACAAACAGGTTGGCATTTATCCAGGCCTGACGTTCATTCTCTTTGCTGTTTTCCTTACGGCTTACTGCTTCCCTGTTTACAAACACCTGGTTAGCTATTTCTAATCATTGCGATGTATTCATCCCTGCAAGCCCAGCCTGTTTCTGCAGTTTTCTTCTAATGTCTTCTGCGCTTTGACTGACTAAAGCCATGCTAATCATGCGCTGATTTTCAGGGCTATTGGGATCAAAGGGAGTACACATACCATAGGCCTCACACAGTCTCTCATAGAATTGTGCTGGACTTTCTTCTTTTCCCTGAATGACCTCAGAGAGCTTGTTAACGTTTGTGGCCTTCTGAGCTCCCCTCTGTAATCCTTCCAAGAGAGCTTCTCTGTCTTGGTTTAGCCTTTGCATATCCTCTCTTTCATGTGGGTCCCCCTGGGGGTCAGTTCCTGGTAACTGGGTCCTTCCATACTCTTGGGGGTTTTGATAATCAGCTGGTGCGTGTTCCTCTAGCCACTTAGTTGCTGCTTGGAGCACTCTCCACCTTTCATCTCTGTTAAAGAGGAACATGAGCAACTGGTGGCAATCAGCCCAGGTGGGGTTGTGGGTCCGGATATTAGTTTGGAGTAAATCAATTAGAGCTTGTGGCTTTTCAGTATAGGGCGGGGTATTATTTTTCCAGTTGAGAAGGTGGGCAGAGGTGAAGGGCTGGTACCCAAAAACACACCTCCCCACCAGATGACCATCCTCATCTATCCCTGTATACCACTGCTCTCTCAGGGGCATTTGGATCCCCATTTTGGGTCTTAAATGAGCTGCCAAGGGAGGGGTTTCTCCTGAGTCCTCGCCTCCTCTCTTGTCTACTCTGGGTGGCCTGGGGATATGCTTGTCTTACAGAGGCGCAAGCACTGATGGCTCAAGAGTGGGGAGCCTCTTTTCCCGGTAAGGGGAGGGCACCACTGGGATCTCTGGTGCCATCTCCTGCAATGGATCTTCTGATGCTGGCTGGAGCAGAACTTCAGCAGCTGATTTCTCTGGGTGGGTGGAGCAGGATCCTTCCTTAGCCATCTGTCCCTTTGGTACTAGTATTGCTGCTGCCTGCCCTCTTAGCCACTGTGGGGGGTCTAGCACCAGCTGTCACCAAGTGTCTATGTATGCAAACTGGTCTAGGTATCCTTTACCAGTTACCTCGTGCCACACCTTAAAAACAAGGGACATGTCCAGGCTTCCTTCGTATGGCCAACCCACTTCTAATTGTGAGCAATCTATTTCCCACAAGGTTCTAGGTCCCCCTGGTAGTCTAGTGGTTAGGCTTTGCCGCTCTCAGTGCCGCTGCCTGGGTTGGATTCCCAGTCACGTGAACCAAGAAATGGAGCAGGAGGAGCTGCAGAATAAGCCCCTCAGACAGTGGATTGAAGAAGGAAGAGATTTTAAGCCCCTCAAACAGTGGATTGAAGAAGGAAGAGATTTTTTTATTCAGCCGGGAGTGTCGGCAGACTCTTGTCTTAAGAGCCCGACCCCCAAAGGAAGACAGAGTTCCTGGCCCGTTTAAGGGCTTACAACGCTAAGGGGTTCCACGTGAAAGAATCGTGATGGATTGAGAGCACATGCGCTTAGAGTGGGGGTGGTTAATCTTTTCACCTCAGGCCGGCTCATCAGTGCCACCGGCTGGTCTTGCCACCGACTTCATTCCTGTTGTTTTTCAACTTTTACTTCCTCCTTCTCTTCAGAGACAGGAGACAGCAGAGAAATGGCTTCTCTCCTCAGGTCGACAGGATGATATTACTCCCAATATCGCAGGGGGTGTACACAGCCCTGTGATATTGTTCCTAATGTCCAGAGCAAAAGAGGATGATATGACTCTCAATATCACAGAGGGTGTACACCCCTCCTGTAATATTGTTCTTAATACCCTGGGAGGGAGAGCATAAGATTACATTGAATATCGCAGGGAATGTTAACCCTCCCCCTCTGATACACTTCCTCACATCCAGGGGAAGAGAGGATAATTTTACTCCCAATATCGCAGAGGCAGTACACCCCCCGCTGTGATATTGTTCCTAATATCCAAGAGAGGAGAGGATGACACTTCTCCTAATAAAGCTGTGGGTGTACATTACCCCTGTGTTATTGTCTCTCATATCCGGGGGCGGAGGGGGGCGGAGAGGATAACACTCGCTCAAATTTGGCAGGTGGTTTGACGCCCCTTGTGGTATTGTTTTTAATATCCAGCGGGGAAGACAATAATACTGCTCTCAATATCACAAGAAATGCACATCCCCCTGTGATATTGCTACTAATATCCAGGGGTAGAGAGAATGGTGTTACTCCCAATATCGTCAAAGTGTCCACCCCCCCTTTGCTATTGTTCTTAATATATGGAAGACAAGTATGATATGACTCCCAAGATGGAAGGGGGAATACAAGCACCGGTGATATTGTTCCCAGTATGCAGTGGAGGAGAGAATGATATTACCCCCAATATCGCAGGAGGTGTACACCCCTCTGTGATCTTGTTCATAAGGTTCAATGGAAAAGATGATCTTACTGGAAATATGGTAAATACACTGTGTGTCCACAGTGGCTGGTAACATGAAGGGAGGGACGGGGATTGAAATTACTCTGCGCATCAGCGGAGAGTGTCCACGCCCCTGCGATGTGGCTCCTAATATCCATGGGGAAAGGGGATAGATATGACTCCCCGCATCACTGGGAGTGTCCACCCCCCTGCGATGTGGCTCGTCATATCAGTGGTGGGGGGGGTCATATTTCTCCCCGCATCGTGGGGGTTGCCCGCCCCGCTGCGATGTATATCGTAATAGCAAGGGAAGGAGAGGGGGATGACATTACTCCCCGCATCGTGGAGGAGTCCATCACAAATCGGGATACTATCCACCCTCTGGGATATGGGGAGTACACCCCCTGTGATATTGGGAGGAATATCATACTCTTCCCCCCTGAATATTAGGAACAATATCATGAAGGGGGTGTTCACCCCCTGCCATATTGTGAGTCATGTCATTTTCTCTACCCCTGGACATTAGGAGCAATGTCACAGGGTTGGTGTACAACCCCTGAGAAATTGGGAGGTATATCTTCCTCTCCACCTTCGGATATTAGGGACAATAACACAGGGGAGGTCTACACGTTCTGGATTATTGGGATTAATACCGTCCTCTCCGCGCCCGGATATTAGCTACAAGATCACAGAAGGGATGCCCACCCGGTGCGTTATTTGGCGTAATGGCATCGTCTACCTCTGGCTGTTAGGAACAACATCACGGGGGGCGTGTACGTTTTCTGCGATACTGTGTGGAATGGCGCAATATTACTTATCGGAATTAATATCAATTATGAATTAATATCAATTAATAGTATCAATTGTTAATTACTACTAATAATTATTAGTATTTATTGGTATTAATTATAATTATCAGTATTAATAACTGATAATATAATTTTAAAATCAATGCCAATAATAATGATAATGAATATTAAATAGTTATACTAACAATAACAATAAATGATTGATATTGATTAATAACACCCCATATTAATAACTGATACTGATCTTATTCATTAGAATACAGTAATATTAGCTCCTAATAATATTAATATTAGTAACCTGAAAACTTTTTAGTAGCAATTATTTCTAAATATTAATATTGGTAATTCATATTCATATGAATAATAAATGAGTAATAATGAATACTAATATTACGCCTAATACCTCAGTGGGTGTACACCCACCTGTGATATTGTTCCTAATGTCCAGGGAGGGAGAGAGCATGATATTCCGTTCAATATCACAGTAGGTGTACACCCACCCGGTGATATTTATCCGAATATAATCTCCAGGGGGTGGAGTATGACGTTACTCCCAGTATAGCAGTGGGTGTACATCCACCCGGTGATATTGCTCCTCATATTCATGGAAGAAGAGAATGCTATTACTCCCAGTATCGCAGGCAGTGTACACCCCTTCTGTGATATTGTTCCTAAAATCTGGAAGGTGAGAGGGTGATATTACCAATATTAATGGGAGCCTCTAGGCACCCTGCAGAGGCAAGCAAAATCGTTTTTGGAGCAAGGTAGTGTCATCCTGGACCTGAAATGATTACTATAAATATATTTTTAGTGCAATGAGCAGCACACAATGAAAGGTAACCTGACACCAGAAGAAAATAAGGTACTGTGAGGAGAACCAGGAGAAAGAACAGGCAAGAGAATCAGACCTACAAATGCTTTGACTGCTGGAATAGTCAGAGAGGGACTCTCCCACTGACACACAAAAAAATAAAACCCACCAAAAATATAATTAGCATGCTTAAGGAAATATAGAAGAAGCTAGGAAATATCTGCAGGAAACTTTCAAGAGCAATATAGCAGATTTTTTTTCCTTCTCTTTCAATGACTTTGAAACACAGCAGATTTTAAAAGGAAGCAAAAAGAACTTGTACAAATGAAAAATACAATAACTGAAAATTAAAAGTTCAGTAATGAATGGGCGTAACAGCAGATTGGAAGCAATTAAAGAGAGAATTAGTGAGTAGGAAATTATCCAGAAGAAATTAAGCAGAATGTGACATGAAGAAATGAGATAATGGAAAACAGAGAAGAAAGGATAAGATATATAGAAGACAGAATAAGTTTAGTTGAATCCCAGAAAAGAGAATAGAATAGAGGCAATACTTGAAGTGATAATAGTTAATTATTTTCTAGAATTGATAAAACGCTCAAATCCACAAATCAAATCTAATAGAATAAATCGCTACCTGAATAAATAAAACATACTTCCACACATCTTAATAAAACTGAAGAAAACCAAAGTCAAAGAAAAAAATCTTAAAGTAGCCAGACAAAAAAGGTTATAATAGAATTCGGAAGGTAATCAAATTCTTTCTTTCTTTCTTTCTTTCTTTCTTTCTTTCTTTCTTTCTTTCTTTCTTTCTTTCTTTCTTTTTTTTTTTTTTTTGAGATGCAGTCTTGCTCTGTCACCCAGGCTGGAGTCAAATGGCACGATCTTGGTTCACTGTAGCCTCCACCTCCTGGGTTCCAGCGGTTCTCCTTCCTCAGCCTCCCAAGTACCTGGGACTACAGGTGTGTACCACCATGCCCATCTTATATTTGTATTTTTAGTAGAGACAGAGTTTCACCATGTTGGCCAGGATGGCCTCCATCTCTTGACTTCGTGATCCACTTGCCTCAGCCTCCCAAAGTGCTGGGATTACGGGTGTGAGCCATTGTGCCTGCCTCTTTTGTAATTTTCTATTTGTCCTGACTGTTCTATGTTTGTTTTTCTCTCCTTCTTACCATCACTTTTTTAATTTTTTATTTATTTATTTTTTTTGAGACAGGATCTCGCTCTGTTGCCTAAGGCTATAGTGCAGTGGTATGATCACAGCTCACTATGGCTTCAACCTTTCATGCTCAAGTGATTTTTCTGCCTCAGCCTCCATAGTAGCTGGGACCACACATGTGCACTACCACCACACCCTACTCATTTTTAATTTTTATTTATTTATTTATTTAACTTTTTATTTTGAGCAGAGATGAGGTCTTGCTATGTTGCCCAGGCTGGTCTTGATCTCCTGAGATAGAATGATCCTCCCACCTTGGCCTCCCAATATGTTGGGATTACACGCAAGCGCCACCACTCGCAGTCAATAGCACTCAATTTTACACTTTGATGAGAAGTTAACTCTGTATGTTTAATTGCTAGGGTAATCATGATAAAATAGCGCATATACTTTTCAAATTAGTAGAGGGAAAGAATGGAATGATAAAATTAAATAAAGTGATGAAGAGCCAGGTGTGGTGGCTCATGCCTGTAATCCCAGCAATTTGGGAGGCTGAGGCAGGTGGATTGCTTGAGCCCAGGAGTTTGAGATCAGCCTGGTCAACATGGTGAAACCGTCTCAACAAAAAATTTTAAAATTGGCTGGGTGTAGTGGCTTCCACCTGTAATTCTAGCTATGCAGGAGGCTGAGGCAGGAGAATTGCTTAAACACAGGAGGTTGAGGCCATAGTGAGCTGAGATCATGCCACTGCACTACAGCCTTAGGCAACAGAGCGAGATCCTGTCTCAAAAAAATAAATAAATAAAAAATAAAAAAAGTGATGGTAAGAAGAGACAGAGAAACAAACATAGAACAGTCAGGACAAACAGAAAATCACAAAAGAGGTGGGCGCAGTGGCTCATGCCTGTAATCCCAGCACTTTGGGAGGCTGAGGCTAGGGGATCACGAAGTCAAGAGATTGAGACCATCCTGGCCAACATGGTGAAACTCTGTCTCTACTAAAAACACAAATATAAGATGGGCATGGTGGCACACACCTCTAGTACAAGCTACTTGGGAGGCTTAGGCAGGAGAATCGCTTGAACCTGGGAGGCAGAGGAGAGATCGCACCACTGCACTCCAGCCTGGCGACAGAGTGAGACTCCATCTCAAAAATAAATAAATAAATAAGTAATTAAATTAAAAAAAGAAAATTACAAAAGAAGTGGTAGATTTAACTCAAATATGTCAGTAATGACATTAAATGTAAATGCACTAAGTGCTCTTCTTAATAGACAGATCTTAAGACCATATAATGTAACTCCACCTGGAGCATAGACAGGAAACTCACCTCCCTCACGTCCACCAGGAGCCATGGCAGGGCCAGCAGCTTGGGTGACCTGCTTCCTGGTCCTGTGTTCTGTCAACACTGCCCGATTCAATTCAACCCAGCCCGTTTATGTTGAACAGCCTGTGCTGGTGAGGCGGGGGACAATTTCGGAACATACAAATATATCAAACAAGGTTTCTATCCTGAAGGCATTTTCCCAAGTGAGGAGAAAGTGCGCTGTAGCATGAATTCTCGGGATACATATTCCTCTAACGGCATATGGACACATCGTATCTTCACGGGGTGCTGAAAACAGCTCAGTCGTGGAGACCCTAACCCAGTGGCACTAGAGGAATTAAAGACACACACACAGAAATATAGTGTGGAGTGGGATATCAGGGGTCTCACAGCCTTCAGAGCTGAAAGCCTGGAACAGAGATTTACCCATGTATTTATTGACAGCAAGCCAGTGATAAGCATTGTTTCTATAGATTATACATTAACTAAAAGTATTCCTTATGGAAAATAAAGGGATGGGCAAAAGTAAAGCGATGGGTCTGGCTCGTTATCTGTAGCACGAACATGTCCTTAAGGCACAGATCCCTTATGCTATTGTTTGTGGTTTAAGAACGCCTTTAAGCAGTTTTCCACCCTGGGTGGGCCAGGTGTTCCTTGCCCTCATTCTGGTAAACCCACAACCTTCCAGCATGGGTGTGACGGCCATCACGAACATGTCACAGTGCTGCAGAGATTTTGTTTTTGGCCAGTCTTGGGGCAGTTTATGGCCAGATTTTGAGGCCTGTTCCCGAACAACGGGGGCTGGGTTGGGGGTGGTGATGTTTTGGGGCTGTGTCCAAGAAGGGCTCTGCCTGTGCCTGGCTGTCCACCGCGTTGGACACAGGCAGGCAGTGGGCAGGGCCGGAGTAGGTGCTTTTCTGAATGGAAATTCATCAATGAGCTTTGTGTCTGCTGTGGTTATCAGTGTTGCTATTTCAGTAAGTAATGGTAAAGCCTTCACCCGGCTCATGCCAGATGCGGAGGGTGGGGGCGCGGGCCTGTGATATGGCTGGGGTCCTCTGTCGTCAGAAAACATGAGCTCATGCCAAGGTTTCCGCAGGTCACCGAGATAGCACCGGCTCTCTGGAGACAGGCGTGACCCCCAGGTCAGCTCCTTGTCATTGAACTAAGTGGGCTCAGTGTCAGCTTGAACGTTAGTGGTGATAAGGGCCGGATAATGGTAGCCAAACTCCCACGGCCTCTTTAGGCCTCCCCTGGGGCCCTGAGGCCAGCAAGAGGGCAGGTCAGGGAGGGGCCAGGAGGAGGAGCAGGCAGGGAGGCTGCTGGTGCCTTTGGCTCAGCCAGTGGGGCTCTCAGCCCTCTGGAGTGTGCCCTAGGGACCAGTTTGTCCATGCCCCTGCCTCCAGGCCAGTCACTAGGACCAACAGATGTCCCAAGGAAGACACCGGCCATGACTGCATCCTGGAACCATATCAAACTGGCAGCACTTACTTCTCTGGACTTGTTTTTGTTTCACCAAATTTGCTGGATCTGTTGGCAAGTTTGAGTGAGTGGGGAAGTTGTGGATGTGTGTTCAGGCTCTGCCGTGGACCTGGGGGCCAGGGTTAATCTGCTGGCGGTTTCAGGTGGGAAAGACCAGAGCTTGATCACAGCACACACAGCACCTGGGGATATTTCTCAGGCTCTGCGCTCCCTGGTCCTGAGTCTGTCACCTGTGAGGTCAAGCTTCCTAAGCCTTCCTGGGCCTGAAAGTAAGCCACACCACTTCCAAAATAATGACACCTGTGTGCAACCCAGATGGGAGCATGGTCCTGGCCGTGTGTCTGCATCTCTGGGCTGCTCCCCAGCACACAGGGGAGGGCAGGAGGTGGGTTTTATGCTGGGAGGGCCTCAGGTGGCCTCCTGGGTCAGCAGCATGCATGCTGCCCTGTCCCTCTCATGCCCCTCTATTGCTGGTCCAGGACTGAACCTTTTCTTTCTCTGCCCAGAACAGCCTCCAGGGAGCCACTGTCAATGGACAAGAGGTGGCATGTGACATGGGATGATTTGCCACCCCTGAATCAGTCCAACTCTTCCATTCTCAGAGGAGGGCACTGAGGCGGAGGGGGCCTGGCCAGCCCAAGCCCTGTCTGCTGCTCGGCTGAGCAAGAGGGACATGAACGCAGCTCTTCGTCCTCTGCCCTGTGCTTGCATTCTCTTGAGCTTTCTCTCTGGTAAAGAAATCATTCTTTTTGTTAATTTTTTAAATTTTATTTTTAAATTTTTATTTATGTATTTTGAGACCGGGTTATGAGACTGGCTAATTTTTGTATTTTTGCTGGAGATGCGGGTCTTGCTATGTTGCCCAGGCTGATCTCGAACTCTTGGCCTCAAGTGATCCACCTGCCTCATCCTCCCAAAGTGCTGGGATTACAGGCGTGAGCCACCGCACCCAGTCACAACTGAAATCATTCGAGGTGTCATTGTTTCCGATGTTACTTTACGTTTTGAAAAATAAAGCTACTGCATTTTGCAGGTGAACAGTCTCAGACTGCAAAGCAAGTCAGCACTACCACAGAGGGAATCCCAAACTCGCTGCTGAGAACAGAACAGCTGTGCCCTCGCCGACTGGGACCCGAGTGACATCTACTGGAGCAAGCAGGGGCTGCACGTGAGCAGGCAGCCATTCGGTCACTCCCCGTCATTCCAACACAATCGAATTTGTGTAGAAAATTTACATGCATCATAGGCTATTTATGAATATATGCACACGTAGAAAGAGGAAAAATACGCTTGGAAATGGTAAACATAACTTCAAGATAGTAGTTACCCTTGGGTTCGGTAGGGGTGAAGGAGTGGTAAGGGTTTTAGTTTTATCTTTAACCATTTCTTTTTTCACTTACTTATTTGTAGAGATGGGAGTCTCACTATGTTGCCCAGGGTAGTCCTGGTCTCAAGCAATCCTCCCACCTTGGCTTCCCAAAATGCTGGGATTACAGGCGTGAGACACCATGCCTGGCCACAATTTGGTTTCTCTTTCAAAAGATCCGATACCAGTGTGCTAAAGTATTGACATCTATTAAATCTTTCAGGTGGTCCTACTGAGGTCTGTTTTTCTGTGCTTATCTCTAAGTTTAAAATCGTTCATAATAAACATATAGTTTATATTAATAGTAATAATATACAGTATATATTATACTATATATTTATTATATAGTATATACTTTATATTCATTATATATTGTATACTTACATTTATGGAAGGAAAATAAAAAACAAAAATGGAAAATTTGTGGTCCAGATTCTTGGTCCCAATGGTAGCAGGGCAGTTTAATAGCAAAAGTTCTTAATACTTGTTGGCTGCTGTTACCATCATTAATAAGTATCCTGGAGTTTACTGGAGTAACTGAACAGCAGTCGAAGCTCATGTATAGGCTAGAGGAGAATCACGCTCTTCAACAGTAGTGACAAGATGAAGATACACTGAGAAGACTCATTTATTTGCTATTATTGAAAAATTGTTCATACCCCATAGGAAGATGTGGCATAGAACATCAGAATGTTCTTAGAATTGGGAAACTCTCAGGTAGGAGGCTGAAAGAGAAAGCCAAAATGACTATTTTATTTCCAGATTAAAGTTGTGCCTAGAATGATCACAAACACAACCTCCCACTGTTAGAACCAGAGTCCAGAAGCACCTAACACAGGCAGCAGTACTAGAGCAGGGCTCATGATATTTTGATAACTCAAGTTATACCTTTATGAGTTTTTACATATCCAGGTACCTATTGTATGATTATTTGTATAATATATTTTTAAAACCTCACTTTTTATGCCAGAGGTTTGAATGTAATCGGTCTGGGTTGTGTCTTGGGATTTTAAAAAATGTCCCCAGTTGAATGTAAATATAAGCCAAGATTGAAAACCATTTCTTCAAATCAAGAAAGGGGAGTCCCAGGCGCCAGAGATGAAGAGGACATGGAAAGGTAGAGTGTCGGTGGGGCGTGGTGGCTCACGCTTGTAATCACAGCACTTTGGGAGGCCGAGGCAGGCAGATCACGAGGTCAGGAGATCGAGACCATGGTGCAACCCTGTCTCTACTAAAAATACAAAAAATTAGCCGGGCGTGGTGGCATGCGCCTCTAATCCTAGCTACTGGGAGAGGCTGAGGCAGGAGAATGGTGTGAACCCAGGAGGTGGAGCTTGCAGTGAGCGGAGATCATGCCACTGCACTCCAGCCTGGGCGACAGAGTGAGACTCCGTCTCAAAAAACAAACAAACAAAAAAAACACAAGAAACAAAAAGAAAGGTAGAGTGGCAAGTGTGAGAGCTGATGTGCGGGAGCTGGAGCCTGGGTGGGGCACATTCTGATGCACGCTCATGGGGACAGGTGATGAGGCCTTAGAAAGGGGAGCTGGATCTGAGATTTGTGCAAAAGTCAGGACCCTTGAAAAGCTGCCTGCTCAGTGAATGGGGGACCAGACAAATCCTACCTGCTGGTGAGGGAGACTTCAGTTGCTTAGGCTCTCGGTGGGGAAAAAATATCTCTCATGTAATAAACCGAAACCTAAGCTGAGAAATTCACTTAAACATTGGTCCAAACAACTCAAATATCCATCCATGGATGAATGGACAGACTAAACGTGGAATATACATACAATGGAATATTATTCTGCCTTAAAAAAGAAAGGAAATTCTGATACATACCATAACATGGATGAACCTTGAGGACATTGTGCCAAATGAAAGAAGCCAGATGCAGAAGGACAAATACTGTATAATTCTACTTACATGAGGTACCTAAAATAGTCAAATTAATAGAGACAGAAGGTAGAATTGTGGTTATCAGGGCTGGGAAAGAGTGGAATGGGGAGTTAGTGTTTCATGGGCACAGAGTTTCAGTTTGGGATGATGGAAAAGTTGTGGAAATGGATGGTGGTGATGGTTGTCCAACAATGCAAATATACTTGATGCCACTGAACTGTACACTTAAAAGTGTTTAAAATGGTCAATTTATGCTATGTGTATTTTATCACAATAGACAAAAATGATCCCAAGTTTATGATATCCTTCGTGGAGCATCTGGAAGAATCAAATAGTAAAGTACATGATTCTCTTCCCAGTGTGTAGAATTTCTACAATAGAATGGCAGGGAGTGGGGTGGTAAATCCTCACTGAAATAAGTGAATAAGTGAATTCGTAAATCCTCACTGAAAATAACTTCAGTAAATTAAAGTTCAATAAATTAATAGTTCAATAAATTTCTACAATAGAATGGCAAGGAGTGCGGTGGTAAATCCTCACTGAAAATAAGTTCAGTAAATTAGAGTTCAATAAATTAATAAATTAAAGTTCAATAAATTAAAGTTCAGTAAATTAAAGTTCAATAAATCCACACTGAAAATACATCACAAAACACATAGAAAAATATCCTGCCATGATAGCCAGTAGGCACAATGAATAGCAGGATTACTGCCAAAGATACTGAGATAATGGTACAATGTGAAAGCAAGCAAATAAACATATGAGAGCTGAAACTATAAGAAAATGCTATTATGAGAAAGATGAGCTATTTACACACGGCTAAATAGAAAATCAACAAATGAGAATAGAGATCTGAGGAAACTGCCACATATGAGGCTCAGAGCTAAAAAGCAATGAAAAATATAGAAATGAAGCCAAGAGATATGAAAGATCAAATGAGAAATTTCACTATAAATTTGAAGATGATGCTGGTAATGCATTGTGTTAATTCGCTTGACCCACCTGATTTTGTGCAGCCACAGTTCAATGCCAACATTTCATGTACATTTCATGGGCAATGCCGGCATCCCTTCTCAACTGCAGACCACAGTGTCTTTCTGTTCTTCTGACTCTGGGCTTTTCCCAACACTGCAAAAGCCCATTTAGCTTATGCACAAATAGTTCAGACTTTTGAAGGTGTTGACACAGCTGGCAGCAGCCCTCAACTAATGAGGGATGAGAAGAAGTAGATAAGTGTATCAACTCAATTGTCCTTTGGTGAGACAATATAAGGCATTTTCTATTAATTTACTCAAAGAATCCTCAGCAGGACTGAACCCCAGTGAATCTCAGTGGTAGCCAGCTCATAATCCAACTTTATTGGATTTTCTGTTTTATTCTTCTGATTCCATCACTTCTGTTCACCGTGATCACCTCTTAAATTAACTCAAGTCTTCCTTTCAGGTTCTGCTTTCATAGGAACTTAAACTAAGGCAAAAGGGAGAAATGCAAAGAATTAGGGAAAGGCAATATTTGAAGCGATAATACTTGAGAGCTTTTCAGAATTGATGAAGGACAGATATCCTTAGATTCAGGAAACACAAGTCCTAAAAAGGTTTTAAAAAATTGACTTCCATGTGCATTGTAGAATACCAAAGATAGGGGGAAAATTTCTAAAGCAACTAGAGAGAAAGAATGGATTAGCAGGCCAAGGCACAGCATTTTGGTGGTCAATAGACTTTTAAACAGTTATAAAAAACCAGAATACAATGGAATAAGCATTGAAGGAAAATGACTGGTGATCTGGAATTTTATACCCAACGAAACTGGGTACTGCTCGAGAATAACGGGGGGAAAATAAACCCAAAAAACCAAAAACATGTTCATACAAAGATGGAGTTTATCTACTCACAGACACTAGTTGAAAGAACTATTACATTATGTACCCTTGATGCTGGTTCTATTCCTTGTAGCCACAAGAGCAAAATTCAATCTCATTTTCCAAAGGATCCTCTTATAGTTCTTCTTTGGGCCTGTGGTGGAGGCGTGAGGGATGATTTCTTCTTCAATAGCTCTGTTTAACCTTGGAAGCCCCCTTCTGAATAAAGTTGCCATCTTGACAAGGAGATTTGGGATGGGGTGGTTCAGTAGGCGCTGGGAGCTTTAGTCTTCAGCTTCTGGTTCTAGGCTTCCTGGTTCCCCTCTCTCCTCATAGAGTTAGATTTTGGATCGTGCTGGCCGTCAGTATCTGTGGGTCGGCTCACATTCAAGAACTTTGCCAGAATTTCTCCTTGGGAGGAGGAATGAACACTCATTGGTGTCTACAGATTGAATTTCCCTCTCCTCCTCCACTTACACAGAGAGAAAGAGAAATAATTGTAGACTTGCAGAAATTAATTTTTACTTTGGGTGTGATACTCTACCTCATTTTTCTCAGTCCAGGCCTCAGTTTCGCCATTGATAAAGACACAATGTTGACCCAAATTAAACCCTTTTCTGAATTTAACACTGAGGAACACTTCCAGCCACCCCCGACCCCGAGTTCTCTGCAGTGGTAGCTATTTTTCCAGGATGTCCTGGCATTGCGGCTGCCTTCTTCCCACCTGCCTCTGCTCCTGTGTCCCTCTCCACCTCACCTGGAGAAGAGGAATCAGGCTACATCACAGTTGCCACAGAAAACAAGGTATTTATTTTCTTTCTTGGCTTTTGTTTAGATCGTAGCATCTACAGTGACTGGATTCTACTCTTGCTGATTTTAAAAAATCAAAAAGTGTTTATAATTTCATAAGTATTACAGAAACTTACTTCCATTGTAGAATAATTCAGATAACGCACAGAAAGCAAAAGATACTTTTCCCACCTTCAATTCTAGTCCTTCCTTTTAGAGGTGACCACCACTGTCATTTTAGCATTTACTCCTTCCTGCTCTCTCTCTCTCTCTCGAGATATATATACACACATACACACACATATATATGTGCTTTTTCCTTTTTGTTGCTTATATGGTATAATCCATACACATTTTACAATTTTTAAAAACTTACATATTTGGGGAATCTTTTCATTCTGGTATAAAGACTTTTCTTGTTCTCTCTGACTGGTACATAGTATTCCAGAGCATTGTTATACTGTGCTATAATATAATTTATCTAAGGAAACATCAGATATAAGAAACAAAGAAAAAAACTAAAGGAAAGATATAAAAGCAACAACAAAATACTATATTTAACCACTGCCTTGTCAATTAACATTTAGGTTGTTTATAATTTTTGCTACTACAGAGAATTCTGCATGAGCATTCTTGTACATATTTCTGTGTGTCTAGATGCAAGCATTTCTCTTGGGAAGATATGGAAGGTACACTTCCAATCAAGAGAAGACACATTTAACATTTCAACATTTTAGCATTTAGAGATTACTCTCCATAAGGGCTGTATCAATACACACCCTCATAATCAGTGTATGAAAATACCCATTGCTTCATCCTTTTACCGAAACTAGTTGTTTTCCATTTTTAAAATGTTTTTTCCCTCTGACTGTTGTCTTTCTCCTTAGCATCCTCCACTTCTTGTCTCCCTTCTTGCCGTCTCCTTCTCATACAGCACGCCCCAGGCAGACATGATTCACAGAAAATGGTCCCAATGTATAGACATGTGGTCAGAAGTCATGGGATGAAAACACTCAAATAGACACACACAGGAGTTTGCAAAATCACATGCGCACGTCTTCACACACAAACACAGTATTCTTTCCAGTCAAGATAAGAATATTAGTGGGAAAAGTAGTGCTGGACTATCTCATTTCCCTGTGTGGGCTGCTCAGATAAGTGGCCTCTCAGGTCTGGACAATAATACCCAGCCCGACAGCTTGTCTGTGGCCTCTCCCGCCCCTCCAGAGAAGCCTCCGCAATGATGGCTGTTCTGGGGTGGGGTCCAGCAGTGGGTGCACAGCTCTGAGCAGACCCAATGGGCAGACAGTGATGGCAAGAGGCGCTCTTGGGGCCTGGGAGGGGGATGCAGCTCACGGCGGCGGCAGTGCTGGGGATACACCGGCGCCAGACCGGTGCCCAGAATCACCGGGAGTGTGATGGTGGGGCAAATCAGAGTCATTAGAGTAACTGGCGGGGCCCAAGGAATCTCGCTAGGAAGCAGGGACGCGAGGTGGCTCAGCCTGTGGGTGGCCACAGCAGCTTTGGAAACCTCCTTCCTCCCTTTCTTCCCTTCCCAGGGCACACAGGCAGGATGGTGCCTGAAAACAAGGCCGCCCACTTCCTCCGCTGCATCCCTCCTCTCCCACACCTCTCAGGCTCTATCCTGCGCCTCTTCTTCAGCAGTTTAGGAGGTTCCTGGGACTCTGCTAGTTCTGGAGAATACAAAGAACAAGCCCCTTTCCTGCATCCGAGGACCTCACTATCTCGGGGGCCCTCCAGGGCTCACCTGCCACTGCAAGTCTAGACGGTCTCTCCCGCTTCTTGTGGTGCAAGCAGTTGCACACAGCCCCTTGCAGCTCTCCCTGATATTTATGGTCTTGGTCCCACGGATTCAGGTCGCTTTTGTTATCCATTTTAAGTCATTTTGTCTTCTTTTTAAAAGTTCTTTTAAAACAAATTTTTATTTTTTTTTGAGACAGGATCTTGCTATGTCGCCCAGGCTGGTCTCAAACTCCCGGCCTCAAGTGATCCTCCTGCTCTGGCCTCCAAAAGTGCTGGTATTACAGGCGTGAGCCACTGTGCCCAGCCGTCATTTCCTCTGCATGTCAAGTGAAGTCATGGGGAAGGGCGTCTGGAGTGGTGAGTGGGGCTCTCACTTCCTCAGGATGGCGGGAAGTTCTATCTTGATCTGAGGCCCGGGATCAGGTTGCTCCTTGTCCCCATATCCAGGGTTGGGAGGAGAGGCTGGAGCCCGGGAGACTCTGCCTGGAAACCTGGAGACTGTGGCAGGCATTGAAGAGTGTGGAGTCGCCCACATTGGTGGTCTTGTTTGATTCCTACCACCTGGAAGGGAGAAAGAGCAAGACTTCTTGTATCTGTCACAGATGAGGAAACTGTAGCCTACAAAGGTTAAATGACTCACTCAAGGTCGCACAGACGGGAAAGAAAGAACCCAGGTCTCTGGACTTGAAATCTGGGGTCCTAGCCATGGGCCATGTTCTTGGAAACTTGCACCACATGGTAGCGCCCTAGAAGGAAGAGAGGGAGGAGAGGGAGGAGAGGGAGGCCAGATGCTCTGGAAGGCATGCTCTCAGGACTTAGACCCCTGTGGACACCCTTAGTGAGGGGTGGACAGAGAAAGTTGCACTTATGCACTACGCAGCCCCTAACACTGGTAGTAGATGTCACATTGTTAAAAAGGGGGAAAGAAACATTAAGGGTGGACTTGAGGGGCAGCCTGTCTGGAAGTTGGTTATGGGCTGCCTGTATATATGCCTAATATTTTTAGCTCTAGTTGATGAAGTTACTGGCCTTTTTCTTAGACACAGCCCGAGTCATTTTCTCTCCAGTCTGATTGAAACCCCAAACCCTCAGATTTTTTTTTTTTTTTTTTTTTTTTTTTGAGACTGAGTCTTGCTCTGTCTCCCAGGCTGGAGGGCAATGGTGTGATCTTGGCTCACTGCGACCTCCATCTGCCGGGTTCAAACAATTCTCCTGCTTCCCAAGTAGCTGAGTTTACAGGCACCCGCCACCAAGCCACCACGCCCGGCTAATTTTTTGTATTTTTAGTAGACAGAGTTTTGCCATGTTGGCCAGACTGGTCTTGAACTCCTGACCTCAGGTGATCACCTGCCTCAGCCTCCCAGAGTGCTGGGATTACAGGCGTGAGCCACCACGCCTGGCCTGACTTTTTACTTTTTATTTTCTCCTTTCCTTCCTTCCTTCCTTCCTTCCTCCCTTCCTCCCTCCCTCCCTCCCTCCCCTCCCCTCCTCTCCCCTCCCCTTCCCTTCCCTTTCCAACAGGGTCTTGCTTTATCACCCAGGCAGGAGTGCAGTGGTGCAATCACAGTTCATTGCAGCCTCAACCTCCCACACTCCAGAGATCCCTCTGCTTCAGCCCCCCAAGTACCTGGGACTATAGGTGCACACCACCACATTGGGCTGGGCTAATTTTTAAATTTTTAGTACAGACCGGGACTCACTATGTTACCCAGGCTGGTCTCGAACCTCTGGGCTCAAGCAATCCTCCCACCTCAGTCTCTCAAAGTGCTGGGATTACTGGTGTGAGCTATTGTCCTCAACCTAGACCCGCCCGCCCTTCCTTCCTTCCTTCCTTCCTTCCTTCCTTCCTTCCTTCCTTCCTTCCTTCCTTCCTTTCCTTCCATCCCTTTCTTTTTTTGAGACAGAGTCTCGCTCTGACGCCCAGGCAGGAGTGCAGTGGTGCAATCTCAGCTCACTGCAGCCTCCGCTTCCTAGGTTCAAGCAATTATCCTGCCTCAGCCTCCCAAATAGCTGGGAGTACAGGTGTACACCACTACACCTGGCTAATTTTTGTACTTTTAGTAGAGATGGGGTTTCTCCATGTTGGCCAGGTTGGTCTCAAACTCCTGAATACAAGTGATCCCCCCACCTCGGCCTCCCAATGTGCTGGGATTACAGGTGTGAGCCGCCGCACCTGGCCTACTTTCTTATTTACTGAATAGCTGATACCCTCATGGCAGTAGCAGTCACATCCCGGGTGCCATGTGCTCAGCCATGAGGGGCCATTGGGAGCATCCTACCTGGGTCCGTCTGTCCTGGGAAGAGTCAGAGAGGTGAATCCAAGCCAAAATTTTGTAAAAGAATTGAGGGTTAGGCTGGGAGCAGTGGCTCATGCCTGTAATCCCAGCACTTTGGGAGGCCAAGGCGGGTAGATCACGAGATCAGGAGTTCGAGACCAGCCTGGCCAACATGGTGAAACCCCATCTCTACTAAAACTACAAAAATTAGCCAGGCATGGTGGCACGTGTCTGTAATTCCAGCTATGCGGGAGGCTGAGGCACAAGAACCCCTTGAACCCAGGAGGCGGAGGTTGCAGTGAGCCCAGATTGCGCCACTGCACTCCAGCCTGGGCAACAGAGTGAGACTCCATCTCAAAAAAAAAAAAAAGACAATTCAGGGTTAATGTCAGGTGCACAGAAAACCAAACGCAAACAATGGGGTCAGGGCAGGAATGAAGCTGAGGAGAGCAGCCAGGGATTTGGAGTTGTGTTGAGAGGAGATTTGAGTTGGACATGAGGTTTGAAATGAGAGGGGAGGGTCAAGGAGAACACTGGAAGTGCCTTTGGGACCTGGTTTTTAAGTGTTTTGAGCTACAGAGTCCAGTTGCGTCCCAAAAGGTTTGTTTCGGGTTTGCTATTCCCCGTGAAGCGTGGCAGTGTCTGTTGATGGGCACTTTCGCCAACACTCATTCTCACCATTAAAAAATGGCATCTCATGAAGACTGTGGGCCTGGAGGGTCTTCCCGTCTAGGGGCATGTAGGTGCCTGGGGGCTTCCCCAGTGCTCAGCGCATGGCAGGGCCTCCGTGGCCTCAGCAGGAATCTCTGCAGGTCATCACTAACCATGACTCCCAGGCTGTGCAGAGAGAGGCGTGGAGGTCAGCCCTCTGGGACCTTACTCAACTGTCACTCTAGGGACAGAGTGAGCATCCTCTCTTGGGGTAACTGGCTGGACGTCGGGGCTCCTCTCCAAAACCAGAACCAGAAGACCCTGATCTGATTTTGGGAAAAGCTGCTTGGCGGGGTGGTCACTGGCTCTCTCCTTTCCATGTTCACAAGCACAAGATGGAGACCCATAAACACCCTCCCAATCTGCGGAGGTGTCGTGGGGCAGGGAACGCACGCTAGTCAGGTAGAGAGAGAGAAGAGCCTAATGCACATGCAAGGATCCCTCAGAGGTGGGCAGAAGATGGGTAAAAACGTGAAATCTGATGAGAAACAGTGTCCACGGCCCTTCCTGCTCCTGGGGTTACTCCCTGACCCTGTCCCACACCCACCCTTTAAGAGACAGGAGCAGGCTCTACCATGGAGATGAGTCCCAGCCACAAAGAGGTGAACGAGAGTCACTCAGAGCCTGCACAAAGGCTCAACAGAGTAAACTGGCCTCTGGGGCCCTGAGATGCATAGGAAGTTGCTCCCAGGGAGTGGTGTCTGAGTGAGAACATTGACTTGGGGAGATTCGAGAAGGGGAGGGCATTCTCCATACACTGGCACCTGCCCCTCTTGGGGAGCTTTGAGAAGGGAAGAGCATTCTCCATCCATTGGCACCTGCCCCTCTGGGTGCAGAAGAGGCATGACACAGTTCTCTTCTGTTTTTTGTTTGTTTGTTTGTTTTTTGATACCGAGTCTCACTTTGTCACCCAGGATGGCACAATCTTGGCTCACTGCAACTTCCGCCTCCCTGGTTCAAGCAATTCTCATGCCTTACCCTCCCAAGCAGCATGTGCCAGCATGCCTGGCTAATTTTTTGTAATTTTAATAGAGATGGGGTTTCGCCATTTTGGCCAGGCTGGTCTCAAACTCCTGGCCTCAAGTGATCCACCCGCCTCGGCCTCCCTAAGTACTGGGATTACAGGTGTGAGCTGCCATGCCAGGCCCAGTTCTCTTCTGATGTTGGGCAAAGCCTACTTCTCCATCTAGTGATTCTGATGTGTCTGGACACCAGGAATTGCAGTGTGTCCCATCCCAGGCTGAAACAGAGAAGGACACCTGAAACCCACGATCCAGCACGTAGGAGTCCGGGGCTACCTTGGGGGTCCAGAGCCCCCACTTATACACTCGAAGGGTGGTGTAGTCGAACTGAGAAAGTCCGGCTGAAGCTGACTACCCCACCAAGGCCATCATATATCATAGAAACCCTCACCACCAGACAGACCCAGGTAACAAAAGTAACTCATGGAGGTCAAGGCTGCAGTGAGCTATGATCGTGTCACTGCACTCCAGCCTGGGCAATAGAGGGAGACCCTGACTCTATTTAGAACAAAACAAAACAAAAAAACTCGCATTTATTGAGTGCTTACTATGCACTGGGCATAAAGTAGTAATTATCACAACAATGCGCTGAGATGGTAACAATTATGTCCCCGTTTTACAGATGAGAGCACTGAGGTCCAGCAAGGTTAGGTAACTTACTTGGTGCAAGCTCACATGGCTGTGGGAAACCCAAGCCCAACTCCAGTGTGTGCCCTCTTAGGGGTGCTCCATTCCGTCCAGGGCAGCCACCAGTACTTGTAAAGCATTGGACCAGGTGGAAAAAGACCAACAGTAAAGCCACCAGTGCAGTGACATGCCGAGGTGGGATGTAGCCGTTTCCCTGGGGCCACTACCTGCCTGAGCAACTCTCCCCACACTCCCTGCGGGCCCCTCCATAGTCACATATGGTGCCGTCAAGGAAGGGGGCTGAGGAGCAGGAGAGTGGACACCCGGATCTAGACAGTGATCGAGGCTTTAATTCCTGCTCTGGATTAAAAACGACTGGACTGCACTGAGACTTTCAACGTGGACCAAATGAATGGACTGTGGTCAGCAGCCTGGGGGCTCAGGACGGGGAGCAAGGACTCAGAAAGGGAGGCTCCTCTGTCATCTGTTCCTAACTCAGCTGCTGTGCACCCCAGCGCAGTGTGGAGGAGGGAGGAGGTCAGGCTGGGAGAGGCGGCCACGTGCAGGGGCAGTGCTGGCCCCGGGTGGCAGGGACCCTGGAGCAAGGCTGTGGCTCCTCTGATTTGAAGGCTGTGGCTGACACTCCACAGAGCCCCGTCCTGTGCCAAAGTAACCAGAGCAGAGGCCAGCCTTGGTGCTCCCTTCCGCTCCCGTTCCGGAGGGCTGGCTGGCTGATAGCTGAATCCCTCAGATGAAGTCATCTGTTTTGGTGCCAGGGAAGGGAAGGGCTGGGGGAGCCGGCGGAGGGGCCATCAGGGCCCGTGCTCTGTCTGCTTTTCCCAGGCTGGCGCCGCAGGGAGGAAAGCCTGGGTCTTGTCTGGGAGTGCCCATCGCTCGGGAGGCAGTGGGTGGGTGGCTCGAGGGCAGGGCCTGTGCATTGTTAGATAATCAGGAAGGGAGAACAGGAGCTCGGTTGAAATGTCAGCGGGGCGGTGGGGGGTTGGCGGGGCGAGGGGGGTGGGGCGGGGCGGTCTGTAGGCTTCTTGCTAATGTTCTCTAGCTAATGTTTTGAATGATTTCCTCCGTGATCGGATGTGAGCACGCATCTTGGAAGACACACTGTCCTACAGTCTATGGAAGATGAAAAGGACTGAAAGGGCATTCAGCACTGTAAACACTTGGCCCTGCTGTCTGGCGCTTCTGTGATTTGTTGCTCTTTGAGGGAAGCCCTACGCAGTTTGCAAATTTTCTATCTAGACCTCAGCAAAGCTTGGATTTTTCATAAATTCTATCTTGTCAAATGGAATCTGGGTGTAGGTCTGACATGTGCTATCAATTCTTATCATCAATGAATAGAATCAGATGCACTCAACATCTACTGAACTCACATGAGGTACTAGATATTGGGCTAACTGCATTAACTTCCTCATGCTGTATTGTGCAATTATTATTTTTCTGTTTACCAGTGAGTAACTGAAGTTCAGAAAGTTCAATACCTTTCCTAATGTCATGTAGCTAGTAAGTGACACACTGAGCAGAGCCCAGGCTGACTGCATCCAAGTCTCTAACATCTTTCAGTGCTGTTCTCTTGGTACTCTTTTTTTTTTTTTTTTTTGAGGGATTTCACTCTCACCCAGGCTGGAGTGCAATGGTGCAATCTTGGCTCACTGCAGCCTTTACTTCATGGGGTCAAGTGATCCTCCCACGTCAGCCCCTGGAGTAGCTGGGACCACAGGTGTGCGCCACCACATCTGGCTACATTTTTTTTTTTTTTTTGAGACAGAGTCTCACTCTGTCACCCAGGCTGGAGTGCAGTGGTGCGATCCCGGGTCACTGCAACCTCTGCCTCCCAGGTTCAAGCAATTCTCCTGCCTCTGTCTCCCAAGTAGCTGAGATTACAGGCACGCACCACCACACCTGGCTAATTTTTGTATTTTTAGTGTGGGGTTTCACCATGTTGGCCAGGCTGGTCTTGAACTCCTGACCTCAAGTGATCTGCCCACCTCTGCCTCCCAAAGTGCTGGGATTACAGGTGTGAGCCACTGCACCTGGCCCCAGTTATGTTTTTATTTTTTAAAGAGATGTGCGGGTGGGGGGAGGGTCTCTCTATGTTGCCCAGGCTGGCCTCGAACTCCTAGATTAAAGTGATCTGCTCGCCTCAGCCTCCCAAATTGCTTGGATTACAGCCATGAGCCACTGGGCCAGCACGGTGCTGTTCTCTTCACTGATTATTATTAATATTTTTGTTTTGCCTCCACCTGCCTTGTTTTCCAAATTTGTGTCTTTCCTTTTATATACATTTTGAATGTACAACTTTTTACAGAATTAAACCCAATTGATACATCTTATCAACTTATCTTTGCTAAGGATTTCCACTTTCTAAGTGGTCAGAAACTGATTTCCACCCATCGTTTTTGCCAACTTCCTTCCTTAAATGCACATGGTGTGGTGCATGGGGCACTGGGCTGCCCCTCCGCAGACCTGGGATCCAGTGCGGTTTCTGGCCTCCCTCACAGTGTGGTCCTGGCAATGTTCCTTTGCCTCTCCGAGCCTCAGTTTACTCATCTTCAGAGGTGATTTCCAAGGGCCTTGCCAGATCCATCTCCAGGCATGTGTGTGTGTGTTTGCAGGCGAAGGAGCTGTCATGGGCAGCTTGGCCTTCTGGCAGCTGTCTCATGGGCCCACAGCAGGGGCTGCTTTCCTGCGTCAGACCCAGCAGTGGCAGGAGGGTCTCCCCTGGGACGGCCTCACCCAGTGCGCAGCCTCCCGCTATCCCACCATTAGGCCACTCACTGCTGTGCTCCTTGGTTTGAATGTTTATTTGGGCCCTAGCTCCCCCTTGCTGCGAGAGGAAGGCCACAGCTGTAACCTCGTGTGCCTTTATTGCTGTAAACTGTCACGTTCTGCAAACAGCTCACAGAGAATTTGGAGAGTGGACATTCTTGTAGAGAAATTATGCAAAGAGAGGCTTTGCCTTCATTAATCTACTTTGCATTTATCTATTTATTTATTTGAGACGAGCCTCGCTCTGTTGCCCAGGCTGGAGTGCAATGGTACGATCTCGGCTCACTGCAACCTTCGCCTCCTGGGTTCAAGCGATTCTCCTGCCTCAGCCTCCCAACCAAGTAGCTGGGATTACAGGTGTAGGCCACCACGCCCAGCTAATTTTTGTATTTTTAGTAGAGACAGGGTTTCACCATGTTGGCCAGGCTGGTCTTGAACCCTTGACCTCAGGCGATCCACCTGCCTCAGCCTCCCAAAATGCTGGGATTACAGGCACAAGCCACCGTGCCCAACCCATTAATCTACTTTGCTTTTCAATTTTGTGTTATTGTTATTATTTTTGATAGAAATGATAACAGGAGGTGTAAGCACATGATGATGAGCGCCACCTTGGGGTTGGGGTTGGGTAAAGAAAGGCCTGATTTATTTATTTATTGAGACGCAGTTTCACTCTTGTTGCCCAGGCTGGAGGGCAATTGCGCGATCTCAGCTCACTGCAACCTCCGCCTCCCAGGTTCAAGCGATTCCCCTGCTTCAGCCTCCCGAGTAGCTGGGATTACGGGCATGTGCCACCAGGCCTGGCTAATTTTGTATTTTTAGTAGAGACGGGGTTTGTCCATGTTGGTCAGGCTGGTCTCGAACTCCCAACCTCAGGTGATGTGCCCACCTCGGCCTCCCAAAGTGCTGGGATTTCAGGCATGAGCCACCGTGCCCGGCCTATTTTTTTTTATTTTTTACTTTTAATTGTGCTGCAAAACATATAACATGAAATTTATCTTCATAACCACTTTTGAGAGTACGGTTCAGTCATGTTACATAGACACACATTGTTATGCAATAGGCCTCTAGAACTTTAACTTACAAACAAAAACTGTGTCTGCTTTGCTTGTTATTGAATGCTGACTCTATCCGAAGCATTGTGCTGACCACGAGGACCAAAAAGAAAAGGAAGCAATTGATCGCCAAGCAGAACTTCAGAAAAGATACAGAACTCTATCAGCTTGTCCACCCCCAACTCCCACCGACACTGAGCAGGCAGGAGAGGTGGCACAGCAGGCAAAGTCTGCCACCTGGTGGCAGGAAAGAGTCACAGCCCACAAGGGAGGCTTCAAGTGGATCCCACAAAAGAAGTGGGGAACAGGAAAGCGGAAGAAGACATTTAGTGCCAGGTATGCAAAACAGCAGGAACTGTTGGATAAATGGAAGTGAAAAAATATTTTTCGCCGGGCACGGTGGCTCACGCCTGTAATCCCAGCACTTTGGGAAGCCGAGGCAGGTGGATCACCTGATGTCAAGAGTTCAAGACCAGCCTGGCCAACATGGTGAAACCTCGTCTTTACTAAAAGTACAAAAAAAATTAGCTGGGCGTGGTGGCGCATGCCTGTAGCCCCAGCTACTCAGGGAGGCTGAGGCAGGACAATCGCTTGAACCCAGGAGGTGGAGGTTGCAGTGAGCCAAGATTGCGCCACTGCACTCCAGCCTGGGCGACAGAGGGAGACTCTGTCTCAAAACGACAACAACAAAAATTTTTAAAGAGACACATTTGGATAATTTTAAAATTATTTTTTGTTTCGCAGGGCACGGTGGCTCACGCCTGTAATTCCAGCACTTCAGGAGGCCGAGACAGGTGGATCACCTGAGGTCAGGAGTTTGAAAGCAGCCTGGCTAACAGGGAGAAATCTTATCTCTATAAAATATACAAAAATTAACCGGGTGTAGTGGCATGCTACTCGTGCTGGAATCACAGATATGTGCCACCGTGCCCTGCCAAACAAAAAATAATTTAAAAGGCTGAGGCATGAGAATCATTTGAGCTGGGAGGCTGAGGTTGCAGCAAGCCAAGATCGCACCACTGCACTCCACTCTGGGCGACAAAGGGAACCTCTGTCTCAAACAAGACAAAACAAAACCCATGAAAAAACAATGAGATACCACTACACACCCACCAGAAGGTGAAAATGTAGAAGACAGACAATGCTGAGTGTTTGTGAAGATGTGTGGCAAATGGAGCTCTCCCTCTTTGCTGATGAGAATTAAATTGGTGCGAACAACTTGGAAACTTCAGGTATTTACTAAGAAATCAGTGCATGTATTTAAAAAAAATACGTGTACAAAAAGGTTTATAGCAGCTTTTTTTTTTTTTTCCTGGCAGAGTTTTGCTCTTGTTGCCCAGGCTGGAGTGCAATGGCATGATCTTGGCTCACTGCAGCCTCCACTTCCTTGGTTCAAGCAATCCTCCTGCCTCAGCCTCCCAAGTAGCTGGGACTACAGGCGCCCGCCACCACACCCAGCTAATTTTTTTGTATTTTTAGTAGAGACGGTGTTTCACCATGCTGGCTAGGCTGGTCTTGAACTCCTGACCTCAGGTGACCCACCCACTTTGGGCTCCTAAAGTGCTGGGATTACAGGCATGAGCCACCGCCCCCTGCCAATAGCTCTATTTTTAATAACCAAAAAGTGGAGGCAAGCCAAATGCTCACCAATAGGAGAACAGATACATTGTGGTATAGACAGTAATAAAAAAGAATGAACTGCTCTTCCACAAACAGAATGAACCTAATAAACATAACCTTGACCAAAAGAAACCAGTCACACGAGACTGCACACAGTGTGATTCCATTAACACCAAGTTCAGCCACAGACAAAATTCACTGATGGTCACAGAATTTAGAGTAGTAGTTGTCTCTGGTAGGGTTAATGCCTGAGAATGGCATGAGGGACTTTTCTGGGGTGGTGGGAACATCTGATACCTTGATCTGAGTGTGGTACGTATGTTGTGCAGCACATTACATGTGTATATGTATGTACACACGTTCGCACATGTACATATATAAATCTTTCCCTGCACTCTTCCTTCAAAACAATTGCCATTTTTGTAATTATTAGCTTGTTTATTTTTATTTATTTTTTAGTTTATCATCTCTACTATGCTGTAAACTCAAAGAGGACAGACCTCCAGGCTTTTTGGAGGGTGTGTACTTACATAGTAGGCGAGAATTATATGTTTGTAAGAAGAATACCTGAATGAATGAATAAATGAATGAATTTTGGCATTTTGGGATGCTCTAGAGGGAATAACACTACTCAGAATTGCATGGAATGGTCAGCAGTAGTGTTCATCAGAAAGCTTTTTGAAAAATTTTTAAATTATTTTTAAATTAAAAAAATTTTTTTTGAGACAGGGTCTTGCTATGTTGCCTAGGCTGGTCTTGAACTCCTAGGTTCAAGTGGTCCTCCCACCCTGGCCTCCCAAATGCTGGGATTACAGGTGTGATCCATCTTGCACAGCCCCATTGGGAAGTATTTTTTTTATCCTTTCATAGATAAAGAAACAAAAGTATCAATTAGTAAGCATCTAGTTTGTTTCAGGCCCTGTGCTTTGCACATGTGTCATTTAAGCTTCATAACAATCCTTGGGGATAAGCATTGTTTCCTCAAATAGGAGGAGGAGCTGAGATTTAGAGCTCATAAGTCATCCAAAGTCACACCGGAGGGCTGAGGACGGAAGGTGTGCAGGTGATTTAGGCACTCCATTTTTGCCGTTCCTCCTTTGCCCTCTGGTCTCTGTGCTCCCTTTGGTATTCCTGGAGAGAAGGCCAGAGCCTTGTTCACACAGCTCCAGAGGGAATGGGGCACTCCCTGGGGCAGTGTGGGGACTTTATCTCTACCTTCCCACGGGCCGAGCACAGTGCCTGGCACACAGCGAGTGCAGGGTAAACCCTCTAGGAGTGAATGGAAAAGCTGTGATGATATGAAAGAATATTATTACATGTTCCCCCTTCCTATACTTACTCATCTTTCACAAACGTGTAGATTAGAAGCTGCTTGAGGGCAGAGTCTTGGTGCAAGCTTCTCTGTGTGGCGCTCTGTGGTAGGCCACAGCAGCTGAAATATCCCACTGGAGTAGGAGTTGGCAAATTGCACCCTGTGGGCTAAATCTGACAACTGTCTGTTTGTATAAATAAAGTTTTATTGAAACACGGCTTCACACATATATTGTCTACAGCTACTTTGACTCCATCACAGAGTTGAGTAGTTGTGATGTGGACTGCATGCCCTGCAAAGCCTACAATATTTACTCTCTGGCCTTCACAGAAAAAGTTTGTTGATCCTTACAATTGAGATTCCCTTTGTGGATTCAGCTTGTCTCAGCCTCTTCGAGATGAACGTTGCTGAGAGTGGGGTGGCAGGTGCTCCGGTGAAGGAGG
The DNA here is from genome assembly GCF_000001405.40 of Homo sapiens. Lineage (NCBI taxonomy): Eukaryota > Metazoa > Chordata > Mammalia > Primates > Hominidae > Homo > Homo sapiens. Next base: position 1,385,822 of record NW_018654717.1, on the reverse strand, counting down.
AAGTAACCAGCAGTAGACAAGGGCAGAAGCCTATAAAGCTTGACCTCCCCCACCTCATAGTTTACTCATTGTTGCCCCAAACTTACACAACTCAAGACAGGGATCCCAGGATGAAGTCGCGGGGTACAGGCGTTCCCTAAGCCTAGCTGGTTGCACCTCTCTACCAAAATAATAGTAATCCAAACGCAGCATTTCATGAGGCTGAGGCAGAAGGATCACTTGAGGCCAGGAGTTTGAGACCTTCTTGGGCAACATAGTGAGACCCTCCCCCCATCTCTATAAAAAATTAAAATTTAACCAGGCATGGTCGTGCACACCTGTAGTCCTAGCTACTCAGGAGGCTGAGATGGGAGGATTGCTTGAGCCCAGAGGATTGAGGCTGCAGTGAGCCATGATGGTGCCACTGCACTCCAGCCTGGGTGACAGAACAAGACTCTGTCTCTTAAAGAAAAAAATCCTGGGAGAGGTGCTGTCCATCTCTCCCATCCCTACAATGAGTTTCTTGCCACGCCAGAGGGTGGCAGAATCTGAAACCTAGACGATCTCAACAGGTTGGCATGAGAGGCCAAGTCTAATAAAATGAAGTCAAACTGGGATAAATGGAAGGTTGCACCCTCAGGTAAAACCAAAATCAGTACCATAAGCATCCATTTTGGGAAGGTAAAGGTTAATTACCATCTTTGAGACAAAGCATGACTGGCTTTTGTAGATAGAAAATTCATATGAGTAGTCAGTGGTGTGAACTCCCACAAAATGAGTTTGGTCTCAAGCTGTATTCATGGAATTTTGGAATCTGAGATTAGAGACAAGAGCATCCCATTCTTTCTCTGTCTTCGGGCAGGACCAGATGTGAAATATCCTGCTTGAAACAAATGGGAGTGCAGCAGGAGTGGGGGCCGCTCAGACACAGCTCTGAGCAGTGTCCTGGGAATCAAAGCAGCTGGGTGCTTTAGCCTGGAGATCGGAGCAGAGTGAGGGCTGAGAAGAGGAGCGAGCTCACTTGTCTTGGGAGGTCCCCAGGGTTGGATGTGGAATATGTGTCCTGAGGTTCTCGGCAGAAATTGCAATGTCCATCTCTCTTCCCTGGAAGTTCGATCTTTGAGCCCATGAGTACTTTCTGGACACATTCCGGGCAGCAAGAGTTTGGGGAGATGGGGTTGGGATTAGCTTTTAATAGATGATAAAGCTTAGGCCAAAATAATCAACCTGGTTCTTCTTTTTTCACTGCATTCGAATGGAAAGAGCGCTAGACTGCGAGTCAGGACAGCTGCCTGGACTCCCAGCTCCCCTACTCACTAGCTATATGGCTTTGTATAGATCATTTTACTGTCTGAGCTGCGGTTTCCTTCTCTAAAAGAAAATGGAATAATGAACTCTGTCCACGTTATGTGAAAGCAGCTCATGAATCCTGCCGTGCTCTGTGGGTGAGGGCCTCGCTCAAGAGTGCTGTTGGGAGAAGCCTTCAGGTGCAGTTCCTCGGCTCCCTGGACACTCAGCTGGGGGCTCATGGGTCCTGGGGAGGGCTCCGGATGCAGGGGGCAGTGATGGCCAAGGCCCTTGGGGGCTCTCTGTTGGGGCCACTCACAGCAGGGATGCAGATGTTCAATATCAGCACCCCCCCTCCCAGCATCTGGAGAAACAGCCTTGCCGCTGACTCCAGGCAGGCTCTAGATGATCAGCTGATGATGAAATTTACATCTGAGCCTGTTCCCTTGAGATCTCACACATGATTCCATTTTGGAACCTTTCCCATCCCCCTCATTTCCTTCCCAAACCTCTTCTCTCAGTGGGAAAGGGTATCGTCTCCCTCCAGGGTACCCGGGAAATTCCCATAGAAATGTCCTCAGGGCTGTTCCACCCGGGAACATTGGGCAGCCCCTCCTCCTGGTTCCAGCAGCTCTTAGAGAATTGAGATTGACTCTGCAGGTGGGTGATGCAGGGAGGCCTAAGTATGCGTGTGAAGGTGACTCCAAACTTCCTGGGTCCCAGAAGCTCTCGGGCAGCTCAGGGAGGAGGACCTGGACAGCAGAAAGCACATAGATACAGAGAGAAGAGGAAGCATTCCTCCAGCGACTCCTCCCACTTATTTTCCAAGCAGATCTTTGGCCCTGGCCTTGCCTGGCCCAGCACTTGTCAGGGTCCCAGGGCTGGGCTTGAGCTGAGCAAAATAATGAAAATGGTGATAAACAAATCAAAAAGCAACTCATACTTGTGTAACTCTTTCAAAGACTCATATATATAGTATCTCAGTAGATCTTCACAAGTGGGTATGGCACAAACCATCTCCATTTATAGATGAGAAAACCGAGCTTCAGAGAGTCTACTTGAATAGCTCATGATTTCAGAGCTGGTGCAATGAATATTCAAGCCTATATTCTCTTTTGTTGGCTATGTTTTTTCAACCTAGATAACAGACAGAAAGAAAATGATGTTTATTCAGGAATGGGAATTGCAATGGGAATACATCCAACTGAGAAGTGTAATGCAGGTTTGGGAAACAATGTTTTTTCTCTCCTTTTTTTTTTTTTTCTAGAAAAATCATGTTTATTTGGGGGGAATAGAGCATTGCAATGGGGCTACATGTCTACATGTGTCCTAGTAAACTATGTGCATATTGGGAAAAAGGAAGACAAATGTTGTTAAAGGAAAAATGAGGAAGATCGCATAATTGTTTTCAGATAATTATCCTTGGCTACAAGGATCAATAACAGGGGTGGCACCTGTCTGAGGCTGGACAGGAAGCTGCCGGACAGCTGCCCTCACAAAAATATTTGTGTGTGTGTGTGTGTAAGGTTGAGACGGCTTTTGTGCAAGGTTGTGGTTTTTGCAGGGTTTTTGTGATAATTCTGATTGGGCATTTGTGCAAGACAACCCTCCCTTCTCAACCTTCCCTGGCTCTATTTGTTAAGGTTTTTTTGTTTTTGAGACAGAGTCACTCAGGCTGGAGTGTAGTGGCACAATCTTGGCTCATTGCAACCTCCATCTCCTGGGTTCAAGCAATTCTCCTGACTCAGCCTCCTGAGTACCTGGGATTACAGGCATGTGCCACCATGCTTGGCTAATTTTTTTTTTGTATTTTTAGTGGACGGGGTTTCACCATGTTGGCCAGGCTGATCTTGAACTCCTGACCTCAGGTGATCCACCCACCTTGGCCTCCCAAAGTGCTGGGATTACAGGCGTGAGCCCCCACGCCCGGCCTTGTTAAGGTTTTTTTAACACAAGGGACTCCGTTTTGATGCCGGAAACTTTCCCAGTTTCCCTGCCAGGTACAGAGCAGGGAGTGGGCACAGTCAGGAAGTAAAGCTGAAAGGAACATCAGGAGCCCAAGAGGGTTGAGGGCTCCCAGCTAGAGGTGATCTTAGTGAGATAGGGTGGGGAGCATTCAGCAGCCAGAGCAGAGAGAAAAATAATGTGATTCTGGCAAAGGGGGCTGGGCCCTGGCATGGAGCATTTTAGGGAATGCGTGAATCGGAGAGGTGGGAGGCTGTGGCCCCCGGGCGATGGCACACCAAGGTGGAGGACAGTGGGACTGATTGCCCTCGCCCACCCCCGGGAGTGTTATCACTGACCTTGTCTAGAATTGCTGGAGCATGGTAATAATAAATAATACACTGACTCCTAGTCGCTTTTATGATTGTTTTGAAATTCTCTTGTGACGATGCCACTTCCCTTCACCCCTGGCAGGAAACTGACCATGGGGCACGGCATATTCCTCTTTCTTCTTCTTTTTTTAAGAGACAGGGTCTCACTCTGTTGCCCAATTGGTATGGTGGTGTGATCATGACTCACTGCAACCTCGACCTCCAGTGCTCAAGCGATCCTCTCACCTCAGACCCCCAAATAGCTGGGATTATAGATGCACACCAGCACGCCCAGCTAATTTTGTAAATTTTTTGTAAAGATGGGGTCTCACTATGTTGCCCAGGCTGGTCTTGAACTTCTGGGCTCCAGCAATCCTCCCATCTCAGCAACCCAAAGTGCTGGGATTACAGGTGTGAGCCACTGCACCCGGCCCTGTGCTGTGTATTTCTGCAATGCCTCCATGCTAGTCATGAGCTGGTGCTTCCTGGGCACTGTCTACTGTCTCCAGATGTTTTCTAGACTGGTGCCCTCTTTCTTCCTTAGTAGGTAGCACCATGGTACCTCAGTCCAAGCCTTCACATTGCAGGCAGTTGAGGTGACGTGCCTAGAGTCATAGACACGGTCAGTGCATGGGTGAGGAAACCCCCGGCTCCCAGACCTGGGCTTTGCTCATGAGCCACACGACCTCCTAGCAGGCAGGTGTGAGGCTGCTGAGGGAAGGGTGCTTCTGGGGGAGGGGTGCTGCTATGACTGGGAAGACAGGATGGCTGTGGGAACTCTGTCCCTAATGGGTGGGCCGCAGACTCTCCTGTCCATTAATGGGTACATCTAGGAACAGGTGCTTCTAACTGTTAGTGAATCTGAGCCTACGGGGCACTGGAGGTGGCTGCCCTGACCCATCGTGCCATTGATGTGGCGCAGCGGGAAGATAATTCGGCAAGAATTAGAAGGCAAAACCCACTTGCAAATAACAGCAGCAGCAGCAGCAGCGACAGCTACTACCTGCTGAGTGCTTATTTACTGGTTAATACTCATCGAGCACTTGCTATTTGCCAACCGCCATGCTCAGTACTTTTTAAGCTCACTTAATCCTCCCAACAGTCCTGTGAATTAACTTCTCTTATTATCCCTGTCTTAGGGAAGAGCACATTGAAGCTGATAGAGGTTAAATGACTCGTTCATAACCATCCAGCTAATCAGTGGCTCAGGAAGAATCAGGTTTGAGATCCAGCTGTTCAATACTAAAGCCCACTCACAACCAGCCCATGGTCCTGCGCCCATGGATGACATTTGGGTGGCATCCCAGGCCCCTGTTCCCAGGACAGGCAGCCAGCGGCCCTGGGAGCAGCATGTGCTCCCTGCTTGCCCTGTCCCTACTGCCTCTCATGCACTCTGTCATCGGATATTTCTTGAGTCCCACACCAGGTGTACTGCAGGCACAGGTCAGGATGCTGCCTGGGCTAAGCGGGTAGAGGGGTGTGGAGAACGAGTTCTTAGCCATGGTGGTTTGCCATGGGCTGAGCAGAAAGTCAGCATACCCTGGGCCAGCACAACCCAGTATTTATTTGTAATAACTCTGTGTATCCTCCAAAGAGTCTGCTTTACGTGAGACAGAGAGGACTAAGAGAAGGAGAGTGAGAGCGAGGGTGGGGGATCTTCATGGCTTAGACACTTGCCTAAGCAGCATTTCCTTTAGAGAAACGAAGGGGACACATCATGTTCTTCCTCAATGAAGATGTGGAGCACTGCATTACTTTCCATTTTCCTTTGAAAGACATTGAGAGAAGAATAAATAGATTTTGGCCTAAAATGAACCTCTTGCTGCTTCCAGAATAACTAAGGCTTCTGAGCCCACAGCAGGGAATTGCAGAACTGGGAGGGATTTTAGATTCCCCTAGAGCAAAGGTGAAGAAAAGCACAAGCATGTTCAGTAATATTAGGCTGGGTCTCCTGAGGGGCTTTTTAAATTTTAATTTTTGGGACAGGGTCTTGGTGTCTCACCCAGGCTGTGCACAGTGGTGCGATCATGGCTCACTGCAGCCTCAGTCTCCCCAGGCTCAAGTGATCCCCCCACCTCAGCCTCCTGAGTAGCTGGGAGTACCGGTGCAAGCCACCACACCTGGCTAAGTTTTGTATTTTTTGTAGATAGGGGGTTTCGCCATGTTGCCCAGGCTGGCCTTAAATGCCTGTGTTCAAGCAACCTGCCCCACTTTGGAGTTCCAAAGCGCCGGGATTGCAGGCATGAACCATTGCACTCAGCCCCAAAGGGCTTTTATATTTGGGCCTGGCTCACAGTTCTCAGCATTTGAGATGAAACAAACCCAGCAAATAGAAGTTCAGAAAGTTGATTTGGCTGCATTCCCTAGAAACCATTTAGGTTGTGGTTACCAAGCCCACAAGACATCTACTTTTAAAGTCAGAAAGCCACTGATTTCTGGTGTGTGTGAAGGGCGCATTCTACACAGAACACCTGCTCAGTGTCAGGAGGCCCAGCTGCAGCTGCAGATGACAGGGCCTCGTGAGTGTACACGGAGAGGGTGTAAGGCTTTCGATAATCTGCCAAATCCAATAAACGCCTTTCCCTACTCCAGGGAGGTTTTGGTCTGTGAAAGAGACCTGAGACACCAGCAACATTTGTACTCCTTCTGCCCTTTTCCAGGCCCATCGAAGGCCATCAAGATACAGGTTGCACCTGTCAGGACTCAGGTTGGAGCCAGCCAGGCACCTGGGAGTCAGCCTGCCCCTGAGGTTGTGGGAGGAAAAGCACCATCAAATGCAGCCCAAAGACTTTGATTCAAGGTCTTTTATCCCTCTGGGAGTGAGCTAACTCCAGGGCAGTTGAAAGAAAGGTCAGTTTCTTCTGCAGCTTCTCCTTCTTCTCAGTTCCTCTCTTGTCTAGCTCCCCAGTTGAGCAGAGCTGAGCAGTGCTAACCTGTGGGGGAAACCAGACAGAAGCTAGAGATCTCCTGCCCAGATACTGGGAAGGGAATTTCTCAGACGAGGTTCAACCTGTCAGGTCCTGTCAAAGTCCCAGGCTATGAGCTTAAGGATCCCTGCCTCATGGTCCGGTTTGAAGGGAAAATTTCTCCTGACATCCTGACCCATGCTTTTCTAACCTGACTCCACATCTCCAGAAAGCTGCAGTTCACCTGTTCCCCTTCCTGTTCCAGCAGTGCTCTGAGAGAGACTGAGGCTTCATGTTACAGATCAGGAAGCAGAAAGGGAGTGGCTAGATCTGTGTTTGAATCCCAGTTTTGCACACTGATGAGTTGTGTGGTCCTGGGAAAATGTCTTGCCTGCTCTGAATGTTAGTTTTTACACCTGTACTTTAGTTATGAAAGATTTTACACTATCAGGTCCCCTGATGGGTTGGCAATTAGTTGAGTAATCTGCTTCAATATTTTTTTTTCGAGACAGAGTCTTGCTTTGTCACCCAGGCTAGAGTGCAGTAGTGCCATCTCGGCTCACTGCAACCTCTGCTTCCTGGGTTCAAGCGATTCTCCTGCTTCAGCCGCCCAAGTAGCTGGGATTACAGGCACCTGCCACCACGCTCGGCTAATTTTTGTATTTTTAGTAGAGATGGAATTTCATCATATTCGCCAGGCTGGTCTTGAACTCCTGACCTCGTGATCTGCCCGCCTTGGCCTCCCAAAGTGCTGGGATTACAGGCATGAACCACTGCACCCAGCCAATTTCCTCCATTTTTTTTTTTTTTTTTTTTTTTTTTTTATTGAGACAGAGTCTCACTCTGTCGCCCAGGCTGGATGGAATGCAGTGGTGTGATCTCGGCTCACTGCGAGCTCCGCCATTCTCTGTCTCAGCCTCCGGAATAGCTGGGACTACAGGTGCCCACCACCACACCTGGCTAATTTTTTGTATTTTTAGTAGAGATGGGGTTTCACCGTGTTAGCCAGGATGGTCTCGATTTCCTGACCTCGTGATCCGCCCACCTCGGCCTCCCAAAGTGCTGGGATTACAGGCGTGAGCCACCGCGCCCGGCCAATTTGCTCCAATTTTAGAGAATAAGATTGGAAGACTTCCTCACATACAACCTCAGGAATCAGGGCGAGGAATCCATCTGAACACCTCATGCCCACAGTCAATTGCTCCTGTATTGCACCCTCGTCCTGGCTCCAGCCTGAGTTAAGAAGCCATGACGTAGGCTGGGCGCGGTGGCTCATGCCTGTAATCCCAGCACTTTGGGAGGTTGAGGCCAGTGGATCACCTGAGGTCAGGGGCTCAAGACCAGCCTGGCCAACACAGTGAAACCCCTTCTCTACTAAAAATACAAAAAAATTAGTTGGGCCTGGTAGCTCTTGCCCATAGTCCCAGCTACTCAGGAGGCTGAGGCAGGAAAATTGCTTGAACCTGGGAGGTGGAGGTTGCAGTGAGCCAAGATCGCACCACTGCACTGCAGCCTGGCAACAGAGCGAGACTCCATCTCAAAAAAGAAAAAAAAAGAAGAAGCCGTAACTGAGGTCTAGAATACTGTCATTGTCCCTTCAGCATGTGGCCATTGGCATTGGCTGCTTAAACCCCTAACTGTGAGGGTTGGCATGGCTTGTGAAATATGCTGCAATATGAAGCACTCAGGTATCTTTCGGAGGGAGCTTAAGGAACTGCTACTCCCATCAACTCTGTGCGATGGAATTGCTTTTGTCCTCAGAAGCAGATGAGTGGGCTAAGAAGAGCTGGGATGTCTCATAATTTGAGAAAAAAGCTGTCCGTGTCCCCAAACCAAAGCACCAGCAGATAAGGAAGGCACTATTGTCCCAACAGGTTGACTCCAGGCTTTCCTGCCTGATCGGGTCAGAAGCTCTCTGCTGGTGCTAGCAGAGAAGGCCTGAGCAGCAGAGGCTTCCACCTAGATTTTGTGGGGATAACACACCACCTGGATCCGACAGGTGGCGCTCACTATTGCTCGATGGTCGGGGGAAAGAAGGCAGGGAATTTAGCTTCTATACCGCTGTGGCTGACCGTACTTTCCAACAGGCCAGGCCTGAACCTCAGGGTCTGCCTGTGACCCACCAGCCATGCCATGCTCAGTCCCGTCTGCTGGGATGTCTGGGCATGAGCCCAGCACAGTGGGTGGTTATCGTGGAGATGGGAGACATGTGCTCCCTGCCAAAGGCCAATTTCAGGAAACTGATGAGACCTCTGCTCTTATTCGGGATCTCTGAACATCCAATGGTAGGGACAGCTAGTCTTGCTAACAGAATCCTTCCTTTCTTAGGGTCTGACACCATCTCAGTGATGGTGGACATCATAATGATCTCGGGGGACACAACATGACCTGGTTCTGTTGTGCAGAAGTTGATTGCTCTTCTCAGGTCCCCTCACTTCCAGACCAATGACCAGAGGGAGAACTTGAACTGGTTTCTAGAAGGGCTCCACAGAGGCAATAATACAACAGCGCCCTCTCCTTTTCACTCCTCTCCTCGCACTTGCTCATTCCACTAAAAATGGTTGTTGCCAGCATGGTTTTTGGAGTTCTTGAGATGCAAAATCAGGAACTGGGTGGTAAGAGGCCTCTGACGTTTGTTGAACAAAACTGAGCTTCTGCATACGTGGATCTTGAAAGGCAGAGATGCTGGCTTTTGGAAAAGTGCCGTGGCTCCAGATCTGAACCCTTTAATGTGACTTGACAGACACAGGATGGGGAGTCCTCAGTGATTATTATTTGACAGCTGAGTACTTTTGAATATATGTGATTTGGCCAGTTGCGGTGGGCCTACCTGTAATCCCAGCACTTTGGAAGGTCGAGGTGGATGGATCACCTGAGGTCAAGAGTTCGAGACCAGCCCAGCTAGTTTTTGTATTTTTGTAGAGATGAAGTTTCACCATGTTGGCCAGGCTAGTATCAAACTCCTGACCTCAGATGATCTTCCCACCTCGGCTTCCCTAAGTGCTGGGATTACAGGCATGAGCCACCGCACCTGGCCAGATTTCTTGGTTTCAAGTAACAGACATTAACTCTGGATGTCTTAAGCATACAGAGAGTGTACTGGGAATACATCTTACCCCCACAGAATAGATGTGAGACGTGCCCATAAACCAAGGGGGCTCTGCAGGGCTGTTCTGTCCAGTCATGGCCCTGAAACAGTTTGCTGCACCGGGACGAACTGATATCTCAATGGCACCCATGTGATTCTGTCATTCACCCCAGTAAAATTTCTGGGGATATAGGTCTCTAAGCCTAAATGTTGGACCCTCCTCATGGGTGCCCTGGGACTTGGAGAGTGAGATTGACACCTGTGGCCCCCTCAGAGACACTGCCCATTGACTCAAAGTCCACACCCAGTGGGCTACAGGGTCAATACATTATGCTGTTTGTGTGTGATAATTTAGTATTCTTGTTTCTTGTGTGGGTTTTCAGCAAAAGTAATTGTAAACGTTTCAGTCCTCTCTGAATGCTGCTGGAGAGAGTTGTGTCTTTTCTGCACCCCACTGTCAAACTTAGAGCAGCATCTCCACCAGGCTGGAGTGACCATGGCCTTAGAAACTGCAAGAAAAGGGTTGGAGTTTTTGGCTTTTTTGAGCATTAGATCCTTTTGACATCTGGTGAAAGAATATCTGCTTTTTCCCTTCGCCCAGTTTTCTCTTTTATTTTCTATTTTTATGTTAATTTCATTGCATTGATATTGTTTTGTGAACTTTTGCAATGTCCTTCCCTGTTTTTTTTTTTTTTTTTGATAAGGGGGTGGTTTGAAATGAGCACGTGCAGGTGGTCTGATGCCACAGGACCACTGTAGACACACTCACAGACCCGAAGGGATCAGCTGAAGCATGATACCCTCGGAGGCTCGCCTCATGGACCATGATGATCTCTGATTTTTCTTCTTTGCTGGAATTTGGGTGATCGATGTTGAGGCTGGGCTCTGAGCAGTCGGCTCACCCCTGCTTAGCGTTTGGTGCAGAGGTTCAGAGTGTGCCTGCTAGGCATGTTTGTGGAGAAGGGAGATCCAAAACTCAGCTGCCCTTCTGTTTTCTTAGTAGAGAATGAGGAGGGTCTCAATGCAGACCCGAGGCCTCTGCCTCCAGGTGGGAACCCTGGAGTGGATGGTGAGGACGTGCTCTTGGACAGTGCTGCCTTCAGACAGCTGCAGGTTTGGAATGGGTGTAGGGTCCAGTGTGTCACCGCACTGGTGAAAGTAGCATGTTCGGTGTGTGGGATTTTAGGGTGAAACCGATCGGGACTCGTGAAAGCCACTGAGTACAGAGCCATGAAAGCAACTTGGCAACCAGAAGCATGATGGCTTTAAACCACAGGATGAGCATTGAGGGTCTTGCCATTCGGGGGGTCTAGTTGGATTCTTGCCTCCTCACTGGAACCACAATCTAGCTTGATTCCCATGCTTACTAATGGAGAGGTGGTGCAACTTTACACTCAAGACACTGCGTGCAGACTCTGTGGATTTAAACCTGGGACTAACTCTTGTCGTGTGACCTTGGAAAATATTCTTCATCTGCCAAATGGGAGAAATTGTAGATTTTATTGTGTGGAGTAATTTCCCTAATAGATGTAAACCACTCAAGTGTGTGACTGGTGTGTGGTTAGCTTTTGTTTCTATGGCCAGAATATATCATTGCTTGGGCCTGTGAACTTGTATTAATCAATAGAATTTGAATTTTTATTATTATTTTTTGAGACGGAATCTCACTCTGTTGTCCAGGCTGGAGTGCAGTGTCGTGATCTCTTTTCAATGCAACCTCCGTCTCCCGGGTTCAAGCAATTCTCCTGCCTCAGCCTCCTGAGTAGCTAGGATTACATGCACCCACCACACCCGGAAGATTTTTGTATTTTTAGTAGAGATGAGGTTTCACCATGTTGGCCAGGCTGGTCACAAACTCCTGACCTCAAGTGATCTGCTCACCTTAGCCTCCCAAAGTGTTGGGATTACAGGCGGGCAGGCGTGAGCCACTGCGCCTGGCCTGAATTTGAATTTGAAAGAGGAATGAGTGATTGGAGATGGGAGGGTAGGAAAAATAACAGGGGATGCATTTCATGGCAGTGCTGCCTTTACAAAATGTTTCTGGAATTTTGCCAGTAAATTGTCAGAATGTGGTCCTCATTTCTGCCCATGGCTCACTTACGAGCTCTAAGATCCTGACACACAGATTAGGAGTGTAGTACTTTGAGCCATTCACATATCCTTTTAATGAACCCATGGATCTTTGGCTTGCGGGGGTTGAAAACGTGTCATATTTTTACAGCAAGACAGAATATTGTGGCAGAACGCAATCCACCTGTATCCTGGCGGACACCCGAAGAAACATACGGCTTTCTGGCTAGTGCAGGTGCGAACTTTGACTCCATCATTCCCAAACATACCTTTTCCTGAAGCGGGGAGAGACCACAGAAAAGAAAAATTAATCTTAATGAGGCTGGGAGAAATCCTAGGCTTGCCATCACCTCCTGGTTGATGGCTTGTTAGTTGTGATTTACCTCACCTCTTATCACAACTCAGCAAGGCAGATAAAGCTCAGGGTAGCCAGAGGCATTGGAGGGGAGATAGGAATCTGGGTGGCTGCACGATCTGTGTGCACAATGACATCCACCCCCGTCCCCGGTGCACTGGCAGATCTTCCAGCTGCAGCAACAGCAGAGCAGGGCAGGAGCTGGGGTCCGCTCACCATGCCCCTAACATGGTGGCCCATTTGATATTGGTGTCCTGTTGCTGGGCTTATAGTTAGAGGGTTTTTTAAGCATCTCAATCTTTGGGAACACCCACTTTTATGTTCAGACTCACGCCCACTGTCTTACCTGAAGGCAGTAAGATCACCAGGAAAAAGAGTAATGCAGAAAGACAGAGGTTCATGGCCGAAGAGGGCACAGAGTTGGAACTCCCAGTGGTGTCTGCCTGGGAGGCTCCTTTATAGAGCTGGGCTGGGCTGCGATGGGTGGGGCTGGACCCTGGCCTCACTCTTCCTGGAGGGGCAGACTGAGGAGATCACAGGGTTCTGCAGAATTCGAGGAAGAAAAGGCCCTGGCCTTTCAGTGCTACCTCCTTTTCTACAAACCGCGGGAAAACCAGAGACTCAGCTAAGGCTGTCACGTTTCCTGATAGCAGAATAGGAGAAAAGACCAGGATCCCCATGCCTAGGCCTGAGCGCTTTCCCTCTGCCTTCAAATGTACTTTGATATAAACATGGCAGTGAAAATGTCTGCTCTGTCTCTCCTTTCCTCTGGAGCACCACTGAAAGCTCAGGAGCGCAGAGAAAGGGTGTTATGAAACACAGGCTGAATTTAAGCCTGGAAAGACAGTTCCGACACACGGAGTCTCTCAAATTGTCAACCAGTGGCCTGACCAAGAGAAGGTAGGGGCTCAGAACTAGTGGAGAAGGGACAGCTTCCTTGTCTAGCAGCTGACTTATTTACCTGGCTGAAGGCAGATACTGCAAAAAAAAAAAAAAAAAAAAGTCCTGGAAAAGTTCACTGATGGACTTTGTTCTCCAAATGGCTGGTATGAAACGTTGGCTAGGATGAGGGGACTCTGAAGGTTCTAGGAGAGATTTCTTTTTTGGAGTTGAGGAGTTGAAACTCTCCCTTAGAAGAGTCGGTTCAGTGCTGTGTTCAAGGTTGGATGCACAGTGTCCAGAGTGGAGCCAGACAGGGCTTCTCTGGAGTGACAGAGACTCAGCCCTGGAGAAGGGCCCTTAGGCCTGTCTCTCTTGGGGTGATGAGGGATGTCTGAGGGTGAAGATGACACTAACTTTGATTTTGTTCTGACCCTTAAGGCAGGCTTTTACGCAGGCAGCCAACAACCACAGGGCTGTGTGTGGTGTGTCAGTGGAGCATGGTATTCCTGGGTACACTCTGCTTTGCAGGCCTAGACCCTCAGATGCATTATTTAGCATCTCAGCCTCAAGAACTCCTCAAAAAGTGCATTGGAAGGTTATGCGTGGTTTTTTTTCAGGATGAAATGAGATACAGCTTATAAAATGCTTTGCACGCACACTGCCATACAGTAGGTACTCAATATTATTATTATTATTGTTTTTTGAGACAGTCTTGCTCATCACCCAGGCTGGAGTGCAATGGCCCAAACTCGGCTTACTGCAACCTCCATCTCCTGGGTTCGAACGATTCTCCTGCCTCAGCCTCCGAAGTAGCTGGGACTACAGGTGCCCACCACCACACCTGGCTAATTTTTGTATTTTTAGTAGAGATGGGGTTTTGCCACGTTGGCCAGGCTGGTCTGGAACTCCTGACCTCAGGGGATCCACTTGCCTCAGCCTTCCAAAGTGCTGGGATTACAGGCATGAGCCACCCCACCCAGCCAATACAGTAAGCACACATATTCTTAATTTTCTGGTTCTTGCTTACTAATCTTTCCCTACTCCCAGGTCATAAAACTATTTCCTATATTATCTTTCTTTTTTCTTTATTATTTTTCTTTCTCATTTAGCTCTATAACCACCTGTGATGATTTCTGTGTATGGTATAAATTAGGGGTCCTATTTAGTTTTCTTTTCCCCTATGGAAAACCAATTGTTTCAAGACCAAAAATTATTGAAAAGATTGTTGTTTCTCTACTGTCTAGCTGTGCCACCTTTGTTTTAAATCAGGCTCCACATATGCGTGAGTCTGATGCTGGGAACCTTAATCTGTTCTATTGTTCTATTTGTCTATACTTGCACTAATGCCATGCTGTCTTACTGCTATAGCTTCATAATAAGTTAATAAACTTTTAAATAAGATCTATCTATCATCTATCTATCTATCTATCTATCTATCTATCTATCTATCTATCTATCTATCTATGAGTCTGTCTCCAACAGAGCCAAATCTTCCCACTTATCTTTTTTGTGTGTGTGAGTGTCTTGGCTATTTTTGGTTCTTTTCATTTCCATACAGATTTTAGAATCAGATGGTCAAATTCCCCCAAACAACAGTTCATTATGCTGTTAGTCTTGATTTTTCTCTTTTGTGATGTACAACCTCCTGAATGCCTGTGGGCTGTTGTATTTGTGGATTGAATACATCTTGTATTCATGCTGTAATGAACACTTTACACGAAATAAAGTTGGAAAAGATTCTGCTTCCTAGACAACAGTAAAATCCCAAGGACCTGTCTCCCCATCCCATGAATCTCTTTGGCTGTGAATAGCATCAGTGGTATCTGTAATTTCCTCAGTGGCTTGGCTGCAGTTGCTAATGGAAGCTATGGTGAGGCTTTGCTGGGGTTAGGGATGCCAGGTTGGCCACTCCTCAAGCCCTTGTAGTGATAATGACAGACAATGCATACGTGACCTTGGGTCACTGGATGGTGTATGTGGGCACCAGTGTTAGCAGGTCCAGGTGGGCCAATCCCAGGCAGATTTCTTGGTACTGGCAGTGGCAGTGGAGGGCTGGATGGGTGGGTAGGTTCTCAGGTCCCTGGGCAGCATGAATAGTGTGAGTGAGGGTAGCAGTGGTGCAGGATAACACTCAGGCTCCCAGGTGCACTTCCTAATGTTAGTGGTGGCTATGATGGGCTTGGCAGGCTAGTCTCTAGGCTCCTAGGCAACACATGTGGGTGGCTGTGGTTGGTGGTGTTGGCAGCAGGCTAGGTGGGCCCATCTTCAGGTCCCTAGGAGGAGTGTACAAGGACCAGAGATGGTGGAATGGATCGGGTAATTCCTAGTCTTCAGATGGGGTGCTCAGTATCTGGGGGCATGACGTCAAGGCTTTGGTGGCGTGCAGGAGTGTAGGCTGTAGTAGGTGGGGCTGAGCGATCTGTGGTGGTGAGTGGAGAGCCTGACCTCAGAGGTTGTGCTAGAGCACAGCAATCCTGCTGCTGGTATGGGTAAGGTTGCTCTCAACTGTCCCTTGCAAGGAGCTCTCAGGCTCTGGGAGTTCACACTTCATTTCCAGCAGTAGCAGTAGCTGCCATGGTGTATATGGGGAGGGAGCCTGTATTCAGAACACAAACGAAAGCACAGAGGATGTGCTTCTGATAGGGATGAGGTTGGTGATCACAGCCCTAAGCAGAAAATTCTCAGGCTCTGAGTAGTGCTTGCTTCAGCTCGTGGCTGCAGTGTTGTTCAGGGCAGCGGAGGGATCCTGCCTTCTGCATGTGAGCTCAAGCACAAAGGCCTTGCTGCTGGTCAGGGAGTGGTCGCTATTCACAGACCCAGACAAGCAGCTCCTGGATTCACTCGCATTGGCTGCCAGTAGCAGCAGCAGCAGCAGCTGTAGTGTTGTGCATGGGAGTAAAGGAAGAGACCCCACCTTCTGTGTATGGGCTGGAGCACAGGGGCTGTACTGCTAGTGAGGGCAGGGTGTTATTCACAGATCCAGAGAGGCAGCTCTCAGACCAACTTGTTTTGACTCCTGGCGGGACCAGCAGCTGCTGCAGTGGCCTAGGGGGTGAGCCCAAGCATAGATGTCATTCTACTGGTGGGGGCAGGGTTGCTTCTTACAGTCCCAGACGGGAGCTGTCAGGCTCTGGAAAGCTCCCAGTAGGGCTCCCTTTGTCCCTGCGAGAGTCTCCTGGGTGCACTGCACCATCCTTTCCCCAGGGAGTAGTACTCCACTTGGGCTAAAGTGCTGAGGACTCTGTAGCATCACTGGGTTCAGCCAGTGCCGAGCCACTGCAGCCATCTGGGTGGACGTCAGGGGATATCAGTGGGGGTTCTCCTCTGTGGAGATGTGGGGCCTCTTGGTTCCCAGGACAGGATTCATTCTGGTGGAGGCTGGGCGCTTGCACTAGCACTGTGCTGCAGCCGCTTAGATCTCAGGAGATGTGTATAACTCAACATGACTTCCCTGTGTGGAGCAATGCCCTTGAGAGGTATCCTGATCACCACCCACGCTAATCTCAGGGCCCACGTGGGATAAAAGCCCTCCTGCTGCTAGGGTTACAGTAGTCTGAGATGGAGATGTGAACCCCCGAGAGGCTCTCATTTACCTTTTCCCAGCAAATGGGAGCCATTCCAGGCTCCTAGCCAACCCACATCCTGCTCCTTCTATGGCTCCAGTGTTTCCTGTAACTTCTCTGTTTAACTCTGGAGTTTTCTCATAGATGTTCTATCCTAGGTGTAATTCACAATTTTGGTTCTTTTTTTCTGGAGAGGGAGAGTGTCCCATGTCTTTACTCAGGCGTCTTGACAAAATGAAACTTTGTACCCTTTGACCAATATCTCCCCTCTCTGCACTCCTGGCCCTAGCCTCTGGTAACCACCATTCTTCTCCCTGCTTCTGAGTTTGACTTTTCTAGATTCCACATATAAGTAAGATTATGCGGTATTTGTCTTTCTGTGCTTGACTTATTTCACTTAGCATAATGTCACTAAGGGTATTTTAATGCTGTGCTTAGGAGTTTAAGCTGGGGGAATCAAGTCCACACTTGTCTTAATATGGGTTTAGGGTGTTGTAAAATCAAAGTCATGGAGACCCATTACAAGGCTTTATGACTCCAAGATCAAGTGAGAAGTAAAGTAAGAGTATTGGCAGTAGTGTAAAAAGGAGAATATTCATCTCAAGAGCAATAAGAAATAAAATAAATAAATACTTGATTTTTAATATCTGTGGAATTTAGAAAGAGAAAGGTAGTTAGGATAATTTCCAGGTTTCTGATTTAAGTTTGTGGGTTCAGTGGTGAAGTTCACTGGAAACACCAGAGGTTTTGGGAGGAAGGATGAGAAAAAAATTAGTAATGTTTTGGATAGGTTGAGTTTGAGCTTCCTGTAGGATGTCTAGGTGGAGCAGCCAAGTAGACAGTTGGGAAGTTTAAAAGAGGAACTGAGATTGCATATATAAATTTTAGAATCAAAAGTCAAAGAGTCATAAAAATGAATGAATTCAACAAGAGAGATTCAGAAGAGTAAGAAGAAAATAAGATTGAGGAGCAAACCTCACATCAGCATTTATGGCAAGAAAAGGGAAGGTAGAATTGTGGAAAAGACTCTGACAATGTGCCTGAAAGGTACAAAGCAATCCAGGAAGATTGTGATGTGATACAGAACAAGAACATCATCTTAAGAAGCAAATACTTGGAGAGGATGCTGATATGGTTTGGCTATGTCCCTACCTAAAACTCACCTTGAATTGTAATAGTCCTGACCTGTGAAGAGTGGGGCCAGGGGGAAGCCATCCTGAAGGATTTTCCACAGGGCAAATGCATAAATCAATTTCAGTTTTATAAAAGGTCATTTTGGTTACCAAGTGGAGAATAAATGGTAAATATCTAAAAATGATATGGGAGCCATTTAAGAGGCCATTTACTGAGTTTGGTGACAGAGGTGATGGCATGGACGCAGTGGCAGCAGTGGAGATGGAAATGGGCGAGTGTGAAACGCATGCTGAAGGCAGAACTGGGAACGTTTGACGAGCAATTCAATGTGGACAGGGTGAGGGAAAGGCGGTGTCAGGATCATCTCAGGTATCGTTCAGGAGATTGTGAAGTGGGGCTTACTTGTCCTCTGGTGTGTGGAGCCTGGGTCAATGAACAGCTTCCAGTCACCAAGGCTGCCAGGAAGCAGTGTCCTTAGAGAAGGACCTAGCATTTTGCCAAGACACAGAGATGGAAGAGTGTTCTTGGGGAAGACATAAAGTAGAAGGTATGTTTATAGTAGAACTGTGGTTCTGGACGGCACAGTGGGAAGGGTTGAGATGGAGACAGAGGGAGTTTCTTGGAGAACAGAAGATCAGGACCATGGCAGCTGAGAGAGTGCAAATCAGGCTGTGCCTAATGCTGCAGGTTGGAAAGTGGGTCTCAGGAGAGTCCCTTAATGCATTTGTGCTTGCTTAATCTTTTCTCTTTGTGCTCCTCAAAACTCAGGTCCTCTATTCTTTCTCTATTTACTGATTTTCTGCTCTGCAGTTCTTTATGAGTCTTTCACAGATGTGCAATCTCAACCACATCGCAAACATCCTGAAGTTGGAAAACAAGAGTCCATTGAAGTGGCATACATTTGATGCATTCTTGTGAATAAAACAGGGACAGAGAGAGGGAAGCATGTGTTCCTAGTCCTGGCTATTTCACTCTCTAGCTGGAGAAGCAACATGTCTAGTTTTATTTCTTTAAATAGAGAAAGGGGTCTCACTATGTTGCCCATGATGATCTTGAATGCCTGGCCTCAAGCGATCTTCTCATCTCGGCCTCCCAAAGTGCTGCGATTACAGGCACATGCCACCACACCTGGCCAATATCTATAGTTTTAAATGTCTTCTTCTGTTACATGAGTCTAATAGTTCCTTAAATATATGTTCTATATGTTCTATAAAGGACTGGCCTTAAGAGTTACTTCATTTGGCCTTGCGACAAGCCTTCCTGATAGGTGGGAATGATGGAGTACAACCTTTTTTTTGTTGTTGTTGTTGTTTAAGACAGAGTCTCACTGTGTCACCCAGGCTGGAGTGCAGTGGTGCAATCATGGCTCACTGCAGCCTTGACCTCCTGGGTTCAGGTGATTCTCCCACCTCAGCCTCCTGAGTAGCTAGGAGTACAGGCGCTCACTATCATGCCTGGCTAATTTTTGCATTTTTTGTAGAGATGGGGTTTTGCCATGTTGCCCAGGCTGGTCTTGAACTGCTGAGCTCAAGCAATCCACCTTCCTCAGCCTCCCAAAACGTTAGAATTATAGGCATGAGCAACTGCACCTGGCCAGGTGTACAACCTTCTTTCCAAGTGAGAAAACTGATGGTCAGTGAGGTAAAGTACGTGCTTTATTAAAAGCTTGTCAAGCTACTGCATGCAGAGTCCAGACCAGAAAGACTTTCTGATTCTGGGTTTTGTGTTCTTCATACAGTATCAGATAAAGTTGCTGAAAAACTTAAAACACTTCAAAAACTGTCAAACACTGTCGACTTTAGTCCCTCCAAGCAAGACTTTTGTCATAAATTCTTTGTATGCCCCCCCATTACCCGGCACACAGCATATGCTCAATGGGGAGCCATAGACTCAGTGTTTTTCCCTGGGTCATGTTGCGGGTGTTATGGGGACTTGCTTTTTCCATGCTGTTTTTGAGGAGCTCTTATTTTCCTAAAGACATTACAGCTATACCAGAACTGGGCAAGGCCATACTTTAGTACTTCTGTATATAGGAGTCAGGGAAGCCTGCTTATAAATCATGTTGCTACCATTTAGGATCTATGTGAGCTTGAGAAAGTCATTTCTTCTACCTGAGACTCTTTATTTTTGTTTTTAAAATGGAGAGAATCATGCCTACCTGGACTTCGTGTGTGTGTAAGGTTGAAAAAAAAAACAAACTCTTTGTCAACTATGTAAGGCAGCCTTATGGTTCTCTGCACACTATAGGCATTTTAGTGGATGTACAATGAAGATACACAGACACCTACACAGCACCCTACCAGGGCCTAGAATAGGGCTGCCTACACAGTGTTCATGCAGTTGCTAGCATGCATGTGGCACCCAGGAAGTGTGCTTTAATGAAGGGATGTCATGTTCAAACAGACATTTTGCTGATTGGATTGCTCAGTGGAGCAGGCAGATGTTCTTGTTCCAAAAGGTTCACTAGCCATGCAGCTCCCCGTCTCTTCAAAGCTGCGGAGAGAGTGACTCTCCGATGAGTCACAGCTGCTTCTTTGCTGATTGGTATGGCCACAAGGAGCGTCCTCTTGGCCCTCGTGGTCCTTAACTTACTCTTCTATGTTCCACCAGGTAAAATGGAGTCCCCACCTTGTAGAATTAGGAATAGTAAAGGGAAAAAAGGTGTGAGGTTCTACAAGAGTGAGAAAAAGGCAGGACTTGGACAAAGGAAGCTGCAACAGGGAGGAAAGTGAGCAGAGATGGACATGCTGGGCTGGTCCAGAGAATGGAGAAAAGATCCAAAGGACACAGAACAGGAGGTAGCTCTCTTCAGAAAAGAAACTGGTTATGGATTTTGGTTTGAGGAGCTGGTGAAGTTTGAGGGGAAGGCTGGACTGTTGGTACTGGCAGAAGTAGGGCAGAGCAAAAAGATGAGACTTTCAAAGAATAGCGAGGACTTGGGGATGAGAAGGAGACTGTTCTTTGAGGGCTCTTAGAACTTGCCTTCTACAGTCAGCCACCCATGTTATTTTTCACTCATTTAGAAGCCAAGGTAAATTTTATGCTGAGCAGAATCCACAGACACAGCTGGTTAAGATGTATTACACTAACTTATAGCATGATGAGGTCCTATGAAACATCAGTTTGAGAGGTCAGAATTTACATTCTGTGGACAGAAGCCAGCAACTTGGTGATAATGAGAAGAGTCTACTTCAGTCACTAAAGTGGAGGTTCTCAAAACTGTTTTGCTTGTGGTTTTCTGGGGTCAGCAGAGAGCCCCTACCCTTTGCCTCAAACCTTCATATATAAAGCGTATCACTCAAGGACCAAGTGTGAAGTGTTTAAAAGACAGATATGAGGCTGGGCGCGGTGGCTCACGCCTGCAATCTAAGCACTTTGGGAGGCTGAGTCGAGTGGATCACCTGAGGTCAGGAGTTCGAGATCAGTCTAGCCAACATGGTGAAAACCCGTCTCTACTAAAAATACAAAATTAGCCGGGCATGGTGGCGCATGCCTGTCCCAGCTACTCGGGAAGCTGAGAAAAGAGGATCACTTGAACCCAGGAGGCGGAGATTGCAGTGAGCTGAGATGGTGCCATTGCACTCCAGCCTGGGCAACAAGCGTGAAACTTCATCTCAAAAATAAAAATTAAAAAAAATAAATAAAACGAAGACAGATACGAATGAGGACCATGTTGAGATGATGGCTGATGTCCTGCATGGTGGGACCTCCGACACTTTGCAGTGTGTCTCTACTGGACTCCTTTGTCCCCAGAAAAGTGCCTGAGGTCTAGGGAGCACATGGTGGGCAAGTTTGCCTGCTAACGGCCCTTGACCATACCACATTGATTATTTTCACACCACAAAGGTTCAATCCATGGACTCATGGGGGCACCTGGGTGGAGAAACTGATAAGACTTAGCATGCAAGAGCAGGTGATACAGTAGGGGCAACTCAGGGCCACCCTTACCCTCTTAAACTGCCTTCCTATTACCCCTCCTCCACCCTCTGGTTTCCAGAGGCTCCCAGTTCTTAAGGTGTAGAAAAATTACTAGCAATAAATTTCCATATTTGTCTCAGGTATTTCAAACCATTTCACACTCATTCTCCCATGGGTGCAAAGTACCCATGGGAGAATGGGTACTTCTTAAGTACCTTGTGATTAAGCACTTGACAAAAAGTCATGCAGAATGTTTTTGGGGAATACAGGGGTAGAAGTGCAGGCTTCTAAAATTCCACTTCAGTGATCCTTCTTTCTTTATGCTGACACTTTGATAATCACAAACTGCCTCAGGTAGCTATTCCAGACCCTGCATGCCTCCTGGTATGGGACCTCTGCAGGCTCCTGGGATGACTTCGATGTCTGAATATTCTTTCTGAAGCCAATAGTCTCAAGCTGAATATGCTGGGTCCTGTTAACTCCACACAGTTGATCAGTAATTCATGTAACTAATTGTGGATTCATATAATGGCTTATAATAGGGCCCCTGGAAAACAAGGTAAGAGCAACTGAAAAGGGGCATCCAGCTATAAAATGTCTTGAGTATCTTTGATCGCGTCTAATTCATTATTAAAAAGTGAAAACTATGGTCTGAGGTCTAATTTTATCCATGACAACATGACACTTCAGGACACTAACTGTGCATTAACCTTTGTTTCTCTTGGCAGGTAGAAGTGGACCCAATGTCTACATACAAAAAATCTTTGCTTCATGTTGGCGACTGCAAGGTACTTGCCGGCCAAAATGTCTAAAAAACGAACAATATCGTATTTTGTGTGATACTATACATTTGTGCTGTGTAAACCCAAAATATTTACCTATACTGACTGGGAAATAGTTGTGAGTACCTGAAAGCTGTTGCTGATTTCCTCTGGGAACCCAGATCCCTCTCAGTTGCACCATTCGATTAAAACAATGGCTTTAGCCTATCAGTGTTCCTGTGTCTGCTGTATTTCTCTTTATTGTCTCTCTTACAGAAATACTCTAATTCCTTGTATTGAGTATTTTTCTTTTTATTAATTTGTCGCTTCTTAAAAGTCTCTTAAGAACTTTTTGAAGTATAACATACAATTAAAAAATGTACAAATCATGAGTAAACATCCTCATGAACTGCACAAATTTAACACACCTGTGTAACCAGCATCCTGCCCCCACAAAAGAATGTTACAACATCCCAGGCACTACCAGTCACTACTCCACACAAAATAATTCCTAGCCTGACTTTTAATAGGAAGGCGCTGACATCTATTTTTGAACTTTATATAAATGGAATTGTAGGTATTCCTTTGTGTCTGGCGTCTTCCCCACTACATTACTTTTGTGAAGTTTATTAATCTGTTTCATGTAATTGTAGTTTATCCTTCTCAATGGCATACTGTAATACATTGGGAAAGATATTACAATTTATTTGAATATTGTAAGTGAAGATGGTCTTATTTGTAGTTTCCAGTTTTCACTTTTATAAATAGGGTTGTGGTGCAGGGATTTCTGTGGGGGTTATATACCTAGGAGAGAAATTCCTAGGGCACAGGCTATGCATACATTCAGTTTTAGTAAATACATAGCATCTGATTGTTTTCCAAATTGGTTGTACCAATTTATACTCTCATCCACAATGTGTGAGCATTCTTGTTGCTTTACATTCTTGTCCACATCTAGTATTTTATGCCTTTAAAAAGATATTCTAGGGAGAATATAGTGATGACATATGGGGTTTGATTTGTGTTGCATGGATGACTAATGAAGCTGAGCACCTTTTCAGATGTTTATTGGCCATTTAGATATCCTTATTTGTGATATGACCCTTCAAGACGTTCGTCCATTTTTCTATTGGATTGTCTAACTTGGGAACCTACTAATGAACACTCGTGGTTTGATGTTGAAAACAATGAAGTGAAAGTCATATTGAAAATATTTAAGTTGAAATATTGAGTATGTTATAGTTTGCAATGGACAAAGACGTTTTGTGCTATTTAGGATGACCAGGCCATAAAAATGTTTCTATCCTTGAAAAATTAGGAATGCTTTTCCAAAATGGTGGATTAGAGGAACTGCTAGCATACCTCTTCCACTTGGAAGGACAAAATAGTGTGTACAGATTCACGTTGTGAACTATTTTTCGAGAAGCAACGCAATAACTGAACAGGAAAACCATAGGAATCTATTGATGTTTTGAAGGAAGCAGGAGACTGCAGCCTACACTGAGTCAGTCGAAGGGCTGCGAGTCCCCTGAGTGTGACAGAGTGAATTTGCCTCTGGGATACACATCCCCACTAGGGATCCTGAAAGTCCAGGACACAAGGTGGGGGTGCTGGCGGGGAAGCCCTAACCCGAACTAACGCAGGAACCGACTTGGGGATGGTTATGGACTATAAACTATTCCATACTTTTAGGGGGAGACCCTTGCATGCACTTCCAGATCCCAGCGTAGATTAAGTGCAGCCATTCCTTACTGTTCCTCACAGGAGGCCTTGCGGCCAGCTACAAAGTTCAGGCGCTGGTTGCAGTTTGAAAGAATCTCCCAACGGGGTTCACAGTACAACCTCGGTGGGGACGAACTTCCTTGGCCAGGGCCGGGGCGGGGAGGGTGAAAAGCGGGCTGCAAGTGCAGGAGCCGTAGGTGCAGAAGTCGTGGGTGCAGAAACTGCAAGTGCAGGAGCCACGGGAACACGCCGGCTTTGCAGCGGACAGGGAGGGGCGTGGCCTGAACGCCTGGACTGCAATCTCTGCGGGGAAAGCTTATGACTCCCGGCAGCCGCGAGTTCTGATTACAGGCTGACAGGAACTCAGCTCGCTGCTTCCAGTGGAACACCGTGGGAGTGGATCTGCCTTGTCAAGTGGGTAGGAACTGTGGAGCTTACCACCGCCTGCTACTCCCTACTTCTTGCACAGACTCTTCTGTGCAGCAGGGGCAGCAACGCTGCCCTCTGAAACATTAACCTAGTGGCCTGAGACCCGCTCCCATCCCCCAATACCCATAGAAGCTCCTTCTTTCTCTGCACACGGAGACCAGTGTGCAGGCCCTCCCGACCCAGCCCCTACCTGGCTTTGCCCGGCCACCCGCCCTGGTAACTCAACGCAAAGGACAGAGTCTCCTGGGAGCGACATGGCCCCGCCCATGTCCGGAGAAACCAGAGTATCCCCCTCTGGGCAACATCAGGCAAGCAAAAATCCCAGGGCTACTACCGCAGCTGCTGCTCTTTTGCAAGCGCCACCTCCTAGCTGGAGGCCAACCCACACAGTCCTTGACAGTATCTCCTGGTAGATTAACATTGCACCCAGGAAGGAGAAAACCGCTATGGGATCTCAGCTATCACTGCTGCCTGCACCACTCTGGCTGAACAGGAGGTCCTGAGTCCGTCCACATGACCAGTTCATTACTACTATAACCCGCATTCAAGAAAGCTAACACACTAAGGCTATCAATAACAAAGGAATTTCACAGAATCTGTGTCACAACCTTGCCACTCCCATTAGAGCTGGTGCTGCTACCCACTGCAGGGAAACTTGAGCATAGGTCACATAACTGGATCCCTTGCAGACATTCCCCAACACCAGCCTCGAGTGTGTCAACTTCTCTGGGCAGCTAGACCCAGAGGAGCAAGAACACTCACAGTGACCTGGCTCCCAGGGACTTCCAGGGACTCCCACTTGCAGGGGAAGGAGGACTGCATCACATCAAGGGAACACCCTGTGGGACAAAAGAATCCAGGAGGCAGGCCTTGAGCACCAGATGGAAGGCTTCCTTCAGTAGACACACAGTTGAAGTGCTGGGCTCAGCAAGGAAGGTCTTCACTGTATCCCAACAGTCAGACAGCTCTGGCGCATGTGAAGGGTCTTGGAGAAAAGGAAGTCTTTCCCATGTTATCCACCACCATAGGCACAGTTGGGCTTCTCCCATGGGAGCTTAGTGTGGGTGCAACTATAGACAGTCTTCCTGGAACACATCCCCACAGGAGGAGCACCCTCTAGGTTCAAGGTTGCATGAGAGGCAGAGCCACAATTCCTCTCTATTTGGAACATCAACATTCCTACAGATGAAAAAAAGGTCATGAAAAAAAGGCCTGTCAGTCAGCTCCTGAACAGCAGGAACACTGGGACAGGAGCATGCCTGAGAGGTGGGTAACTTTCCTGGTGATCTGGCAGCAGGGCTGATGTGGCTCCAACCCTTCCCACAATAAGACCCCAGTGTAACTCACTGAGAGCTCCTCTGGCCTCCTCTGTCAAGCCTGGGACATCATTCACCCACCTGCTTTAGCCACAGCTGGTTCCTACCCAGGGACACCTCCCCTACTGGCCTGAAGCCTGAACTATCAAATTAGTAAATAAAATACTGGGGGAAAATTAATAAATAAATAAGTCCACACTATGGGGGAATGGGATAAGCTTTAAGAGACCTCTACCATTCCAACCCCATAGGACACAGTGAACTTGCTCACACACTGAGCACATTGCTACTACAACTAGCATATAAGAAAACCATCATACAAAGACTCTCTATAACCAAGGGTCTTCACCCTCTAAAGCACCAAGAACTGAATTAGGCTATAATTAACTATAAGAATTAAAGTCTCATCCTTAAGGGGAAAAAAGAAATTTAAAAACAAACAAGCAAATAAGAGAAACACAGTCATATCAAATATAAATTCAAGAATAACGAGAAGAAGTAGTCTATCCAAATGAGAAGGAACCAGAAAAATAACTCCAGTAATATGACAAAACAAGGTGCTATAACACACCTAAAAGATCACACTAGCTATCCAGCAATGGACTCAAATCAAGATGAAATCTTTGAAATACCAGATAAGAAATATGAAGATTGATTATTAAGCTACTCAAGAAGATATTGGAGAAAGGTGGAAACCATCTTAAAGAAATTAAAAAGCAGTTCAGGATTTGAATGAAAAATTTTCCAGAGAGATAGGTATCATCAAGAAAGAAACAAATGGAACTTTTGGAAATGAAAGACACACTGAGGGAATTACAAAATTTCCACTGTAATTTTGTAATTACAGTGGAAACTTTTAACAATAAACTAGAACATGTAGAATAAAGAATTTCAGAGCTTAAAAACAAGACTTTTGAATTAACCCAATCAGACAAAAATAAAGAAAAATAATAAAAGGAAATGAACAAAGTCTCTAAGAAGTATGGGATTATGTAAAGTGGCCCAACCTAAGAATTATTGGTGTTCCTGGGGAAGAAGAGAAAATAGTAAGTCTGGAAAACCTGTTTTAGGGAATAATTGAGGAAAACTTCCCTCGCCTGCCTGGAAATCTAGATATGCAAATCCAAGAAGCTCAAAGAACTCCTGGGAAATTCATTACACATTCACTAAGGCATATAGTCATCAGGCTATTTAGAGTCAACATGAAGGAAATAATTCTAAGAGCAGTAAGAAAAAAGCAGCAGTGAAATTACAAAGGAAAACCTATCAGACTAACAGCAGACTTCTCAGCAGAAACCTCAGGGGACTGGGGTTGTATCTTCAACCTCCTTAAACAGAACAACTGTCAGCCAAGAATTTTGTATCCTGCAAAACTAAGTTTTGTAAATGGAGAAATAAAGTTATTTTCAGACAAACAAATGCTGAGGGAATTTGTCACTTCCAAACCAGCTCTCCAAGAACTGCTGTAAGGAGTTCTAAACTTTGAAACAAAAGCTCAATATACATCAAAATAGAACCTCTTAAAAACTTAAAACTCACAGGCCTATAAAACAATAACACAGTGAGAAAACATATCTAGATAACAATTAACATGATGAAGAAAAGTACTTCATATTTCAATATTAACATAGAATGTAATATTAACATCGAATGTAAATGGCCTAAATGCTCCACTCAAAAGATACAGAATGGGAGAATGGATTGAAGATCACAATCCAAATATCCACTGTCTTCAAGGGACTCACCTAACACAGCAGGATTCAAACAAACTCAAGGTAAAATGGTGGGAAAAGGTATTCCATGCAAATGGGAATCAAAAGAGAGCAGGAGTAGCTATTCTTATATCAGGCAATGATGGGAAGGTGGGAGGTGTTGCAGATCCCTTATTATATCTTCCTCCCTTTGGAGTTTAGACACAACTGACCAGCATTAACATTAAAACAGCGATCTTAAGGCTGAGAAAACAGACTGTGCCAAATTCCAAACTGAATCTGGTATAACATCATATGATAGATAGTGGGCCCCAAAGAAAATAAAAGTATTTTATCCTGAAATACATTTCTTTGACATATTTTGAAATAGCCCTGCAAAGCTGTCTCTTGATGGGGAAATTTACATTCTGTAGAGAATCTCCTTCCTTTACTAGGGCTCTTCAGGAGAGTCTGACACTTTTTAACCCATTGCCCATTCAGAAAAAAAAAAAGTGCAGATGGCCAGTACTCATATGATTTTATATAACATGCTTTTTGAAGCTGATGCAAATCTGACTGACTTTCAATGTGAAAATAAAATATAAAAACTGTTCTTGGAGTCATTTGCAAACAGAAATTGTCTGTAATCCTAATGCAACAGAAATGTATATGTTACATTAGGATTAGAGACAAGAATATTCTCAGGGCAAACAGGAAATGGGTTAAGGTCCAATAAGAGAGATTCACATCTATTCTCTCTGAAGCCTGCAAACTAGAGGCTTCATCTACACGACAGGGACCTTGCCTTCCACAATCCCACCCACCCCCTCCCACCTTACCTTACCTTACCTTACCTTAAATTAACTTAGGCTGACTTTAACTCTTTAGGCAGAGCTTAACTCCTTCAAACAAATGCCACCCAGGACATCTCTGAATCCACCTATGACCTGGAAGCTCCCCTCCCCCTGCTTTGAGATGTCCTGCTTTTCAGGCTGAACCAATGTATATCTTTCTTTTTTTTTTTTTTTTGAGACGGAGTCTCGCGCTGTCGCCCAGGCTGGAGTGCAGTGGTGTGATCTCGGCTCACTGCAAGCTCTGTCTCCTGGGTTCAAGGCATTCTCCTGCCTCAGCATCCCGAGTAGTTGGGACTACAGGCACCTGCCACCATGCCCAGCTAGTTTTTGTATTTTTAGTAGAAACGGGGTTTCACCGTGTTAGCCAGGATTGTCTCGATCTCCTGACCTTGTGATCCACCCACCTCTGCCTCCCAAAGTGCTGGGATTACAGGCTTGAGCCACCGTGCCCCGTGAACCAATGTATAGCTTACATGCATTGATTTATGTCTTTGCTTGTAACTTCTGTCTCCCTAAAATGCATAAAATTAAGCTGGACCTCCTGAGGCTGTGTCATTGGCCACTTTTCTTAACTTTAACAAAATAAACCTCTAAATTGATTGGCTAAAATTCGAATAATTTTAGCAGGTGCTGGAGTCCAGGGAATATCCCTGATTGCCTGGTACTTGGGTGATTAGGGTGAGTGGATAGGGTCCCGTAGTATGAAGGCCTGATAAAGGAGGTGGTTGAGGTGTGGACTCTGAATTGGTTGGTTTGAAAAGCACACTGTGGGCAAGTATGATTTGAAAAGCATACTGTCTCTAGGAGTTGGCTAACTCTGGGAGGGGCAGACCCTCCAGGTTCAACAAGACTTCAGATGTCAAATTATCAGAATACAGAAAATATAAGATGCTCTCTCTGCCTTTTAGAACTGCTGTAGCAAAATTTCTCAGGTGGGGTGGCTTAGAAACAATAGAAATTTGTGGTAATCGTTACATGATGCATATGGAATCAAGCCATGTCCTGCACCTTGAATATACAATTTTTATTTGGCAATCATATCTCAATAAAATTGGAAAAAATGTCAAAAATTAGCTCTAAGTAAAAATGAGTTTCCCTAAAGACAGAGCTTGTTCTTACCCTTGAGGCTTCTCAGAATCTCTATTACGAATTCTAGATATCCCAGATAAATTCTAGATGTTGCTTTTAGACAATGCAGTTTTCACTACTGAATGAGTAAGATTTCAGGGAGCGATATTCAGAAAGAATTTTGAAGAGAGTTTGCTCCATATTGTGACAAATCCCTTCCCCATTTTGTTTCCATACAGATAGATTTGGTAAATAATTAAATTATTTTTTAAAAAGCTTTGGATCTTGGAATTGGATTTCTTTTGGAAGTGTCAATGTACAGAGACCAACCAAAGTTAGTGAATATCTGTTCAGGTTCCTTCAGCAAAGCTGGAGGGTGTGCATATAACATACACACTTTCTCTCAAAAGAATAAAGTTTGCAGCTACCTTGGTTGTTACAAAGTTCATTTCCTGACAGGGTATATGGCTTGTCAAGGGTAAGGTGAAGGCAGTGCAGGATTAGCAAATTTCTGTTGGAAGGAGCAGGGAGTTGGGATAAGCAGGTTTAATATTGGCTAGTGCGAATAGTAGAGCAGGGTCTAAGGCATAGAGGTTGCCTGGCCCTGATGTAATAGCCTTATTTTGATATCATGTAGCAGTGGAAAGTTCTGTCCATGCAGGACTTAGCCAGATTCCAGAGAGTACTTTCTAGCATAGAGAACGTAGATTCACTCCCTGGCTTTGGGGATCAGCTTTCTAGTTAGTCTGTAAAGTGTCATCACACCTCATTCTTCAGATTGTCAGCAGGCTGGATTGTTTTCAGGTTTCTCTTTATCTGTATGTGTAGAGAACTTGCACCCAACTAGGAGGAGTGAGATGAAAAGCAAGCCTAAGACTGTCCAGGACGTTATGAGGCCAAAGTTTCAGAAGATTTGGTGCTCTTCCAGTAGGGACCCCTCTGTCTCCCTCAGTGTCTGACAGTTTTCCTAGCCATGTCTGGATGCATTTACTCTGCACACTTAGTAACCATAGTTACAATTCCAGGCCATCTCTGATCCCATTCAATTTTAACCAAACTCCTTACAGTCTACATAGGGAGTCTGGGCCTCAGAGAGGACACATTCTACTGGATTTTTAGTACCTTCCTCTCCAAAGACACCAACACTGAATTTGCTCAAAGGTTGGACATTTGCTGGAAGTACAGAACTCCTTACAACCCCTCATGCTTTTTCACCTGCTGTTCTCTTTTCATCCCTTCCCAGCAGCCATGTGTGGTTGGGCAGGCAGTACTGTCATCTCAGCCCCAGAACTAAGACGCTGTATCCTTTTCCTTGTACCACATCAGCAACCAGCTATTTGCGGCAAGAGCCCCACACTCTCAGTCTCACATCACTAGAGAGCCTGAGCCATATCGAGCACTGAAGATCGTGAAAGTTGCTCCATAGCCAGAATCTACTCTCCTTTGCCACCCCGTCTTTATCGTGAGCAGCAGATACAGAACTCACACATTCATGCATCCATAAGGGTGAATGTTGTTGAAAAATCAAGCAAGAATTCACCAGCGTAGCCAGTAGGGTCAGAAGCAACATGACAGAAGTTGCTAAGTTTTCCTGTTACACCTTCATAAAGTTTATTGGTAAAGAAAATCATGAGTCCAAATGGATTTAGGCAGTTTATTAGTTACACATATAGCAAAGCAAGATCAGCATGGTGTTAGCTCTTAAGCCACAGGATAACACCCATCCAGAGGAGTCAGATGACGGGCAGCAGAGGTGGCATCACTCTGCTGCTAAGGAACCAACACTAAACCACAGGACGGCAGTCTTATAGCCTGTAGCTGAACCCTAGGGGCTCAGGTGGGAAGTTCCATTGCTCAACTGAAACTAGGGAGGTGGATGAGAAATTACCTTGTTCCAGCCCATCACAAGATGGCCTCTCCTGTTCCAAAGGAACTTCAGGGTCAGACTCAGTGCAGACTCGGGCCAGCCTGTAGTTAAGCCCTGCCTATGCGGTTTATGTGAGAGATGTACAAGGTTGTCAGAAGGCCATGGCAAATCTGCTTCTCTAAAGTTGGGAATTTCACAGAAATGGGAAATGCGAAGCTGAAGCGAAGGTAGGACACGACTTAGGTGTCAAAAGTTGTTTCCCTTGAAGCCTTTCTAAATAATAAGAATATCCTCTATGATTAGAGGGAGAAACAGGTGCTGATGAGCACACTGGACATCACGTTGAGGTGAGAAAATATCTTCTACATTGTTTTTGTGAAAAACCGAGCTCTTTTAAAGAAGGCTACAGCTCAGCTCTTTAAATTTAAGACCACAAGAGTCTGCTGGCCTATAAAAATGCTAAAAACCAGTAGTCATGGACACATCATGGTGTCACAGTTTGATCTAAATTCCCTGGTTTTGTGAAAGATGGCAGAATCAAGGGCCTACAGGATAGTGGCCATTCATTGGTTTCTTATGTCAGGGTGCAGGATTTCCTTTGACACAGCACTCCAGCTGAAACATACAGTAGGCAACTAACATTTCACTCTCATAGCATTCAAGTCTGCAGATGCCATTTTTATAGCATTTCTTGTGCATTTCTGATGATAATGAATTTATACCTGGAAGGAAAATGAATAGAAAGATAATTCACTACAGGCCTTTTTGGACCATAAAATTGCTAGTCCCTCAATTTTTATCCAACCGGATACCAAGGAGATTTGGTTATGATAATTGATCCTGTAACTGAAAAAATTAATTAGTGGTAGGGGCTGAATTGTGTCACCCCAAAATTCATATGCTGAAACCCTCACCCCTGATGTGACTGTCTTTAGAGATAGGGCCTTCAGGAAGTAATATAAGTTAAATGAGGTCATGATGGTGGAACCCTAATCCAATAAGATTGATAGGCTAATCCAATAGGATTGATGGTCTTATTAGTGAAGGTCACGGCAAAAAGATGGCCATCTACAAGCTTGAAAGCAAGCTCTCATCAGAAATTGAATCAGCTAGCACCTTGATCTTGGATTTCTCATCTTCTGGAACTATGAGAAAATAAAGTTTGTCTAAGCCACAGTGTGCGGAATTTTGTTATCGCAGCCCAAGCTGACTAAAACAAGTAATAATTTGGAAGTTTCCCTGAATTTGTCAATGAATATAACCCAAACAATCAAGCTAGCTATTCACATAGTCATTCATTCATTATTGTTTAAATAATTACTTACTCATTATTATTCATAAACCAATTTTTATAAATCCTGTGAATCAAGGACTGTTGGGGTACAGATTTGAGTATGATATAGACCTTAACCTCAATGAATTTTCATTCTAGACAAAAAGAGAAGAAATACAAAATATCTCTGAGAGAGGAAAAAACATGACAAGTGCAATGATGTATTTGCAATGTGGAACGGTCTTGTGAGTTTGAAGGAGGATGAAATCAATTCTGAAGATTTGAGAAGTCTTATTGAAGCTCAAGGAATCTGTAGAAATTTTGAGCAAACACATACCCTATCTGAGTCATAATGCCCTGGAGGATAATTGTCCTACATGAACAAGAAGGGATCAGTGTTACTTAGTTTGCAAGACAGAAGCCCTAGAGGACAATCTGTAACACTTTTGGGAAGATGAAATATAATGGTCTATAAAATGAGACAAGAACTTTCAATGGAAATGACAAGTTATGAGAATGCAAAAGGAATTGAAGGGAATATTGTACACTATATGGGGTTCTTTGTCTGGAGGCCACAAATCCATTGCCATAAACCGTAATGGAATTGGTTGCATCAGCAGCTTTAAGAGGCCTTGATCCCATGAATTCTTAAATTTAGCCTGGTGAGTCACATAATCTGAAGATGTGATTCATTTGCCTGGAGAATACTTCAGGCAAACACTTCAGTCCATCTAGGCAGATGAACCAATCTGACTGGACTGATTCAGTAACACTGAGTGAAAAGAATTTTCCAGATGAGATTGCTAAAGTCGGAAAGGATATGGTGAAGCTAGAGCACAGGGCCACTCACACTCTCTGTCATGTCTCCCTGGCTGCTATCTCATCTGATCAGGCATTTCTTCTATCACATAAAGCTCAGTGATTCTCTTGAAACTAGCCGTTCTAAATCTGTTTCCTCATGTAACTAATGGATTCACAAATAGTAAATTAACTGTAGGAAACTGCAGTATATTAGAAAATTAACAAATTGTGTTGTCACTATTTTCTGGTTTTGACTATTATACTTAGATACATTCTTGAATTAGAGACAAAATAACAGCAGGAAGACAGGATGGGCATTACTAATGAAAATACAATGATAGCTCTCATGAGCCAGGTACTTTTCATATTATGTATGGACATATTCCATACATGATCTGATTTAATCCTTGTGAGACTCTTCATTTCCATATTTCCATTTTTCAAATGAAGAAACTAAGGCTCATTGGTGCGGATCAGTTCAGCCAAAAAAAAAAAAGGAAACTAAGGCTCAGAGAAGCTTAGACCTTTGTCCAAAGTTATATAGTTAACAAGTTGGACAGCCAGATTCAAGCCCAGGTCTTGCTGACATCAAAACTAGTTGATGCTTTTTTCTAGCTTGAAAATTAAAGGGCCCATGGGTGGTGTATGTTTATTGGGTTGTTTAGTGGCATTGTTCTTCTATATGAAGCACCCCTACCCCCCAAAATATGCCAGTTTTACCTGCCAGCACTGGATCCCAAAGGAAAAGAAAGACAAACACAACAAGGAGAGGCTTCATGGCTGGGAACTTCTGTTAAGGAGGCTAGTGGCAGGGTCTGACATCGGCTGTCAGGGAACAGAGAGAAGAGGTTGAGCACACAGTCCTATACAAACCTCTCAGGGCTGGGGTATGCCTCGCTTCAGGTAGATATGCTACACTGAACACCCCTGAGGCAGCCGTGTTGGCAATGCTCATCTGAGGAAAAAAAATGGACAGCCCTTTCTTGTTTGACAGCTTTTCCTATTGACAAAGACACTGTTCTCCCACCCAGGTTTTCCAAAAGTACATGGAGGCCTGAGAACTATGTGCTCTTACTCTTTTAAATGAGTAAAATTAAAATTTGATAGGCTTTTGTTCCAATAAAAATGTAATTGCTAATTTTAGAAAATTGGTAAAATATTAAACATGACAAGGATGGACAAGTTACAGATGAACTGCTCTTCTCAGAGACAAACTGTCATTCTAAAGAAAGTTTCATTTATGCCTAGTTTGTTGTTTAATATTTTGTTTTACATAGCTATAAACAATATTCTTATAATTAGGTATCCTGCTTTTGTAACTTGATATATACTATATATCAGTGTCACTATAAACTTCATAAATAGTATTTTTAAGTGTTGCACAATATTTTGTCAAGGTCATTTAAAATAATTGTTACTATTTAAAAAAACATTTTTTATTGAAGTATAAGTGACATACAATAAACTTCAAACAGTAAAGTGTACAATCGGATAAGTTTTGCCATATCTATACGTTTGTGAGACCATTGTCACATTCAAAATAATGAACATATCCATTCCCCCTAACATTTTTTCATGCCTTCTGTAATATTCCCCTCCTGATTCTCTTTCACCTCTCAGTCTAAAGGCCACAACTTTTCTGCTGACACTATAGATTACTTTGTATTTTCTTGGAATTTCATGTGAATAGAATAATATATTCTATACTCTTTCTTGTTGGGTTTCTTTTACTCAGCATAATTATTTGAGATTCGTCCTTGCTATAATATGAATTAGTTGTTCATTCCTTTTCATTGCTGAGCACCACTGCATGGCTATACATCTATGTGTTTATCCAGTCACGTATTGATTGATGTTTGATTATTTCCAGTTTTTGGCTATTGAAAATAAAGCTGCTATGGACATTCATGTACAAGTCATGGTATGGATATATGCTTTCATTTTTCTTTTGCAAATATTCAGGAGTAGAAAGGCTGGGCCACAGCTGTATGTTGTCATCAAGAGATCTCACACGCAATGACATTCATAGCCTCAAAGGAAAGGGATGGAGAAAGATCTAGCAAGCAAATGGAAAAGAAAAAGAACAGTGGTTGCTATTCTTATTTCAGACAAAACAGACTAAAAGCAACAATGATCAAAAAGGACAAAGAAAGGCATTACAAAATGATAAAGTGTTCAATTCAAAAAGAAGACTTAACAATCCTAAATATATATGCACCCAATATTGGAGCACTGAGATTTATAAAACAAGTTCTTAGAGACCTATGAAGAGACTTAGATAACCACACAATAATAACGAAAGACATTGACACCCCACTGACAGTGTTAAGCAGATACTTGAGGCAGAAAACAAATAAAGATATTGAGGACCTAAACTCAACACTTGACCAAATGGACTTAACAGACATCTATGGAGCATTCCACCACACACCAACAGAATACACATTCTTGTCATCTGTACATGGCACATACTCTAAGATCAACCACATGCTTGGCCATAAAGCAATCCTTAACAAATTAAAAAGAACGCATGCCAGTAACATTCTCAGACCGCAATGCAATAAAAATAGAAATCAATACCAAGAAGATCTCTCAAAACTATACAAGTACATGGAAATTAAACAATATGCTCCTTAAAGACTTTTGGGTAAAGGATAAAATTAAGGCAGAAATCAAGAAATTCTTTGAAACTGGGCCAGGTGCAGTGGCTCACACCTGTAACGCTAGCACTTTGGAAGGTTAAGGAAGGTGGATCACTTGAGTCCAGGAGTTTAAGGCCACCTTGTGCAACATGGTGGGACCCTGTCTCTACAAGATTAAAAAAAAAATTAGCCAGGTGTGATGGTGCACGACTGTAGTCCCAATTACTTGGGAGGTCGAGGTGGGAGAATTGCTTGCGCCTAAGGGGTTGGGACTACAGTAAGCTGTGGTTGTCCTGCTCCACCCAAGCCTGGGTGATAGAGTGAGACGCTGTCTTAAAAAAAAATAAAAAAAATAAAAAAGAGACGTTCATTGAAACTGATGAAAACAAAGGTACAATACCAGAATCCCTGAGACACAGCTAAAGCAGTGTTAAGAGGAACATTTATAGCATGAAAATGCCTACACCAAAAAGTTAGAGAGATCTCAAATTAAGAACCTAACATCACACTTAGAAGAACTAAAAAAACAAGAGCAAATCAACCCACAGCTAGCAGAGGAAAGAAATAACCAAAATCAGAGCTGAACTGAATGAAATAGAGACATGAACCCATACAAAAGATTAATGAAACCAAAAGTTGGCTCTTTAAAAGAATGAATAAGTCTGCTTATTTAGACTGCTAGCTAGACTAAAAAAAGAAGATCCAAAAAAACACAATCAGAAACGAGAAAGAGGATATTACCACTGACCCCAAAGAAATGCAAAAAACCCTCAGAGACTATTAGGAGCATCTGCATGCACACATGCTACAAAGCCTAGAAGAAACTGATAAATGCCTGGAAAAGTACAACCTCCCAAGGTTGAACTGGAAAGAAATTGAATGCCTGAGCAAACCAATAATGAGATCTGAAATAGAATCAGTAGTAAAAAACCTACCAAACAGAAAAAGCCCAAGGCAGGAACCTATCATTTCTACCTTAGGTTCCTACCTTGGTCTCAAGTGAGCCCCAGCTGGAAGTTCATACTAAAATTGACACAAGGGGTGCCTGGTCATATCATGTCCAATTTCTTAGCAACCAGCCAGTGAGGGCGTGGGTTCATGAAAAGCAGGTATGGGAGTATAAAGGTCATAAACAGTATAAAGAATTACTGGCTGAGGCTCCCAAAGAAGCCAGCAATCACTCTGAGAAAAAAAGACCTGGAAACCTCAACCTCAGAGAGGACATGCTCAGTGGGATACTGGCATTGCCCATGCAAAGAAAGTGTTGAATATGACTCAAGGAGAAATAATAAAGCAATATACTTTTATCTATGTTGATAAACAGCTGGAAGAGGCTTTAACCCAAGCAAAAATAATGTTGCTTACAAAGCCAAAGTTAAAAAACCCCAAGACCATTACAGTGCCAAATTCTTTTCCCCAGAACGGACTATTACTATCATTCTCCCACTATTGATAAGGAGCTCGTTCACTGACTAGGTCACCAACTACCAGCAATTCGTGATTTTTACTTAAATATCAGAACAGGACAGCCTCTGAGTTTTGCTCTAAGAGGTAAAGAAGAATTTCAGCAACTGTCAGAGATCGTCTCTTGTTATCTAGACCTCCCCTGGCTCAGCGTCTGGTTCACTGTAGGTGCCACGAGTTGGGAGCTGACCTAGTTCATAGACTTTAGAGATAAAGAGGGGAGATGTGTGCATCATTTGAAAACAAGTATGTGGCTTACCAGCACACCAGCTTTTTCTTTTCATCCATATATTCCCCTAAGGCCACATGGTGCTCTGGGATTAGAAAATGGAGAAGTACAATATGCTCCACGCTAGGACTAGATGGCTCTTTCTTCTGCCTCCTGGGTTTGGTATTTCTTTAGGGTCATCATGCTACTCTTCTCATCTTCCTGATCTGTGGTTGTTCTGCAACTGCCATACTCTCAGCTGCAATTGAAATGTCCCTGTCTGACCCTGAGCCATACAGATTCAATATGCAGCCTTTCCAAATGACAATCCTAATAAACAGAAATGTATTCTAGCCAACAGTGGGAGATGCAGAAGGAAGCAGCTTCTGTATCCTCTGTGAAGAGATGGTCCTCTTTCCCATTACAAATTTTACAGCACCCATTCCTTTTTTTTTCATAGCACTTGTCACAATTGTTACTATATCAATTATTTGTGTCTCTGATTAGACTGTGAAATCCGAGTAGATTCCATGACTGTCTTATTTATCATTTTACACCAGTATTGGGCTGAAAGTCTAGCAGGCCATCAGTGCCAAAGGTATATTTGTTGAATAAATAAATGAACTCTAGATATTAGGTTTATACTTTAACTTTACAATATATAGTAGTTATTCCTTATTCATGGGGCTATGTTCCAAGACCCCCAGTAGATGCTTGAAACAGTCGATAATACTGAACTCTATATATACAGTGCTTTTTTTCTATACATGCAGACCTATGATAAAGTTAAATTTATAAATTTGGCACAGTAAGATTTTAATAACAATAACTAATAATAAAACAATTATAACAATATGCTATCATAACAATACTATAAAAGTTATGTGAATGTGAACTCTGTCTCCCCCAAAATATCTTACTGTGCTATGCTCACTCTTCTTCTTGTGCTGATGTAAGATGATATAATGCCTATGTGATGAGAGGAAGTGAGGAAAACGACATAGGCATTGTGACATAGCATTAGGCTATTGCTAATCTTCTGACCATAGCTCAGAAGGGGGATCATCTCCTTCGGGTGATGCTGGGTCACTGAGCCATGGTGATGTTAGTGGCTGGATCTCAGAAGCATATGATTTCAATAACTAATGGGCAGGTAGTGTTTACAGTGTGGATACACTGGACAAAGGGATGATTCACATTCTGGGTGTGTGGAGCTGCGTAGTGCAAGATTTTGTGTTACTCAGAACAGCATGCAATTTAAAACTTATGAATTGTTTATTTATGGAATTTTGTGTTTATTTATTTATTTATTTTGAGATGGAGGCTTGCTCTGTCACCCAGGCTGGAGTGCAGTGGCGTGATCTTGGCTCACTGCAACCTCTGCCTCCCAGGTTCAAGTGATTCTCCTGCCTCAGCCTCCTGAGTAGCTGAGATTACAGGCACCTGCCACCACACCTGGCTGATTTTAGTATTTTTAGTAGAGACGGGGTTTCACCATGTTGGCCAGGCTGGTCTCGAACCCCTGCCCTCAGGTGATCCACCCACCTTGGTCTCCCAAAGCGCTGGGATTACAGGCGTGAGCCACTGC
This sequence comes from Homo sapiens, assembly GCF_000001405.40. NCBI lineage: Eukaryota > Metazoa > Chordata > Mammalia > Primates > Hominidae > Homo > Homo sapiens. The sequence continues at coordinate 1,346,641 of NW_018654717.1, read as the reverse complement.
ACCCAGCGTATTTAATATTTTGGACTGTGGTTGACTGTAAGTAACTAGAACTGTGGCTGGGTGGGGAACTACTGCAGATATATTCCTAACAGCTGGTATTTGGAGCACTTTTAGGCATCAAGGATTGTAGTATGTATTTTTTTTAATATTGCCTCACTTAATCTTACAAATGATCTCTTAACTAGACATTTTCACAATTCACATTTTCAAGATGTTGAAGCAGAGATTTGAGTAATTCTTCTAAAATCACACATCTGGGACTGATAAGTCTTACAGAGATTCTAGAACCCAAATTAATTAACCACTCTTCTATATTGTCTCCTGGGACAAAGGGGTTCTGAAATATAGCAAAAATTCTACTTTGAATCTAGTCTGGGCCAGCCAGGAAGAATTAGTAGATGCCAGGGCCTGGGGAGCTAGAACCTATGGTAAGGAAGTGACACTGAAAAAGCTAAAGAATCTTTCTTTCTTTCTCTCTCTCTTTCTTTTTCTTTCTTTCTTTCTTTCTTTTCTTTCTTTCTTTCTTTCTTTCTTTCTTTCTTTCTTTCTTTCTTTCTTTCTTTCTCTTTCTTTCTTCTTTCTTTCTCTCTCTTTCTTTCTTTTCTTTCACAGACGTCTTGGGACGCAAAGGGCCAAGGCATCAGAAACACTTGGTACCAGCTTCCACAGCAACAATGAGAGGTAACCCCAGTGCTTCCACTACCAACAGGACATTACCACTTGCAGGCAGAGAAACAGACAAGAAAAATAGTGGATGCCACATATTAGGACTCGTCTGAGACATGATGCAAGACTTTTTAGAAAGAATTTGAGGTGAGATGAGGCTGGGCTCTCTGCAGTAGTTCAAGAGAAATACTATTTTGTGGCCCTTATTGGGACTTACTTATAACCTAAGGACCTAGGATGATGCTTGAGTAGCAGGACCAACCAATGTACCAAAGAATGGGCCTCACCCAAAGAGCTTTACAAATTTTATTAAAAATAAGAATGAGACAGAACTCAGCAGTTGTACCTAGATTAGTGACAGAAGATCAGATGAGAATGAAGATGTTTTAGTAGGTTAACATAATAAACGCTCTCCCAGATACCTCATCACTGCTTACCTCTTTTGGAACTTAAAAATAACTTGGAGAAGATATGATCAACTATGAATTGACTAAGTTTCAGTTTCTGTGACCAGGCAAAATAAGGTTCCTAATAGGAATTCAGTTAATTTATAGAAAAAGAAAATTATACTTTTGTAAATATGCCTAGTAGACTGACATATCCCTTACATGACTAAAACCCTATTATGCCAAAACATCTCTTTATTGAATCTCCCCACATTCCCAACCTACTTTCTCTTCTGGCCTCTCTAGTTTAGTGAGTTATATTGGCATCCATCTTTTTATCAGCTTTGAAATCTCAGAATCATCATTCATGGCTTCTCAATATATCATATGGCCAATAAATCCTGCCAATCCTAATTCTAAAATTCACCTTGTATCTCTTCTTTCTTTTTAGTTCTCACTACTAGTGATCAAGTCCTAGATTACTGGAATAGAATAATGTTGCATCAATAGATTGTGTTTATATAAAATTATATATCTGATAACCTGAAAAATATACCTTATTTTCAAAACCACCTAACATTTTAACAAACATGAACTCTTAGGCAACACAGAATAATTATATAAAACCCCAAAGGAATAGGATGGATCAAATTCTTGGGTTCCATGAAATTATAGCTAACATTTATATAATGTCTATAATAGGGTCAAGCGCTGTTTAAGAACTTCACATATACTAACTCACATAATCCTAACAGTACCACAGTGTAGGTACCTATTGCTATCCCATTTTATAAATAAGGAAGCTGAGATAGACAGAAAAGAAATAATTTGCCCAAGCTTGAACAGTTAATAAGTGGTAGGGCTGGGATATAGTACTATGGGTGAAACAGCAATGTGGCTGTGGATGTAAATTAAGGGAGTAAATGTTAAAATGCACAAATGAAAATAGAGTGTAAGCATTTATAAAATTTATATTCATTTTCACCTGACCATCTAAACATGCAATTATAATAATTTTCATCCATCATGTTAATTATTCGTAGATAAGAGAGTTTAAGACATGTTTTTGCTCCTGGAGTCTGAAGAAGATGGAGTTAGCATTTTCACCACTTCTTTTGTCCGTCAATTTCAATGATCTTCAGTTTGCAGCAGATGCTGAAGTCAGCACAGTATGTAATTGCATGTTCATCAGCATTGCACTTCAGTCTGCAATGATAATATTCTGAAGGACATTCATCATTAGAAATGAAGCTTCCGGCTTTAAGAGGAGAAGACAAATTATATGACACAATATATTTACTTTTTATTTTTAAAGTCTGAAATATTTTATAACAAATTAAAAACATTAAAGAACTTTCCCAGAAAAACAAAACAACAGCAAAAGAATGCAAGAGAAAAAGTGGAGATGCTGAATAAAGACAAACGATGCTTTCTTCTATAAAGAGAGGAGTAAATGAGGCAGTAGCTGGAAATGTACAGAATTTTAAATGAGAACTATTACCACATATTTCTACCTAAAATGAATTATCCTGCTTGGGGGTGGTGTAGAGATTCATAATGCAGGAAATAATGTTTAACTTCTGGAGTTAAATTCTTGAAAAAGTCATTGGGGATGGAATCTAGTGTAAGTGGAGGGGTTGGCCTTGAATCAGACAGTGAAGAGAAGGTAGATTATGGATAAAGATAAAACTATGTGAAGAGATATGGTGGTGGAAAAATAGAAAAGCTATCTTTGGTTGCTTCTCTGTTCTTGGTGAAATGAGAAAAAAAGAATCCTTAATTGAGAGAAGGGGTCAGAAGGAGTTGAGTCTTAGTTCCAGCTTCCCAGGGTATTCGGGCTCAAGGCCATGTCTTCTTTACTGAGGAAGTTACTGAGATATGCACAGGAGCCTATAACCCATAATCTCCCATAACTATTCCCTTTAAACCTACCAGTCCTTCCCAAATCCTTTTGTTACAATTTATAAGTTAAAATAATTGCCATGACCAACATCATGAAAGTTTCTCCTTATGTTTTCTTCTATAAGTTTTACAGTCTCAGGTAATTATGTTTAAATGTGTAGTTCATTTTGAGTTGCTTTTTGTGTGTAGTGTAAGATACAGGCCCAGTTTTATTCTTTTGCATGTGAATATTCAGTTTTCTCAGTACCATGTATTGAAGAAACCGTCTTTTCCCCATTACATATTCTTCGCATGTTTGTTGAAGGCCAGTTGACTGTATAAGTGTCAGTTGATTTCTGGGCCCTCTATTCTCTTCCAGTCGCCTATATGTCTGTCTTTATGCCAGTAGCACACAGTTTTGATTACTCTATCTTTATAATACATTTTGAAATTAGAAAATGTGATGCCCCTAGCTTTGTTTTTCTTGCTCATTGTTTTGACTCTTCTAGGTCCTTTGTGGCTTTATATGAATTTTAAGATTGTTTTTTCTATTTCTGTCAAGAGTGCCATTAGGATTTTGATAGGGATTGTATATAATCTATAAATTGCTTTGAATAGTATGGATATTTTAATATTATTATGTCTTCCAATTCACGAACATAGGATATCTTTCCACTGATTTGTGTCTTCTTTAATTTCTTTCATGAATGTCTGCAATTTTTAATGTACCAGTCTTTCATCTTTTTGGTTAAGTTTATTCTTAAGTATCTTATCCTTTTCTTGCTATTATGAATGAGATTTTCTTTACTTGCTTTCCAGTTGCTTGTTGTTAGTGCTATAGAAACACAACTGATATTTGTATGTTGATTTTCTGTCCTGCAACTTTACTGAATTTGTTATTAGTTTTAATAATTTTGGGGGAGTGAAGTTTAGGGTTTTTTACAAAAAAATTATGTCATTTGGAAATAGATAATTTTACTCATTCCCACCCCCCAACAGTTTGGATGCCATTTATTTCCTTTTCTTGCCTAATTGTTCTTGCTAGAACTTTTAGTATCATGTTAAATAAATGTGGCAAGAAGGGGTACTTTTGCTTTGTTCCTGATCTTAGAAGAAAAGCTTTTAGTTTTTCACCATTGAGTATGAGTGAAGAATTTCTTTTCACTTTTATTGTAAGGTAGGACTACTGGTGACAAACTCTATTTTTGTTTACCTAAGAAAATTATGTATTTTTACTTTAATTTAAAGGGTAGGCTGGGCGCGGTGGCCTGCACCTTTAATCCTGGCACTTTGGGAGGCCAAGGCTGGCGGATCACCTGAGGTCAGGAGTTCGAGACCAGCCTGGCCAACCTAGCGAAACCCAGTCTCTACTAAAAATACAAAATTAGCCAGGCGTGGTGGTGGCTGGCTGAGGCATGAGATTGCTTGGACCCAGGAGGCGGAGGCTGCAGTGAGCCAAGGTCACTGCCACTGCACTCCAGCCTGGGTGACAAAGTGAGACTCTGTCTAAAAAAAAAAGATAATTTTGCTAGGTAGAGAGTTTTAAGATAGTGTTCTTTTTTTTTTTAAACATTTTAAATATTTCACTTTCCTCTCTTTTTGCTTATGTGGTTTCAGAGAAGTCTGATGTAATTCTTATCCTTGGTTGTCCATAGATAAAGATTTTTTTCCCTCCTGGCTTCTTTTAAGATTTTCTTTTTGTCTTTGATTTTTGGCAGTTTCAATATAATATGCCTATGTTTAAATTTTTTGTATTTATCTTGCTTGGTACTCTCTCAGCTTCCTAGATATGTAGATTTTGTTTATTTTCAATTTTGGGAAAATCTCAGTCAGAATTTCTTCAAATATTTCTTCTATTCCTTTCTTTCTCCTCCTCCTGATACTTCATTACACATATATTGTTCCTTTTGCAATTGGCCTACACTTATTAAATATTCTGTTCTTTTACTTCTTTTTTCTTTGCTTTTAAGTTTTGGAAGTTGCTATTTAAACTTCTTTAAGCTCACCGATTCTTTCCTTGATCATATCAGTCTATTGATGAATTCATCGTTATGGGCTAAGCAGTGTTCCTCCAAAATTTGTATGTTGAAGTCCCAATCTTTAGTATCTCAGAATGTAATCATATTTGAAGATAAGTTTGTTTTTTTTTTTAAGGAGTGATAAAGCTAAAATGAGACTCCCAGGGTATGGCCCTCGTGCAATATGGCTGATGTCCTTATTAGAAGAGGAAGAGACACCAGGAATGCATGTGCACAGAAAAAATGCCATAAGAGGACATAGCAAGAAGGCAACCAGCTGCAAGCCAAGACAGGCCTCAGGAGAAACCAAATGTGCTGACATCTTGATCTTAGACTTATAACATCCACAACTGTGAGAAAATGAACTTTTGTTATTTAAGGCACCCATTCTGTGGTACTTTCTTATGATAACCCTATAGCAATGCAAGAATGGCCTAATACATCTATATTTATATTGGACAAAATTGACTTTAAGCAAAAAAACATAAAAAGAGACAAAGAAGGCCATCATATAATGATAAAAGGGCCAATTCAGCAAGAGGATATAAAAATTCCAAATATGTATATATATGTACCCAGTAGTGGAATACTTAGATATATTAAAAATGTCATTAGAGGTAAAGAGAGAGATACACCTCAACATCATGATAACTGAGGGCTTCAATACCCCACTTTCAGCATTGAACATTCAGCATTCTAGGTAGAAAGCTAACAAATAATCATCGAATTTAATCTGTACCGCAGACCAAATAGACTTAACAGACATTTACAGAACATTTCATCCAATAGCAGTGGAGTACACATTCTTCTCCTCATCAGATAGAACATTCTCCAGGCTAGACCATATGTTAAGACACAAAACAAGTTTCAACAAATTTTGAAAAATCAACATTATATCAAGTATATTCTAGACAAAAATAGAATAGAACTAGAAATGAATACTAGGAGGAACTTTGGAAACTATACAGATAACATGGAAATTAAACAACATGCTTCTGAACAACCATTGAGTCAATGAGAAAATTAAGAAGAAAATAACAAATGTTCTTGAAATAAATGCAAACGGAAACACAACATACCAAAACCTATGGAATACAACAAAGACAGTGCTAATAGAGAATTTTATAGCAATAAATGCCTACTGCAAGAACATAGTAAGATTATGAACAAGCTACTATGCACCTCAAGGAACAAGAAAATCAAGAAAAAATGAAATCCAAACTAAGGAGAAGGAAAGAAATAATAAAAATCAGAGCAGAACTCAGCAAATTCGAGATTTAAAAAATGCAAAGAATTAATGAAACAAAAAGTTGACTTTTGGAAGAGATAAACAGACTTTATAAACTGCTAGCTAGACTAACCAAGAACAAAAGAGAGAATGCCAAATAAATAAAATCAGAAATAAAACAGGAGACATTACAACTGATATAAAAGAAACACAATGGATCATTAGAGTCTGTTATAAACAACCATATGGTAAATAATCCATACGATGAAATTTTTTTTTACCAACACCAATAATCAATCTAACTTTCCCAAATTAATTTTAAAATCCACCAATACTTTATAATAAATACATATTAAACTGTGGTTTATACCTGAGATTTAGATTATCAATTGACTTATTTATCGTTTCTGAGGCGCATATTACCTCAGAGCACGTTTTAAAATGTATTTCAAGATTCCATCATTTATATAATTATACAGAATTACACCTTTCCTCCATGAATGTTGGTGTTTTATATTTTTATTGAGATAGAATTTACTATAAAATTCATTCCTTTAGAGTGTTCCATTTAGTGACTATCAGTGGATTCTTAAAGTGGGATATACTGATGACCACTGAATGAAGGAATGAAGTACGAATCTATGCCACAACATGGATGAATCTTGAAAACATTATGCTAAATGAAAGAAGGCAGACATGAAGGATCACATAATTATTATTCTCTCCATAGTAAATGTCCAGAATACGAATATACATAGACACAAAAATTAGATCAGTGGTTGCTAAGGACTGGGAGGAGGAGAGATTTCTTCTTGCGATTATAAACATATTCTGGAATTAGATAATGGTGAGGGGTGCACAATTTTAAGAATACACTGATAACCACTGAATAGAACACTTTAAGGCAATGAATTTTATGGTAAATTGTATCTCAATAAAAATATAAAAATCCCACTAACATTCATGGAGGAAAGGCATAATTATTTATAATTATAAAAATAAGGGAATCTTGAATCATGAAGTATTATATAAATGAGGGAATCTTGAATTGTGAAGTGTTATTTAACTTGATTTAGCCATTTCTGTAATGTATACATACTTCAATCACGTCATTTTGTATAACCTCTTATACATAATTTTTGCCAATTCAATAAATTCAACAACTCCAAAAAACAAGACATTCTCTTTACTAAAATAATTATTAAAAATAAAATTCAGAATTCTATTTTATTTATTTATTTATTTTTGAAACAGAGTCTCGCTCTGTCACCCAGGCTGGCTGAAGTACAGTGGTGCGATCTCGGCTGACTGCAACCTCTGTCTCCCAGGTGCAAACGATTCTCCTGCCTCAGCCTCCCAAGTAGCTGGGATTACAGGTGTGAGCCACTGCGCCTGGACAGAATATAAAAGACTGTTTAATTCAACTAAAACATTAAAACATTAAAACATAGATTATTTCTATAAGTGGTAATTGTTCTAACATGTTCTGGTCAAAACAGTCTCCTTACTTATCCACAATTAAATGGTTAATTGATATTTGATTGGATTTTGATAAAGTTTTCAAATCATGCTTGACTATTCCAATGTACAGTAAAATGTGTTTAAAAATATTTCATAAAAATTAATATTTAAAAATGGTCAGGCATGGTGGCTCATGCCTGTAATCCCAGCACTTTGGGAGGCCAAGGTGGGCCGATCACTTGAGGTCAGGAGTTTGAGACCAGCCTGGCCAAACCTCATCTCTACTAAAAATACAAAAGTTAGTCAGGCATGGTGGCACGCACCTGCATTCCCAGTTACTTGGGAGGCTGAGGCAGGAGAATATCTTGAACCTGGGAGGTGGGCTCCCCAGGCTTTAAAGCAAAACCCCCATCTTGTCTGTCTCCACTCTCATCCCAGGCAATCACGGTCATTTCCACAACCTCAACCACTGTCCACCTGGGATGCCTCCCAAGCCCAGGTCTCCAGCCCAAACCTGCCTTCCTAGCCCCAGAACTATCTGTCCTGGCACACATTGCCCCCTAGGTCCCCAGCAACCTCAGCCAATGAGTCCAACATCAACTTCCTGTCCTTTCCAGACACTGTTAGCCCTGAGATCAGACTTGACCATTCACCTCCAGTACCTGATAGGTCCGTCGGTCCTTTGGAACATATCCCACGAACATTCCCCAAACCAGGCACTGGACTCCACACATCAACACCGTCATGTGAGTCACCAGCATCCCTGGCAGGGACCCCTGTCCCAGCCTCCAACTCATCTCCTTCCTGTCCCTTGAGTTCTGTGTCACAATCCAGAGGCCACGGGAAGAAAAATGACCACCTTAATGAAATTAAAAGAATTGAGAAGACATCTCCCTATGGTCCAAAGTCTTTCCAACTGAGAAACACATATCAAGATCCAGCCTGCTTGCCCTGTGGTTAAATGTTCCTGAAATAATTAAAGCCCAGGGCAACACAGCCCCCACTCCACAAGTACTCCCAGCATAGTAAGACTTGCTTCTTTGGAAGGGTGCGAAATGTCCAGTGTGTACCCTGCCCCTCTCTGTCATAGCTAACAGGAATGTGCTTCATGTCTTCTTCCTGCTCAAAGGACCGTCCACCAACCTGCGCAGGCAGCACTTTCGTCCGGGGGGGATGGGAGAACTTCCCACCATTTCCCACTTATGCACTGCATTCCTCAGGAGCCTGCCTCACAAATTACAAGGGCGCCACAGCAGACACACGACATTCCAGTGGGTGGCCATGTCTTCATGTCAGCTTGAAAGATCGTCACCAGGGAAATATCTATATCTCGGCAGAGAGAGCTTCAGCCTGTGTAGTCCAGCTGTGCTCAAATGGAAATCCAGAAACCCAGATGTTGGTCCAAACACCCTGTCTCGGACAGCCAGCTCTGCAGGTCCCCAGCGTGGGATGGAACTGGGTGGGCCACCTACCCTGCCTGCCCACATCCCTGCCTCCTGGAATCCTGGACCCTGAGAACCAGGGGGATGTGGTGGGGAACAGGCAAGTCTTGTGCAGAAAGCCAAGATGCCACCCAAATACACTCTGCAGTCTAGGTGGGTGATATTCTGGTCTGCACCACACCAGTGCATGAGGGAATGGAGGATGGAGTCTAGACAAGCTAAATGTAAAAAGATATTGCCCAAGTATTTTGTGCTTTGTCTGTGTTACAATGCTATGCCCAGCCCAGCGTGGTGGCTCACACCTGTGATCTCAGCACCTTGCGAGGCCGAGGCAGGTGGATCACCTTAGGTCAGGAGTTTGAGACCAGCCTGGCCAACATGGTGAAACCCCATCTCTACTAAAAATACAAAAATTAGCCAGGTGTGGTGGTGGGCACCTGTAATCCCACTTACTCGGGAGGCTGAGGCAGGAGAATCACTTGAGCCCAGGAGGTGGAGGTTGCAGTGAGCGGAGATCATGCCACTGCACTCCAGCCTGGGCAACAGAGTAAGACTCCATCTTTAAAAGACATATAAATAAATAAATGCTATGCCCAGCATTTTTCATGTACTGTCTTATTATCTCAGTAAATCCCATATAACCTTCCTATGAAAGTGTATCTCATTTATCTCCATTTTATAGATGAGAAAACTGAGGCCCCTGGAGTACTATTAATTTTCCAAGACCGCATTGCTCATAAAGGGTACAGCAGGGACCCAAGCTCGACACTCTCACCCTCAAACATTTCCACAAGTGTAGACCAATGGCTCTCAACTGGGGTGGTTTTGCTCACGTACCACTCCCTTGCTCCATGGCATTTGAAACCGTCTGGAGACATCTGGGGTAGCCATAGCCGGGAGGGTAGAATGGCACCTAGAGGATGGAGACCACAGATGCTGCTAACCATCCTACAATACACAGGATGCCCCCCCACCACCACGAATGGTCTCACCCCAAGTGTTGTGACTGTGCCAAAGCTGAGAAACCCAGGTTTCTCCTCAGCAAGAAGGGAAATCCCTGCAACGTGGATGCACCTCTACAGGAGCCCCAGGCTGACAATAACCTTCGTCATCTGGTTTCAACCCTGGATGCTTTTACCTGGTGCATCCATCAGGGATTTCAGGGACTGCAGTGAGTTATCACCCTTGAATGCTCCATTCTGCCTGACAACCCAGAAATCTCTGCCAAGGTGCCTGGTCTTGGGGAAGGCTCAGCAAATGGTTGAGGTTGATAACCAAATACCTAGGAGAGACTTTTCTCTCCCTCCAGGAAGAGCTGTTGGTCAGATACACCCTGGTATCATTCACAAGCGGTCAATAAAGGCTTGGGGAGGGCCAGGTTTTCTAGGCCTTCTCAATGGGATGGGTGTTTGTGGATACACAAGAAGCCTGTGAAACTTCTGATATTGGCAGGAAATCAATGCCCCCACCCTCCACATCCCCACCATAAACACATGCCCTGCAGCAGGACTTGGCACTCAGGGGCTCCTGGGGTCCCCATTTACCTTCTAAAACATCCTCTAGGCACCACCGAATAAAGCAACCCCTTGCCACCCAACCACAAGAGCACAGCCTAGGAGCCACTCCAAGGGACATCCAGTCACATTAAAACCTCAGCCATCCAGAGCACCAGGCCTGGTGATGAGAAAGAACATTTTATCCTTAAAAGCATCTGAATGCCCATGCTGCTTTTCTTGCAGAGAAAAGTCCAAAATAATCTGCTATTAAAGAACGAGGATGGTTTTGGCATTTTTACCAAGCTAATGGTCTACGCAGACAAAATCTCATAAAAGGGCACTCTGTTCTTCTTGATCCACTCAGACATGGCCTGTGAGTGAAGAAACGGGCTCTCCTCCTCAAAGAAATCACTGCTGATCCTCGTACCAGCCTGACACTGCTTCATGGGTTCTTCAAAGAGAGTATTCCCATAGGAACTAAAAGGGAAGAGGAATGTGTCTGGAGGGCATTGTGGGCAGCAGTGGGCTTTGGGCCAACTTTTAAGTTTGAAAATCAAGATTCCCTCTTTTCAAGGGGCCGCCAGACTGAGCAGATACAGGCACCGTGAAAAGAGCGTGCCATATTCAGATTCAGGAAACAAGGATGGTTTCTGGTCAGTTCCTCCATCATCCTTCAGGTCATGCGATTCCCATTTCCCTCTGTGGACCAAACAATTCAGTGGGGTTTCTGACTTTTAAATATTTCATTATCAACATATCATCCTTTTAGCCTCCAGAAAGCATTTTAACATGAAGATTCTGGCTTAAGACTCTTGTGGGTCTGTCTGTTTCTCTCTCTCTCTTTTCCTTGAAACGGTCTCACTTTGTGACCTACGCTGGAGTGCAGTGGCATGATCACAGCTCACTGCAGCCCGACATTCCAGGCTCTAGCAATCCTCCCACCTCAGCCTCCAAAGTACTTGGGACTACAGGCACACACCACCATACCTGGCTTTTTTTTTTTTTTTTTTTTGGGTAGATAGGAGGCTTCACCATATTGCCCAGGCTGGTCTTAAACTCCTGAGCACAATCGATCCTCCCCTTTCGGCCTCTCAAAGTGCTGGGATTATTGGCTTGAGCCACCATGCCCAGCCAAGAACCTTGTCTCTTGTGATGCACCCCAGAACAAAACATCACTGCAAAAACACACCAGGGCATGAGTTTTAGTCCTAAGTCTCATTTATCCACCATACACTATGTGCCAGGCACAACGCTAAGTGCTTCTATGGACGAGCTTCCCTTAATCTCAGCAGTAACAACCCCAGGCAATGGGGCCTGTTGACAGATCCATTTGCCACTGAAGACAGTAAGGCTCAGAGAGGGTAAGTGGCTTGTGCCATGTCAGCCAGCTAAGGAGGGGCAGAACCAGGATGCAAACCCCAGCCGCCTGGCTTCAGACTCGCGTTCCCAAGGTCCCACTACACTTGGTCACCCTACTGCATTCTGGTATCCTGGTCTTTGGCAGAGTCCACGTAAAAGAGGGAGGTAGAGGGAGTGAGAGGGACTTCATGCAATAGAGTTTCCCGGCATTACACTGCCACCGTAATTGTGTCCCCGACCAGGACCTCTCCCTTCTCATCCTTTCCGTGATCGGCCCTGGAAAACCTTCGAAAGAACTGTCCTCCTTCTCCCGGGATCTCAGAGAAAATTCACCTGAGTTCAGTGTCCAGGTGACCCAAGCTCTGAATGCAGTAACGTGCACAGGGAGATGAGGATGTCACCATGAGCAAGCCTCCCAGACAGCATCCGGGAGCAACCCCAAGACTGGGCAGGGGGGCTCTGATGCAGCCCACGGCGAGGAGGGCTGCCCATGCTGCCTAAATGGGTTCAGAATGAAGGCCGCCCTCTCTCCCATGTGGGGCTCATTAACCACGAATCCAATTATTAAGACAAGCTCAGCTGAGCAAATGGTCAAACATAAAAACATGTGGAAGGAACAAAGAGGTCAACCCCATTATCCATCAAAAACCATCAAGGTGGCAGCCCTCACTGAGGGGTACGGCTCTCCAGTGGGTCCTCATCTGCCCTCCAAACCCATGTGCCTCCCCAGTGGAAGGCCAGCAAAGCCACACAGGAAGAGTAGGCGTAGGAAAGCACAAAGTGAACCCCAGGAGGCCAGCCTGGCTACGCAGCCCCATCCCACACACACAGGCCCGGTGACTCAGGGGCCCACGTGTGCAGGACACCGGGAGCTCACAGGGACAGCGCCCGGGGGATGGAAGGAACTTTGCCTCTCTGTCCCTCTCTGTAGGGATGGAAAGAGGAGAGCGATTTCTGGGATGGAAGCCATCTGCCTCCTCTCAACTCTCGCTGCCCAACCAGAAAGGGAAGAAAAACAGGAAGATGCGGGACAGGTGAGGAGCTGGGTGAGCGCCACCAGCCTGCAGCCCAGCAGAGCAGGGCTTGGCCAAGCCTGGCGCCAGGGACTTCCCCCCTACCCCACCACAGGCCCCTCGCCAGGTGAGAGGCACCGACAGGGTCCCAGACAGATGCCCCAGACAGGATGCCCAGCGCAACAACCGCCACTTCCCCTGCTAGGGGCCCCCAGGACGCGGGGCTCCCCCTCTCCTTTTGGCCAGCCACAGAGTCCAGCGGATCTCCCGGCCAGGGATGTCGTGGGAGAATCAGGAAGTCGAAGCCACACAGCCGAGAAGGGGCAGCTGGCGTCTCGGAGGCCGTCACGAGCTGTCACTCCGCGCCCGCCGGACTTGCAGCTCAATTACCAACTTCAACCCAGGGCCGGCCCCGGAGCCTCCCGCCGCCCCTACCCCGCGCCCCTGGCACCCCCGGACCTCCGCGCCCGCGTCACTTACTCCTCTGCCGTCGCCACCTGTCTGGGTCCCGGTCTCCTCCCTGCCTGGCCGCGGCACGTCCTCCCCGTCCTCGCAGTCCTCAGGTTCTGCGCTTCCCCCCTCCAGCAACAGCCGCAGCCTCTTCTCTTCGGGAGGGACGTCGTCCTCTTCCCTCCTGGGCCGGCCATCCCTGCCTCGGGGCTTGCCAGTGGCTTCGGAGCTGCCGGAAGGGCTGGCCATGACTCCGGGGGCTCTGCCTGCACCTGGGGAAGAGGAAGGACCCGGCGCGAGCGGCCTCTCGGCGGAGCTGGGGCGTCTGAGCGAGGGCTCGGTGGGTCAGCGCGGCGCGGGGCTGGGCATCCCGGCGGGCGCGGGCTCCTCCGCGGGCCGCTCCTGGCTCTCTGGCGCCCTCTGCCGGCCGCTTGCGCGCACCGCGGACACGCCGGGTACTGGCCTGCCCGGCTCTCACCTGCCCAGGCCCAAGCAGTCGCTGTCCCCTGCCTGTGGCCAGGCCCGCTCTGGCCAGGCCCTGCACCTCCTCCCCGCCCCAGCCAGGTTGCACCCGATGGTCTCCCTGCCCAAGGAGGAGAGAAGAGAAAGGACGCCCCGAGATGGTGGACATCGGCCACAACCACCTTGTCTTTGCTCTTACCCTGTGTCTTCCATGATTTGGAGGTGGTGGGAAACCCGAGGCTGCTCAAAACTCGTGGAGAATTCCGCCTGCAGGATGACATGAATGCACCTTCCCATTGCCTACCAACAGATCTTTTTTGAGCATCACTGTGGACCAGGCGTGGTGATGGGGGAGGGGATATTGTGGAGAACATGACAGGCATTGCCTTCACCCAGTGGGGCTCAGCGCTGGGTGGGAAGGCATTGAGAATGGACATTGTCAATTGGGCAAAAGGAGGCCAAGAAGAAGTGCTGGGGGCATGGGAACTGAAAAAGACAGGAGGCTCAGCAGGTCTTGGAGCTGGGAGAGGGACAGCAGCAGCGGCTGTTCCAAAGGAAGCAACAGCTGAGAGAGGCCTCAGAGAGTTGTTCTCAGCCCAGTGGAGGGTGTTCAGGCAGAGGGAACAGCCTGTGCAAAAGCCCAGAGGCTGGGAAAGAAGCAGAAAGAGGACTGTGGGGCTGGAGCGTGGTGGGCAAGAGGAGAAAGGTGTGGTGGGCAGACAGATTGCCTGGGACCGAGCCGTGCAGGGGCAGAGGAGATAGGGGATCCTTGCAGGCCTCCAGCTGGGGCTGAGGCACAGAGACAATGCAGGTGGGCAAAGGGAGGAGACGTGGAGAAGTATTTTGGAGGCATGCCCTGATGAATGAGCCCAGGATGCACCCTTAGTGTCAGTGTGGAGCTCCTTCCTAGGTTGTGTGATGGGCTGAACTGGGGGGTATTTTCTGGACATCGAAGTGCTACACCCAGAGTCCAGGACAGGCTAAGTGAGCACCAGCAGCTCCTGGCCCACCTCAAAAGCAGGAGAGACAGGGGAGACTGGGGAGGCCAGGGCGGAAGGGGAAGCCAGGAAGGCAGGAGAGGCCAGGGAAGCAGAGGAGGCCAGGGAGGCAGGGGAGGCAGGAGAGGCTGGGGCGGCTGTGTCCTTTCCATGTTTCTGCCCAGGATCCTAGGCCGCTGTACTCCCTGAGCTTCCCCACCCCAAGTGCTGGAACCATGTTGCACAACGGTCTCCCCACTAAGCTCCTGATGGCAGCCCCTACCCTGCTGTGCTCCCTATTTCAACCCTAACAGCTCTCACAGTGGGCAGCACATAGTAGGTGCTCAGGAAACACTGGTGGGAGAGCACGTGGGTCTGCTCAGCACCTTCCTCTCTCCTCCAGCTCTCCCCATCATGAAATAATTCTGATAACGACACATGGACTTTGAGATCCTCTTCTATTACTTGCCATATGCTAATCCATCTATACCTCACAGCAGTCCTGGGGGTGGGTGCTATTAGGATGCCCATTTTACAGAGGAGGAGACTGAGGTATAAAGAGGGTAAGTGACATACGCACACTACAGGGGCTGGGGCCAAGTGATCAGAGCACTCAATCCCCAAAGGCAAGGTGGATGCAGTTACCATAAAAGACAGCAGAGTCAAAGCTGCAACCAGCATAGCCTGACTCTCAGAGACCTACGGTGCCAGCTGATCGTGGCTTTCCTAGAAGTGAAATAGATAAGAAGCCTGCCACATTTTTACTGGATCTGTGTTTGCAGAAGAGTTCTAGATCAGGTGAGCAGAAGTCTAATCTGAATCATAAAAACAGAGTCACAGTCCCCAGTCAATTCCCAGACATAAGCCAGTTCACAGACCCGGATTCCCTTGTCTGAATGGGAAGCCAGGTCCCCTGCAGAAAGGACACTGCTCCACTGCCACAAATTAATACTGTCAATCTTTCTCCCAGCCTGCCTCCAAGGGAATACACAGCCTTTTACCAGGATGACTGAACAGGAGAAAAGGAACTAATGGACCTGTGCAGGATCACTGGACACAGGCTGTGAACTGGCACTAGGATGAGACTAGGGTCTACCAGTCAGAATAGGCATTTTGGAGGTCAGGTGAATGTTGGTGCAAGTTCATGTCATGGTAGATCCATTAGGTCCCCCAATCCATCCTCTGGTTATATACAAAGCGGCAATGCTGAGATTCAAATTCAGGGCATCCAACATAGAGGCTGGGCTCTTACTCATGAAACATTCTGACACTAGTAACCAATTTAAAAATGCAAACACCTCCTGGGGCTAGCGAGAGTCCTCCAAACAGTCATGTAAATTGGTTCTGTCAAGGATTTCCTCCCACCCCCTGCTGAGAGCCAGTTGCAAGGAGAGACTAGGGAAGGGCATTGGGTAACTTTGTTGCTAAAAGCTCTTCTGGATAAAGACATGTGGGAAAAGAAGCAAATAGAGTTCAGCAGAAGAGGTAAGAAAGTAAGTTTATGTTTGGCCAGGCATGGTGGCTCATGGCTGTAATACCAGCACTTGGGAAGGGTGAGGTGGGCAGATCATGAGGTCAGGAGATCAGACTATCCTGGCCAACATGGTGAAGCCCTGTCTATACTAAAAATTCAAAAATTAGGTGGGCATGATGGCGCACACCTGTAGTCCCACTTACTCGGGTGCCTGAGGCAGGAGAATCACTTGAGCCCAGGAGGTGGAGGTTGCAGTGAGCGGAGATCATGACACTGCACTCCAGCCTGGGCAACAGAGTAAGACTCTGTCTTAAAAAAAAATTAAAATAAATAAATGCTATGCCCAGTATTTTCCATGTACTGTCTTATTATCTCAGTAAATCCCATATAACCTTCCTATGAAAGTGTATCTCATTTATCTCCATTTTATAGATGAGAAAACTGAGGCCCCTGGAGTACTATTAATTTTCCAAGACCGCATTGCTCATAAAGGGTACAGCAGGGACCCAAGCTCGACACTCTCACCCTCAAACATTTCCACAAGTGTAGACCAATGGCTCTCAACTGGGGTGGTTTTGCTCACGTACCACTCCCTTGCCCCACGGCATTTGAAACCATCTGAAGACATCTGGGGTAGCCATAGCTGGGAGGGTAGAATGGCACCTAGAGGATGGAGACCACAGATGCTGCTAACCATCCTACAATACATGGGACAGCCCCTCCCCCACCACCACGAATGGTCTCACCCCAAGTGTTGTGACTGTGCCAAAGCTGAGAAACCCAGGTTTCTCCTCAGCAAGAAGGAAAATCCCTGCAATGTGGATGCACCTCTACAGGAGCCCCAGGCTGACAATAACCTTCCTGATCTGGTTTCAACCCTGGATGCTTTTACCAGGTGCGTCCATCAGGGATTTCAGGGACTCCAGTGAGTTATTACTCTCGAATGCTCGGTTCTGCCTGACAACCCAGAAATCTCTGCCAAGATGCCTGGTCTTGGGGAAGGCTCAGCAAGTGGTTGAGGTTGATAACCAAATACCTAGGAGAGACTTTTCTCTCCCTCCAGGAGGAGCTGTGGGTCAGACACACCTTGGGATCATTCACAAGTGGTCAATAAAGGCTTGGGGAGGGCCAGGTTTTCTAGGCCTTCTCAATGGGGTGGGTGTTTGTGGATACACAAGAAGCCTGTGAAACTTCTGATATTGGCAGGAAATCAATGCCCCCACCCTCCACCCCCCCCCCACCTCCCCACCATAAACACATGCCCTGCAGCAGGACTTGACACTCAGGGGCTCCTGGGGTCCCGATTTATCTGCTAAAACCTCCTCTAGCCACCACCGAATAAAGCAACCCCTTGCCACCCAACCACAAGAGCACAGCCTGGGAGCCACTCCAAGGAACACCAAGTCACATTAAAACCTCAGCCATCCAGAGCACCAGGCCTGGTGATGAGAAAGAACATTTTATCCTTAAAAGCATCTGAATGCCCATGCTGCTTCTTGCAGAGAAAAGTCCAAAATAATCTGCTATTAAAGAACGAAGATGGTTTTGACATTTTTACCAAGCTAATGGTCTACGCAGACAAAATCTCATAAAAGGGCACTCTGTTCTTCTTGATCCACTCAGACATGGCCTGTGAGTGAAGAAACGGGCTCTCCTCCTCAAAGAAATCACTGCTGATCCTCACACCAGCCTGACACTGCTTCATGGGTTCTTCAAAGAGAGTATTCCCATAGAAACTAAAAGGGAAGAGGAATGTGTCTGGATGGCATTGTGGGCAGCAGTGGGCTTTGGGCCAAATTTTAAGTTTGAAAATCAAGATTGCCTCTTTTCGAGGGGCCGCCGGACTGAGCAGATACAGACAACGTGAAAAGAGGGTGCCACTTTCAGATTCAGGAAACAAGGATGGTTTCTGTTCAGTTCCTCCATCATCCTTCAGGTCATGCGATTCCCATTTCCCTCTGTGGACCAAAAAATTCAGTGGCGTTTCTGACTTTTAAATATTTCATTATCAACATATCATCCTTTTAGCCTCCAGAAGGCATTTTAACATGAAGATTCTGGCTTAAGACTCTTGTGGATCTGTCTGTCTCTCTCTCTCTCTTTTCCTTGAAACAGAGTCTCACTTTGTCACCCAGGCTGGAGTGCAGTGGCATGACCACAGCTCACTGCAGCCCGACCTTCCAGACTCTAGCAATCCTCCCACCTCAGCCTCCAAAGTACTTGGGACTACAGGCACACACCACCATACCTGGCTTTATTTTTTATTTTTTTATTTTTGGTTGATATGAGGCTTCACCACCGTGCCCAGGCTGGTCTTAAACTCCTGGGCTCAAGCGATCCTCCCCTTTCGGCCTCTCAAAGTGCTGGGATTATTGGCTTGAGCCACCATGCCCAGCCAAGAACCTTGTCTCTTGTAATGCACCCCAGAACAAAACATCACTGCAAAAACACACCAGGGCATGAGTTTTAGTCCTAAGTCTCATTTATCCACCATACACTATGTGCCAGGCACAACGCTAAGTGCTTCTATGGACGAGCTTCCCTTAATCTCAGCAGTAACAACCCCAGGCAATGGGGCCTGTTGACAGATCCATTTGCCACTGAAGACAGTAAGGCTCAGAGAGGGTAAGTGGCTTGTGCCATGTCAGCCAGCTAAGGAGGGGCAGAACCAGGATGCAAACCCCAGCCGCCTGGCTCCAGACTCGCGTTCCCAAGGTCCCACTACACTTGGTCACTCCACTGCATTCTGGTATCCTGGTCTTTGGCAGAGTCCACGTAAAAGAGGGAGGTAGAGGGAGTGAGAGGGACTTCACGCAATAAAGTTTCCTGGTGTTACACTGTCACCGTAATTGTGTTCCCGACCAGGACCTCTCCCTTCTCATCCTTTCCGTGATCGGCCCTGGAAAACCTTCCTGAGAACTGTCCTTCTTTCGGGATCTCAGAGAAAATTCACCTGAGTTCAGTGTCCAGGTGACCCAAGCTCTGAATGCGGTAACGTGCACGGGGAGATGAGGATGTCACCATGAGCAAGCCTCCCAGACAGCATCCAGGAGCAACCCCAAGACTGGGCAGGGGGGCTCTGATGCAGCCCGCGGCGAGGAGGGCTGCCCGTGCTGCCTAATGGGTTCAGAATGAAGGCCGCCCTCCCATCTTCAACCCGGGGTCGGCCACGGAGCCTCCCGCCACCTCTACCCCGCGTCCCCGGCACCCCCGGACCCCCGCGCCCGCGTCACTTACTCCTCTGCCGTCGCCACCTGTCTGGGTGCCGGTCTCCTCCCTGCCCGGCCGCGGCGCGTCCTCCCTGTCCTCGGGCTGTGCGCTTCCCCCCTCCAGCAACAGCCGCAGCCTCTTCTCGTAGGGAGGGACGTCGTCCTCCTCCCTCCTGGGCCGGCCATCCCTGCCTCGGGGCTTGCCAGTGACTTCGGAGCTGCCGGAAGGCCTGGCCATGACTCCGGGGGCTCTGCCTGCAGTTGGGGAAGAAGGACCCGGAGCGAGCGGCCTCTCGGCGGAGCTGGGGCGTCTGAGCGCGGGCTCGTTGGGTCCGCGCGGCGCGGAGCTGGGCATCGGAGCCGGCGCGGGCTCCTCCGCGGGCCGCTCCTGGCTCTCTGGCGCCCTCTGCTGGCCGCTCACGCGCACCGCCGCCACGCCGTTCCCGGGCCTGCGCCGTTCTCACCTGTCCTGACCCAGGAGGTCGCTGTCCCTTGCCCGTGGCCAGGCCCGCTCTGGCCAGGCCCTGCACCTCCTCCCCGCCCCAGCCAGGTTGCACCCCGATGGTCTCCCTGCCCAAGGAGGAGAGAAGAGAAAGGACGCCCCGAGATGGTGGACATCGGCCACAGCCACCTTGTCTTTGCTCTTACCGTGTGTCTTCCATGATTTGGAGGTGGGAAACCCGAGGCTGCTCAAAACTCGTGGAGAATTCCGCCTGCAGGATGACATGAATGCACCTTCGCATTGCCTACCAACAGATCTTTTTTGAGCATCACTGTGGACCAGTCGTGGTGATGGGGGAGGGGATATTGTGGTGAACATGACAGGCATTGCCTTCACCCAGTGGGGCTCAGCGCTGGGTGAGAAGGCATTGAGAATGGACATTGTCAATTGGGCAAAAGGAGGCCAAGGAGAAGTGCTGGGGGCATGGGAACTGAAAAAGACAGGAGGCTCAACCGGTCTTGGAGCTGGGAGAGGGACAGCAGCAGCGGCTGTTCCAAAGGAAGCAACAGCTGAGAGAGGCCTCAGAGAGTTGTTCTCAGCCCAGTGGAGGGTGTTCAGGTAGAGGGAACAGCGTGTGCAAAAGCCCAGAGGCTGGGAAAGAAGCAGAAAGAGGACTGTGGGTCTGGAGCGTGGTGGGCAAGGTGAGAGAGGCGTGGTGGGCGGACAGGTTGCCTGGGACCGAGCCGTGCAGGGGCAGAGGAGATAGGGGATCCTTGCAGGCCCCCAGCTGGGGCTGAGGCACAGAGACAATGCAGGTGGGCAAAGGGAGGAGACGTGGAGAAATATTTTGGAGGCATGCCCTGATGAATGAGCCCAGGATGCACCCTTAGTGTCAGTGTGGAGCTCCTTCCTAGGTTGTGTGATGAGCTGAACCCAGGGGTATTTTCTGGACATCGAAGTGCTACACCCAGAATCCAGGACAGGCTAAGTGAGCACCAGCAGCTCCTGGCCCACCTCAAAAGCAGGAGAGACAGGGGAGACTGGGGAGGCCAGGGCGGAAGGGGAAGCCAGGAAGGCAGGAGAGGCCAGGGAAGCAGAGGAGGCCAGGGAGGCAGAGTAGGCAGGAGAGGCTGGGGCTACTGTGTCCTTTCCATGATTCTGTCCAGGATCCTAGCCACCTGTACTCCCTGAGCTTCCCCACCCCAAGCTCTGGAACCATGTTGCACAACGGTCTCCCAACTAAGCTCCTGATTGCAGCCCCTACCCTTCTGTGCTCCCTATTTCAACCCTAACAGCTCTCACAGTGGGCAGCACATAGTAGGTGCTCAGGAAACACTGGTGGGAGAGCACGTGGGTCTGCTCAGCACCTTCCTCTCTCCTCCAGCTTTCCCCATCATGAAATAATTCTGATAACGACACATGGGCTTTGAGACCCTCTTCTATTACTTTCCATATGTTAATCCATCTATACCTCACAGCAGCCCTGGGGGTGGGTGCAATGAGGATGCCCATTTTATAGAGGAGGAAACTGAGGTATAAAGAGGTTAAGTGACATAGGCACACTACAGGGGCTGGGGCCAAGTGATCAGAGCACTCAATCCCCAAAGGCAAGGTGGATGCAGTTACCATAAAAGACAGCAAAGTCAAAGCTGCAACCAGAATAGCCTGACTCGCAGAGACCTATGGTGCCAGCTGATCGTGGCATTCCTAGAAGTGAAATAGATAAGAAGCCTGCACATTTTTACTGGATCTGTGTTTGCAGAAGAGTTCTAGGTCAGGTGAGCAGAAGTCTAATCTGAATCATAAAAACAGAGTCACAGTCCCCAGTCAATTCCCAGACATAAGCCAGTTCACAGACCCGGATTCCCTTGTCTGAATGGGAAGCCAGGTCCCCTCCAGAAAGGACTCTGCTCCACTGCCACAAATTAATACTGTCAATCTTTCTCCCAGCCTGCGCCCAAGGGAATACACAGCCTTTTACCAGGATGACTGAATAGGAGAAAAGGAACTAATGGGACCTGTGCAGGATCACTGGACACAGGCTCTGAACTGGCACTAGGCTGAGACTAGGGTCTACCAGTCAGAATAGGCATTTTGGAGGTCAGGGGAATGTTGGTGCAAGTTCATGTCATGGTAGACCCATTGGGTCTCCAAATCCAACCTCTGGTTATATGCAAAATGGCCATGTTGAGATTTAAATTCAGGGTATCCAACTTAGAGGCTGTGCTCTTACTCATGAAACATTCTGACACTAGTAACCAATTTAAAAATGCAAACACCTCCTGGGGCTAGCGAGAGTCCTCCAAACAGTCATGTAAATTGGTTCTGTCAAGGATTTCCTCCTAACAACCCCTTCCCCCCCTCCCCCCCTCCGCCTGTTGCAAGGAGAGACTAGGGAAGGGCATTGGGTAACTTTGTTGCTAAAAGCTCTTCTGGATAAAGAAGAGCTTTATCCAGAAAAAAGAAGCAAAATAGAGTTCAGCAGAAGTTGAGAAAAGAAGCAAATAGAGTTCAGCAGAAGAGGTAAGAAAGTAAGTTTATGTTTGACCAAGCACGGTGGCTCACGCCTGTAATCCTAGCACTTTGGGAAGCCAAGGCGGGCAGATCACGAGGTCAAGAGATCGCACCATCCTGGCCAACATGGTGAAGCCCCGTCTGTACTAAAAATTCAAAAATTAGCTGGCCATGATGACACACCCCTGTAGTCCCAGCTACTCGGGAGCCTGAGGCAGGAGAATCACTTGAACGTAGGAGGCAGAGGTAGCAGTGGGCCAAGATCATGCCACTGCATTCCAACCCGGTGACAGAACAAGACTCCATCTCATAAAACAAAACAAAACAAACAAAAAAAAGTAAGCTTATTTTTAAGCCTGAACAAGTGTAGTGGTTTAGGGGTTCTGCAAACACGGCCCCAATCAGGCTACAAGATGTTGTGGCAGCAATATTTACAGCCAGTCACTCCTGGCTGGCTGAGCCACTTTTGAAAACACACTTGCACGGCTGTGCAGAGCGGCTGGCTCCACTGGCAGCCGGCAAAGCCATAATACACACTGTCACCACTGCCCTCAAACCCCTTCGGTAAGCACTTTGTTTTTTTGAGACGGAGTCTTGCTCTGTCATCCAGGCTGGAGTGCAGTGGCACAATCTCGGCTCACTGCAAGCCCCGCCTCCTGGGTTCATTCCATTCTCCTGCCTCAGCCTCCCAAGTACCTGGGACTACAGGCGCCCTCCACCATGCCCGGCTATTTTTTTTATTTTTAGTAGAGATGGGGTTTCACCGTGTGAACCAGGATGGTCTCAATCTCCTGACCTTGTGATCTGCCTGCCTCGGCCTCCCAAAGTGCTGGGATTACAGGCGTGAGCCACAGTGCCCGGCCTGGTAAGCAGTTTTAATCAATGCAACAGGAATAAACATTTGCTGCAGAGCGGCAATGTGCAGGGAGGAACATGCTTCCACTCAGGCTCAGAAAGCAAAACCTCCTGGCTGTTTGCATCTGTGCAAGAGCTCGCAGGAAAAGCCCTCTGTGTGGCTGCCAGCCTCACACATTCCCCCCAAGGGCTGAGTTTCTCTTTCCATGTTAATCTATGCTCTGACGTGCCATCTGTCAACCACCACACCATTCTCAGTTGCCCTTTCGAAGCATCTTTGCCCTGAGAATGGTCACCAGCCCTGCCCTGCAAGCCCCCAGCTGACATTGAACTTAAATGAGAGAGAAAACAGGTTCCAGGGTGGATTTCAGTTCAGCATCTTGGAGTCTCTGTGTGGACATGAAATCTGTCTCCCCAGCTGTGGGCTGCATCTTTGTTTGTCATCTGGTTTCGTTCTTGGGGACTTGGAAACTCGTGGGCACCTTTGCAATTTGTCAAGAAGCTGCACGGCCCTTCCGACAAAAGCAAGGAATAGGAACAGAAGTCCAAGGCTTCGGATCAAGGTGCCACTTAAAGCAGCCTCAGTGTAAAAGCAAACAAGAGTCAGAGGGATGCCTAAGGCAGAGTCTAGTCCCCAGGGCAGCTATAAGGCAAAGAGAAAGAGAGACAGAGACAGAAAGACAGAGAGAGATGGGAGGAGACATGAGGCACCCAGGCCTCTGGATCAAAATCCCTACAAGAGGGGCCTCCTAAAAATGCAGGAGGCTGAGGTGGGTGCACACAGAAGTTCAAGACTAGCCTGGGCAACATAGCAAGACCGTGTCTTTACAAAAAATACAAAAATTAGCCGGGTGTGGCGGTGTATGTCTGTGGTCCCAGTTACCCAGGAGGCTGAGGTGGGAGGATGGCTTGAGCCCAGGAGGTAGAGTTGCAGCGAGCTGAGACAGCACCACTGCACTCCAGCCTGGGCAACAGAGTGAGACTTCATCTCAAACAAATTTAAAAATTTTTTTAAAAGGATCACCCTGGCTACTTGAATGGGTAATAAGAAGGTAACAGCAGAAGCAAGGAGACCAGCAGGGAGATTCTGCAGGTGGGAGTCCATAGTGGCTCAGACCAGGCTGGCACTGAAGACTGCCTGAATTCTGTATATATTTTGATGATGAAGAAACTCACCGACTCTTGAAGAGTGGGCTCTAGGAGACGGTATTTTTAACAAGCTGTCAGAGGATTCTAATGCAGGCTGAAGTTGAAAAACTGGTTTAGGTGAAGCTTCTGTTTCATCCTTAGGGAGGTACCTACTGACTTTTCTCCAAGCCACCTCAAAAGAGGTGCTAGACAAGATGTGCTCCAATGTCTGAACATGTGTGCACAGCTCTAGAGCCAACCTCAGGACACTGAGTCAAAGGTTAGGAGTACAACAGTGAACAACCACTGTCCTCTTTTCAATGAGCTTTGCATTTAATGAGAGAAATAAAAAGCAAAAAAAAAAAATCATTTTCAACTCAGAATGGTAAGAGTTATGGTGAAAGTATGCCTGGGGCAATGGCAGCAAATAGAAGGGGCACCCGATTGGCTAGGTGCAGTTGTTCTTGCCTGTAATCCCAGCACTTTGGGAGGCCAAGGTGGGTGGATCACTTGAGGCCAGGAGTTCGAAAACAGCCTGGCCAACATGGTGAAATCCTGTCTTTATTAAAAATACAAAAAAAAATTAGCCAGATGTGGTGGCGGGCACCTGTAATTCCAGATACTCAGAAGGCTGAGGTGGGAGAATTGCTTGAACCTGGGAGGCAGAGATTGCAGTGAGCCAAGACCGCGCCACTGCACTCCAGCCTGCATGGTCAGAGCGAAATTCTGTCAAATAAATAAATAAAAGCCTGGAGGTGGGTGGGCATGCAATCTCTATCAGGTGATGAGAAATCCTTCTCCATCACAGGACTCCTCGGTTGAAGACTAGAAAATGGTAGGAACTAGCCAGGTCGATAGGAGAGGTGAGGAAGATCATTCCCAGCAGAGGGAAGAGCATGTGCACAAATCGAGATGTGAGAGGGTGAGGAGCTGAGAGATGTTCATATAATTATAAAAAGTGACTAATATAGAGGTAAGTTGGAGCCAAATCTTAAAGGCTCTTTGTCGTGTTTATCCTGTAGACAAAGGGAGACAGTAGATGTCTTTAGGCAGGGGAGTAATGATCCACTTTCTGCTAGAACAAGAGCAGCCTGGCTGGAGGAGAGTGGGAGGTAAGTAGACCAGGTAGGAGGCTGCAATACACCAAGTGAGACAAGATGGTTGGCTGGACCAAGGCTGTGGCAGTGAGGATGGAGAGGAGACAGTAGACTAACTTGACTGAGAAAGAGGGAGGAATGAAGGAGGAGGCCCAGCTGTTTTGGACGCTGGGTGGATGGTGGTGTGAATCTGACGTGGTGAGCCCAGGCAGAAGAGGAAATCAGGAGAGGCAAGGTAAGATGAGGTCAATGCAAGAAAGACTGCCAAGTAGAGATAACAACTGGGCCGTTGGATTCATCAGCCTGGAGTTATACAGAGAGCTCTGGAATGGAAATAAAGAGGAAAGGACTTTGAGAATAGGTGAATCCTCCCAGAATAATGTGTAGAGAAAGGAGAATAGAACACAGGGGACAGAAAAAGGGAAGAGATTTGTTATTAAAACCAACCATCCATCAGACATCTTCCAATAAAACACTTGTTAGAGGTTTCCTCAGTGTGAGTTATTCAGGACCAGAGCTAAAGACCATATTCCCAATAAAATAACTGCTGGGAAGGTCTTCATGAAAACATTTAATGCTGCTTTTAAAACAACAACAACAAAAAGGCTTTAGCTACTGCACAGACCCTGGAGCAATTTTTCGGCAAGAGTCTATCAAACACGAATCTGATCTGACTCAAGGAGGTGTCATATCAAGTGTAAAAATCCAATTCCAATGTCCATAACAGCCTTTCTGCCAGGTACAAGACCGTAATCCAGTTGAAGTGATTTTCTATTGATGAATAGGCTGGGAATACACAGGTTGTTGGTTTTTGAGATTTCCCTCCCTGTGCCTCATGCCAGCTGTGAAAGAGTCAAAAGGCTCCTAACTGTCAAAATAAAAATGACACTTGGTCACAGAGGAAACAGATTATAGGCCAATCACATTGATGACTTTTTAAATATGAGAAGCCATTAATGTTACTGAATAAGCAAATCTGTTTGCATAACCAGATTTTTATAGGCTACTGGGAATAAAGGTTTTCCTAAGTGGGTGATTTGTACAACGATAGCCTTTGGGTCTCTGATGGAACAGCTCTGATGAGGAAATGTTCCTTTAATTATGTGGAAGGCCAATTACCATGTTATAGCCACATTGTTTTTCAGATTGCATATAATTTCACCATTTCCATAGCTTCAGCACGATAATTCTGGAGAAAATTCAGACACCAAGAAGACACTTGAGGCACAGTATGCTGGAGACAAAGATGTTTTAGCGAATTCAATTTAAGCTTCAACATTAAAGTTATTTTGTTGAATAAAACATAATGCAATAATGAGCTTGTGTATGTCAACTCTATAGTGCAGGTAATAATAGCTAGAGAGAGCATGTCACATCTCCTCTTTTTAATGCTCATTCGAGTAATACATAATGCTATAGAGAGAACCTTTCTCTAATATGTGCTTCATCTCAGGCTAAGTGTGTTTTGGGCAACCGTGCTTCATGAAAAAAAAAAAAAAGTAAAGGATCTAATTTGGGAGCCATTCGCAAAAGTGCTACCACTTGATTTTTTTAATACTCTGAGATTTCTTATTCCCAGTGCCCACCAGGAATGGACTTTCTGGAGAAGCTCAGATTAATCACTCCTTATGAGAGGTAACAGCGTGCTGGCAGCCCTCACAGCCCTTGCTCGCTCTCGGTGCCTCCTCTGCCTGGGCTCCCACTTTGGCGGCACTTGACGAGCACTTCAGCCCGTGGCTGCACAGTGGGAGCCCCTTTCTGGGCTGGCCAAGGTCGGAGCTGACTCTCTCAGCTTGCAGGGAGGTGTGGAGAGAGAGACGTGAGCCAGAACCGGGGCTACACGCGCTGCTTGCCTGCCGGCTGGAGTTCCGGGTGGGCGTGGGCTTGGCAGCCCCGCGCTAGGAGCTACCGGCCCCGGACAGTGAGGGGCTTAGCACCTGGGCCAGCAGCTGCTGTGCTGGACTTTTTGCCATGCCTTAGCTGCCTCCCTGCGGGGCAGGGCTCAGGACCTGCAGCCCACCATTCCTTAGCCTCCCCCCTCCGTGGGCTCCTGTGCGGCCCGAGCCTCCCAGATGAGCACCGCCCCCTGCTCCACGCCACCCAGTCCCATTGACCACCCAATGGATGAAGAGTGTGGGCACATGGAGAGGGACTGGCAGGCAGCTCCACCTGCGGCTCTTGTGCAGGATCCACTGGGTGAAGCCAGCTGGGCTCCTGAGTCTGATGGGGACTTGTAGAACCTTTATGTCTAGCTAAGGGATTGTAAATACACAAATCGGCACTCAGTATCTGGCTCAAGGTTTGTAAACACACCAATCAGCACCCTGTGTCTAGCTCAGGGTTTGTGAATGCAACAATAGACACTCTGTATCTAGCCATTATGGTGGGGACTTGGAGAACCTTTCTGTGGACGCTCTGTATCTAGCTAATCTAGTGGGGACGTGGGGAGCCTTTGTGTCTAGCTCACGGATTGTAAATGCACCAATCAGCGCCGTGTCAAAACAGACCACTCATGCTCTCTGTAAAATGGACCAATCAGCAGGATGTGGGTGGGGCCAGGTAAGAGAATAAAAGAAGGCTGCCCGAGTCAGCAGTGGCAACCCGCTGGGGTCCCCTTCCACACTGTGGAAGCTTTGTTCTTTTGCTCTTTGCAATAAATCTTGTTGCTGCTCACTCTTTGGGTCCACACTGCCTTTATGAGCTGTAACACCGTGAAGGTCTGCAGCTTCACTCCTGAAGCCAGCGAGACCATGAACCCACCGGGAGAAATGAACAACTCCAGATGTGCAGCCTTAAGAGCTGTAACACTGTCCATGAAGGTCTGCAGCTTCACTCCTGAGCCAGAAAAACCACAAACCCCTCCAGAAGGAAGAAACTTCGAACACATCTGAACATCAGAAGGAACAAACTCCAGACATGCCACCTTTAAGAACTGTAACACTCACCAGGAGGGTCTGCGGCTTCATTCTTGAAGTCATTGAGACCAAGAACCCACCAATTCTGGACACACTTATACACTTGGCACTGGGAGGTCTGTATGGAGCAAGTGAAGAAATCAGCAGAGTGAAGATAGAGGGAGAACAACATGATGGGGGAAAGGCAAAGTTACTGCCATGTTGGTTTCAATTCTGCCACTCATGAGTGAGACCCATGACCTCCTCTCTCTAGGACTCTGTTGTTCTTATCTGTACAGTGGAGGAATAGAAGGGCCTTTTAAAGTATTAACATTTCCTGATCTATCTGTAAAACACTTTCATTCAAACTGATGGGAATCTTGACTACTTTGCCAAGAGGACATAATAATCATCAAGCTGAATGCACCAAACAACATTGCCTGAAACTATCTAAGCAAAAACTGAGAAAGTTACACAGGACAGACAAACCTCCTATGAGACTAAGAACTCTTCAGCACATGCTTAGTGTGTCAAAGACAATGCTGTGTTCACACCATTCCTCTTCCTCTACATGCAGGAAGACTACATTTCCCAGCCTCACTCGCAGTTAGTTTGGAACCATGTGACTGCATTCCCACCAATACGAATGTAAGAAATCACTTCTGGGCCAAGGTTATCAAAGGCAAGTGTGAGCTATGTTCCCTCTCTTCCTATCCATATGGCTACAAGTGAAAAACTCTGAGATGGCAGAATTAAAAGATGGAAACCTCCAGAATCTCTGAATCAATGTTGGACAAGGGCCGCCAAGGAGAACCCCTGCCCTACACCAGACTATGCTATGGGTGCCAACCCACTGAGAGTTCAGGGTTTATTCGTCTCAGCAGCAGTCTATTGTTACACTGACTAACATCCTAAGGTTTGAGAGATCTAGCATATTGTTAATTGAAGCTAGATTTCAATTACACTGAGAACCTTATCTATTTAAAAATAAAAACTCTCCAAAAAAAAAACAAAAAACAAATAATCCACATTCCTTTTAACCACATGTGGCAAATTTGCAAAACAACAACAACAACAACAACAACACCAAAACTGGCCACATATTAGGCCATAAAGAAGTCTCAACAAAATCCACTATACGATTGACCTTGTCCAAACCACATTTTCCTGACCACAATACAACAAAATTAGAAGTCAGCAGCAAAAAGATAGCTAAACACAAGCACACATTTGCAAAATTAAAAATATGCTTTCATGAGTTAAATGAAAAATCACAATAGAAATTACTAAACATTTACAACAGAACGAAAATACAACTTTATATATATATATGTATATATATATACGTATATATGTATATATATATGTGTATATATATATATATGTTTTTTTTTATGGGTCTTCCAACTTTGTTCTTCTTTTACAAGGTTATCTGGGAAATTCTGGGTTTCCTGCAAATCCTCATACAGTTTTATGCTGTTTGTCAATTTCTGTGGCTGGGATGAACTTATCGTAGTTCTCATAGACCAGGGTTTGCATGTCGCTGTCTAGAGCCCGGATCTGCTGCACCATGTCCGTCTCACAGTCCATCAGCTGGGCCAGAGGACTCTCTCTAGGCAGCTTGTCTAGGTAAACTTCCCGGTCGAAGTGCGCCCCGTTCCGATCAGTGGGGTCCAGGGGGTCGGGCCCCGTGGGGAGTCCCACCGACTCCCCTTCCGAGAGGCCGTTGTAAAGCTTTAGCATCCTGTGCGCCTTCCGCCGACACTCCGTGAGCCTCCTCCTCAGGCCCTTCTTGGGAGTCCCCAGGTCCACACCCCGGGCTAGGCCCAGTGACAGCTGCCACCGCCATAGGTCCAAATGCAGCCCACGGGCGTAATTTTTGTATTTTTAAGTTGGATACATGGAGCTACTTGGCTTTTGCTTTCATCACATCGTTGAGGAAAGAGGTGGTTGCTTATGGTACCCCTGTTTTTACTGCATCCTGTAATGGATGAGAACCTCCCTGTTACAGAGAGCAAAACACTGAACTAAATTGTGCTGTAACACAGCCCTGTGATGGGGGATTGGGAGTGATCATGCAAATGCTTGCAAATTTGCACAGTGACAGAGACAATCGTCTGCGCAGCTGTTCACTATAGGAAAAGGCAATTGACCAAAAGTCAGTTGTTGAGCTATCTCAATACTTTCATTTTATTTTAACTTTTGCAGCAGGGTGCAATTAAAGGAGAGAAAGAAAACAAGTAATAAGTGTAAGATAATGTACACACATGTGTAAAAGAAAATGACAAGACAGGATGACTATTTGTCTCTTGGTTAGCTCCTTGGGCTCTATGTCTCCTTCCTCAGAGAACCTCGTTTTCCTTTGTCCAGATTTCTTAGGGTGGATAATTCAGGCACCTGCTCCCCCATGATGGAAGCCAAAGACGTCCCTGGAGCCGCCTCCCGCTGCATCCTTTCCTGCACTGCCCACATGGACACAACTCAGCCGATTAGACTTCCTCTCAGAACTTTAGTCTTGAGCAAAGAGATTAAAGGGTGAAGTGACTGAAGGTATGCCCTTCCAAAGTGGTACATGAGCTAATGGCTAAAGTTTGCCAAGCCCATCCAAGCACTTTTATTCGTAATTTTTATTTATTTATTTTTCTGAGACAGAGTCTTGCTCTGTTGCCCAGGCTGGAGTGCAGTGGTGTGATCTCGGTTCACTGCAACCTCTGTCTCTCGGGTTCAAAGGAGTCTCCTGCCTCAGCCTCCCCAGTAGCTGGGATTACAGGCATATGCCACCATGCCTGGCTAATTTTTTTTTTCTTTTGTATTTTTAGTAGAGACAGGGTTTCACCATGTTGGCCAGGCTGGTCTCGAACTCCTGACCTTGTGATTCACCTGCCTCAGCCTCCCAAAGGGCTGGGATTATAGGTGTGAGTCACCGTACCCAGCGTCAAAAAGTTTTAAGCAAAGCTAAGAAGTCTTAACCACAGGCACATCGGAGGAGCATTTTTGAAACACTTTCCATCTTCCTCAATAGGAATGGAAGCCAAACTCTGAATTGGTGACTCCTTTGAGGAAGTCCAGAGCTGTAAGGAAAGCCAGGAACAGGGCAAGGGAGAGATGCATCCCGAATGATCCTGTGCCAATTCTTTCTGGAATCGTTGATGTGATCTCAGCTGCCCTCTCTATACATGACACAGTGATTGTGGCACCCACTGGTCTAGCTCTGGTCTCTAAGGAACCCCCAAAGGGAAGGGCACAGTGAGCAGGGGCATCGGCCTGAGTGACAAGGATTTGAGAGGGCCGGTTGGTTGCAGGGAGAGGACTGGCCAAATGCCATGTGTCTGGACTTAGACTGCCTGGTTCAAATTGGAATTCGCCCTTTTTGACTTCGTGATCTGGTACAAGCTACATGAAAATCCGTTGCGCCTTTTCTAGTCTGTAAAATCATCCTGAAATGTGCACTAATAACATGGAGACTAAGCAGATGAAATGAAATATGCTGCATACAGCAAAGAACTCAGAGCCTGGCCTTTAGGAAGCCCTCAGTAAGGGTTCATGATGCCATGGTGTCTGTCATCATCCTCTTTATCCTCATCATCACCTTCATAATCTTTTTGTTGTTCTTAGGGAATAGTTTAGAGGGACTGATTCCCTGCTATCATGGGTGAGATATCTATGAAAAGGACAACCAGTGGGGGAGGAAAGCAAAATTTTGAATAAGATTTCTGAGACCCCCACCACAACCAAGAACAGAAACTCCACAGTCTGCTGAGCAGAGAGTTGCATATTGGTCTCCTCCCATCTACCCACCGCACTCTCCTGTTTGTCTTGAGAATGAGGAAACAAACAAGGCTCCCGACCGTCCCTCAGCACTCACTTGAAGGGGTGGCCTGCCCCTCCACACCTGTGGGTATTTCTAGTCGTGTGGGATGAGAGACTGAGAAAAGAAATAAGACACAGAGACAAAGTATAGAGAAACAACGGTGAGCCCAGGGGACCGGCACTCAGCATACCAAGGACCTGCACCGGCACCGGCCTCTGAGTTCCCTCAGTTTTTACTGATTATTATTTTTATTATTTTAGCAAAAAGGAATGTAGTAGGAGGGCAGGATGATAAAAAGGAGAAGGTCAGCAATGAACATGTGAGCAATAGAATCTATGTCATAATGAAGTTCAAGGGAAGGTACTATGACTGGACATGTATGTAAGCCAGATTTATGTTTCTCTCCACCCAAACATCTCAGTGGAGTAAAGAATAACAAGGCAGCATTGCTGCAAACATGTCTCGCCTCCCACCATAGGGCGGTTTTTCTCCCATCTCAGAATTGAACAAATGTACAATCGGGTTTTATATCGAGACATTCAGTTCCCAGTGGCAGGCAGGAGACAGCGGCCTTCCTCTATCTCAACTGCAAGAGTCTTTCCTCTTTGACTAATCCACCTCAGCACAGACGATCTATGGGGGTTGAGCTGGGGGTGGTCAGTTCTTTCTCCTCCCATGAGGCCACTTATCAGACTATCACATGGGGAGAAACCTTGGACAATACGCCTCTTTCAAGGGCAGAGGTCCCTGCGACTTTCCACAGAGTATCTTGCTCCTGGTTTATTGAGACTAGAGAATCGCTATGACTTTTACCAAGTATACTGCTTGGAAACATCTTGTTAACAAGGCACGTCCTGCATAGCCCTAGATCCCTTAAACCTTGATTTCATACAACACATACTTTTGTGAGCTTCAGGTTGGGTCAAAGTGGTTGGTTCAAAGTGACTGGGGCAAAGCTGCAGATTAACAACATCTCAGCAAAGCAATTGTTGAAAGTACAGGTCTTTCTCAAAATGGAGTCTCTTATGTCTTTCCTTTCTACATAGACAGAGTAAGTGTCTGATCTCACTTTCTTTTGCCTACATTCACTGAACTGCTCTTCCCCTCTGCTGGGCCATGACCATGGAGAACAGGTCAACTGTCCTCCCTGCTTGGTGCACCATGGAGGCTCAGACTCCGTCCTCAAGGCTGGCAAGAAAACAGGGTGAGACATCAGCCCCCTGATACAGGTGACGGGAGTGGAGCCCACAGGACTGCAACCTCACATTGCAGGGCTGGAGGCACAGACTATTTACTATTCTGTGGCCTGGGGGGCTCAAGGCCCAGAGCTCCTCATTAGCCAAAGTCGCCCAAGTTCCCCAACCTCTAAGGATTTCCTCATAATATTGCAAGAAGAAGAAGAGAAAAGTGAGTGTCCATAGAAGCTTTGGGGCTCTTCCTCTAATCAGGAGAAAGCTGGTGGGTATTCTTCACTTCTTTCTTTACTTTTTAAACATCCAACTGCTTTAATTTTCATCTTTTAATATGGGAAAATATACCACGTATAAATATTAAAAATTATAAATACATATTAGTTCATAGAGAATAGCCTGTATAAATATTTACAGTTTCCACTCTTTTTCAGTTTACAGTTTAACGACATTAAGTAAGTTTACATTGTTTAGCAACCGTCGCCGCCATCGTCTCCGGAACAGTTTTATCTTTCAAAATGGAAATTCCACCCACTCACCAAGCTCTCCATTCCTCTCTCTCGCCCACCCCTGGAGGCCACCTTTCTAGTTTGCAACTCTATGAGTTTAACTACTCTAGACACTTGATAGATAAGCGGAATCATACCTTGTTTAATTTTTTTGTTTTGGAGACAGTCTTTCTCTGTCACCCAGGCTGGAGTGCAGTGGCGTAGTCTGGGCTGACTGCAACCTCCACATCGTGGGTTCAAGCGATTCTTGTGTCTCAGTCTCCCGAGAGGCTGGGATTACAGGCGTGCGCCACCACGCCCTGCTAATTTTTGGATTTTTAATAGAGACGAGCTTTCACCATATTGGCCAGGCTTGTCTCGAACTCCTGACCTGAAGTGATCCGCCTGGCTCAGCCTCCCTAAGTGCTGGGGTTACAGTTGCGAGCCACTGAGCCTGGGCCTGTTTATCCTTTTGGGATTTATTTATTTCACTGACGATAATGTTTTCAAGGTTCATCCATGTTGCGGCCTGCGTCAGAAGTGCCTGTCTGTTTTTTGTTTGTTTGTGTTTTGTTTGTTCTTTTGACTTTGCTTTGTTTTGTGTTCCCATGGAGTCTCACTCTGTCGCACAGGCTGGAGTGCAGTGGCACAATCTGGGCTTACTGCAACCTCCGCTTCCCGGGTTCCAGCGATTCTTGTGCCTCAGCCTACTGAGTAGCTGGGACTATAGGCACACGCCACCACGCTCATTTAATTTTTTGCATTTTCAGTAGAGACAGGGTTTCACCAAGATGGCCAGGCTGGTCTTGAATTCCTGACCTCAGGTGATCCACCCACCTCGGTCTTCCAAGACGCTGCGATTACAGGCGTGAGCAACCACACCGGCCAGAAGTGCCTGCCTTTTGTAGGCTGAATTGTCTTCCATTGTATGAAGGAACTGCAGTGTGCTTTTTCATTCATCTGTCTACGAACCCTTGGGTTGCTTCCACATTTTGGCTGTTGTGAATAATGGTGCTATGAATATGGGTGTACACAAATCTGTCTTCCACTCCTGGCTTCTAATTCTTTTTGGCAGGTACCCACAAATGCAACTGCGGGAACATCTGATCATTCTGTTTCTAATTTTTCCAGTAGACGCCATACTATTTTCCCGGTTCCTTCATGGTTTTACATTCCCTCCGATCACATTCGAGCATTCCTACTTCCCTCTGTTCTAACCAATACCTGTTTGTTTATCATATCCATCCTAATGTGTGGTGTCACATTCTTGGTTTGATTTGCGCTTCCCTATGATGAGTGACTTTGAACATCATTTTAGATGCTTATTGGCCATTACGATATCTTCTTTAGGGACACGTCTACTCGAGTCTTCTGACCATTGTTGATGGGATGCTTTGGGTTTCTTGTTGTTTAGTTCTAGCTGTTCTTCATATATGATGGATATCAGCCTCTTTTCAGATATATACTTTGCAAATATTTTTCCTAATCCATGGGTTATCTTTTCTCTGAATTTGCAGTGTTTTTTGCTGCACAAAAGTGTCTGTCATTTAGATGTAATCCAAGGAATCTAATTTTCTTTTGTTGCCTATGCTTTTGGTGTCATACCCAGAGAACGTTGCCCAATCTGATGTCATGAAAGTGTGGCCAATGTTTTCTTTTAGGCTTATGATACTTTTAGTCCTTGGGGTTAGGTCTTTGATCCAGTTTGTGTTAATTTTTGCACGTGGTGTGACACAGGGTCCACCTTCATTCTTCTGCATGTGGAAATCAAGTTTCTCCAACACCATTTCTTGAAAAGGCTGCTTTTCCACCAATGAGCTTTCTTAGAACTCATGTGAAAAATCATTTGAACATACAGGTGAGAAGTTATTTCTGGGCTCCAAAGCAAACAAACAACAACAGACACCAGATAAGGATACAGCATGGGCCGGGCGCGGTCGCTCATGCCTGTAATCCCGGCACTTTGGTAGGCCGAGGCGGGCAGATCACCTGAGGTCAGGAGTTGAAGACCAGCCTGACTGACAGGGAGAAACCCGCGTCTCTACTAGAAATAAAACATTAGCTGGGCATGCTGGCACATGCCTGTAATCCCAGCTACTCGGGAGGTGGAGGCAGGAGAATCGCTTGAACCCAGGAGGCAGAGGTTGTGGTGAGCCAAGATTACACCATGACACTCCAGCCTGGGCAACAAGAGCGAAACTCCATCTCAAAACAAAAAACAAAAAACAAAAAACAAAAAACCAGCATGATTTCAAGAGCAGAAAGAGAAGAGCTTAAAAACCAGCATAATGAGAAAGTTAGGAAGCTTCTTACCAAAGCATCTGGAAATATGCAAGCAATTCTTGTAAACTAAAATTTTCATGCTGTACTATCAAACAGTAGTACTCACTTATTCCATCTTTCTGTATTTTGGGACCCAATTATCCACCTGTCTTCATTCCCTATCCCACCCCTTTTCTTCCTAGCGTCTGCTAGCCACCTTTATACTCTCCACCTTCCTGAGATTCCTTTTGTGTGTAGGTGTGTCTGGGATGGAGTCTCTTTTTGTTGCCCAGGTTAGAGTATACAGGCACAATCCGGGCTCACTGCAAGCTCCGCCTCCCGAGTTCAAGCTCTTCTTGGGCCTCAGCCCTCGGATTAGCTGAGACTACAGACACGCGTCACCACGCCGGGCTCATTGTTTGTGTTTTCCGTAGAAACGAGGTTACACCATGTTGGCCAGGCGGGTCTCAAACTCCTGGACTCAATTGACCCATGCGACTCGGCCTCCCAGAGTGCTGGGATTACAGGCCTGAGAAACCACACCTGGCCAAGGTTTCCTTTTTTCTTCCTACATAGAAGTGAGGACGTGAAATATTTGTCATTCTGTGCCTGGCTTATTTCATTTAATATACAGACCTGCAATCTCATCCATTTTGTCTGCAGCGGAGAGGAGTTTCCTCCTTTTTAGGCTGAATAATACTTCATTGGGTGTGTATACCACAGTTTCTTCATTGAAACAAATTTCTGAAGAGCAAATATTTTTGAAATGCCTCGGAATGTGAAACTTTAGGGATACTGTGCCCATTTTATTCTTTTCTGTTTCCAATCTTATGTATATGCAAGTGTATAACAAAGCAGCAATCAATGTGTGTATAAATCTATAACTTCAACAATTGTAAAATGTAAATGCTAAGTGGTGGCTGGGCGCGGTCACTCATGTCTGTAATCCCAGCATTTTGGGAAGCGGAAGCTGGCGGATCACCTGAGGTCGGGAGTTCTGGACCAGCCTGAACAAAATGGAGAAACACTGTCTCTATTAATAATACAAAAAAAAAAAAAAAAAAATTAGCCAGGCATGGTAGCGCATGCCTGTAATCCCAGCTCCTTGGAAGGCTGAGTCAGGAGAATTTCTTGAATACGGGAGGCAGAGTTTGCAGTGAGCCGAGACCGTGCCATTGAACTTCAGCCTGGGCAACAAGAGTGAAACTCGGACTCAAAAAAAAAGAAGATAAATAAATAGAAAATGCGAAATGGTAAGAAAAAACAGCATAATAAAATTTGTATGGTGTTGATGGACAATGCATTTGAAGATAATATTTGAAGAAATCATATTAAAATTAATTTCTGTTCTTACTCATTGGAGCTTGACGCCTCTAAAAACTTCGTGATTGGAACCACCTCTGGTGCTTTAAAAGAAAAAAAAAAAAATCCACGCACTCACACAGGTGCAAGGAAATCAGAATCTCAGGCATTGAGACCCAGGCCTCATCATTTCTAAGCTCCCCAGGTGATTTGACTCAAAGCCAAGATTGAGGAACGGCGACATGGATCTCTACACAGAACCTGCCTAAATAGATTCTCTAGAAGCAGTTTATAAAGAAATTCCACATGAACTGTGGAAGAGGATATGAATTTGATGTACAGTATGTCCTCACTTAACATCTTTGAAAGTCTCTTGGAAACTTCACCTTGAAGCAAAATTATGTATAGTGAAACCACTTATTTTTCTTCCACAGTATAACTACACGACTTTGAACAACCAATGGTGTTGGAGGACCTCCTGTGCATTGTTTCCATAAAGTCAGTTTTCAGGGAATTCCAAAACGAAGTGAGGACTTCGTGTATATAAAAAGATGGTTGTGATTCCACCTGGATGACAGTGTTATTTCTCAGAAACTAAAAGAGGCCGCCTCGTTATAGAGGATTCTGTCATGAGGTTTCTGCTAAACCAAGGATCCCAGAATCCTCACCCATTCCAGTTAAAGGCATAACGAAGAAAGCAATATTCACAAAGGAAATGCGGAAAGGAATAAAAGCCATCAAGCCACAAAAATAATGTGACTAAGGGACAGGATTTGCAGATGTAGAGATTTAATGTGGTTGCCCTTTCTCACCCACACAAGAAAAAGGATGGAACAGATCATGAGATTCCACTGTTCTGCTGCGCAGCCTCCGCAGGGCACTTTGTATGTCCCTGTTTCTCAGGCTGTACATGAAAAGGTTCAGCATGGGGGTGACCACAGCGTACATCACTGATGCCACCACACCACTCCTGGGGGGTGGTGACACAGCTGAAGCCAGGTACACGACAATGTCTGTTCCATAAAATCAGCAAACAGCTGCTAGGTGAGAGCCACAGGTGGAGAAAGCTTTATACTTCCCATCTGACGATGAAATCCTTAGAATGGAGGGGACAGTTTTATAGTAAGACAAAAGGATCCCTGAAATGGGAAGAAAACCAAACATAGTACTATCGAAATATATGAATATGCTATTGATGACGCTGTCAGAACAGGCAAGTTTGAGAGGTTGAGAGGGGTCACAGACAAAATGAGAGATTTCCACATTCTTG
Organism: Homo sapiens; assembly: GCF_000001405.40. Lineage (NCBI taxonomy): Eukaryota > Metazoa > Chordata > Mammalia > Primates > Hominidae > Homo > Homo sapiens. Next base: position 1,307,866 of record NW_018654717.1, on the reverse strand, counting down.
ATGATGGTGAATTATAACACAATCCAACTGTGCAGCTGGGAATCCAACAGGCTGAGGAAAAAGGACACCAAGACGAAGAAGATACAGAGGTGAGGATTCACGATGACTGGATAGTGCAGAGGGCCACAGATGTCTACAAAGCAGTCATAGGCCATCACAGTCAGGAGCATGCCTTCTATACATGCAAAAAGGACCAAGAAATACATCTGTGTCAGGCAGCCCGCATGAGAGATGACTCTGCTATGTGACTGCATGTCCACAATCATCTTGGGAACCGTGGCTGAGGTGAAACCCATGTCAGCCCAGCACAGGTTGGAGAGGAAGAATTACGTGGGGGTGTGGAGGGGGGAGTCAGAGCTGACAGCCGGTATGCTGAGCAGGTTCCTCAGCACCGTGACCAGGTACATGGACAGGGACAGGGACAGCAAAGCGAGGACTGGCTGCAGTTCTGGATCCTCTGAGAGTCCCAAGAGGAGAAATTCTCAGACACCTGTGAGATTCCGTGGCCCTGTGTGTCTTGGACACCTTGAGAAGGAAAGAGGATTGGAAAAATAAAAGATAAAAACCAGCCCTTAATGCTAGATGCAAGCAATTCACAAGGAACATCTTCACACTTGCGGACCATACACCGCCAGCAATGTTTCTCAGTTGTGACAATTCCAAAAATCTCAGAATTATTACGTGATTTACTTTTTTGCTATTCAAGGCTTTCTGTACATACTACTTTAGAGAATATCCACTGGAGAATATTAGAAGACCAAAACGTCATATATAACAAATCCGTGATCTCAGTAAAATATGGCCTACTCTTTTCAGAAAAAATACAATGCAATGAAAATGTCCTTCTCTCTTTCAGAAAAAGATCTCAGTCTAATTGAAAGAAATTAAGAAACCGTGAAATACACTCTACTTTATTCTGACACAGTGCTACAACTTCCATTGATGTAGAATATGTAAAAGGACGACACAAGGGCTAGGACCCCATTATCTGAAAACGAAAAAGAACCTTATAATTCTCAATCGGAAGACCTTTTCACATGCCTGTTACTTTTCATATTTATTATCATCCTTCGGTTTTCTGACATCATTTCTTCATAAAAGTACATGCATACTCAAAAATGGGAGCTGGGTTTCCAAATGAATAGAATCTATAACTGCTGGCCCAGCACCATGGCTCACACCTGTAATCCCAGCACTTTGGGTGGCCGAGGATGATGGATCACCTGAGGTCAGGAGTTCCAGACCAGCCTGGCCAACGTGGTGAAACCCCGTCTCCAGTGAAAATAATAAAAAAAAATAGCCGGTCGTGGTGGCGGGTAACCCTAGCTACTCGGGAGGCTGAAGCTGGAGAATCCCTTAGAACCTGGAAGGCAGAGATTGGACACCCTGTGATAGGATTTTTGATATCCTAGGGAGGTATTGCTCCTGACAGTAGAGTGGGCGTACACCCTGTGATATTATTTGTAATATCCTAGAAAGATATTGCTCCTAATATCATGGTGACTCTACACCCTGTGATCTTAATTGTAATATCCTACAGAGATCTTACTCCTAATAATACAGTGGGTGTACATCCTGTGATATTATTGATAATACATCACAGAGATAGGACTCCTGATATCACAGTGAGTGTACACCATGTTGGTACACGCTGTGATCTTATTTGTAACAACTTAGAAGAATACTAGAGCTAATATCAAAGTTGGTGTACACCCTGCGATGTTATTTGTTATCTACTAGGTAGATATTACTCCTAATATCACAGTGAGTGTACACCATGTGTGTACAGACTGTGAAATTATTCGTAATACCCTAGGAAGATATTACCCCTCATATCACAGTGGGTGTACACCGTGAGTGATTTTTTTTTCTAATATCCAGCGGGGGAGAGGATGATATTGCTTCCAATATCACAGAAGGTGTACACCCCCTGTGATATTGTTCCTAATATCCAGGGAAGGAGAGGATGACATTATTCGCAATATCACTGGGGGTGTACCACCTCCCGCCAGGATATTGTTCTTAATATCTGGAGGTGGAGAGAATGATGTTACTCCCAATATCACAGGGGGTGTACACCACCCCTCTTTGTAAACACCCCCTGTGATATTGTTCCAAATGGCCTGTGAAAGAGTAACCATGACTCCTATTATCGCGAGGGGTGTTCAGCCCTGATGATATTGTTTTCTAACATCCAAGGATGGAGAGTATGCTATTACTCCCAATATCGCAGGGGTTGTACACCCTTCTGTGATTTTGTGCCCAATATCCAGGAAAATAGAGGATGATATTACTCCCGATATCGAAGTAATTGTACAGCACCCCTGTGATATTCTTCCTAATATCCAGAAAGGAAAAGAATGATATTACTCCCACCAGTGTAGGAAACGTATACCCGCGCTGTGGTATCTTTCCCAGTATCCAGGTGGGGAGAGGATCATGTTACTTCCAGTGTCACAGGGTGTGTACAGCCCCTCTGTGATCTCATTGCTAACATCCAGGTTTGGGGAGGACGACATTATTCCCAATATCGCAGGGGGAGTACACCCCCCCGTGACCTTGTTAGTCATTTCCTGGGTGGAGAGGATGATCTTACTCCCAATATAGCAGGGGGTGTACACCCCCCTGTGAAAATCTTCCTATATTCAGAGGGAGAGAGGATGATGTTACTCCCAGTATCGCAGAGGGTTTCCACAGCCCTGTGATACTCTTCCTAATATCCACAGGGAGACAGGATGATATTACTCCCAATACCGCAGGGGGTGTACACAACCCTGTGATATTGTTCCTAACATCCAGAGCGAAAGAGGATGATATGACTCTCAATATCGCAGAGGGTGTACACCCCTCCTGTAATATTGTTCTGAATACCCTGGGAGGGAGAGGATAAAGTTACATTGAATATCGCAGGGAATGTACACCCTCCCCCTATGATACACTTCCTAATGTCCAGGGGAAGAGAGGAAAATTTCACTCCCAATATCACAGAGGCAGTACACCCCACCTGTGATGTTGTTCCCAATATGCATGGGGGGAGAGGATGATACTACTGTCAATATCACAGGGCTGTTCACATCCCCAGTGACATTTTTTCCTATTATCTAGGGGAGAGACAATTCTATGACAGCAAAGGTTGCAGGGTCTGTACATCCCTTCCTGATATTGCTCCTAATATCTAGGGGGGAAGAGGATGATATCAAATATGAAAGTGGGTGTACATCCCCCATCTCTACGATATTGTTCTTAATAATTGTGAGGGGTGACGATGATGTTACTCCAAATATCGCAGGGGTTGTTCACAACCCCCTGTGATATTGTTTCTCATATCCAGGGGGGAAAAATTCATGTTACTTCCAATATTGAAGGTGGTGTATACCCCACCTGAAATATGGCACCGCATATCCAAAGAGGGAGAGGATGGTATTCATACCGTTATCGAAGTGTGTGTACATGCCCCTTGTGATATGGTTTTTAATATCCAGTGGGCGGGAGGATGATATGAGTCCCAACATCCCAGAGGGTGTACACTACCCCTGTGATATTGTCCCTAACTTCCAGAGGGGAGAGGATGATATCATTCCCAATATCTCAGAAGTTGTACATCTGCCGTGATATTGTTCGTCATATCCAGGAAGGCGCAGGATGACATTCCACTGAATTTCGCGACACGCCTACACGCACAGTGTGATATTGTTGCTAATATCCAAGAAAGGAGAGGATGATATTACTCCCAATAAAGCAGTGGGTGTACATCACCCCTGTGTTATTGTCTCTAATATCCGGGGCTGGGGGAGGAGGGGAGAGGATAACATTCCCTCCAATTTAGCAGGTGGTTTGACGCCCCTTGTGGTGTTGTTTTAAATATCCAGCGGGGAAGACAATACTACTACTTTTGATAGTCCGATTCATCCGCTCCACCTTTCCGGAACTCTAAGGCCGGGAGGCGGCATGCAGTTTCCGTGTGATCCCCAATACCTTTGCCATCTTCTGTACCAAGGCAGCCAAAAACACAGGCCCGCTGTCTGAGCCAATCCCTAAAGCCCGTCGAAATCTAGGAATCCAATCATGAAGAAGCACAGGGGTTACTTCATGAGCTTTCTCAGTTCGTGTTGGATAGGCCTCCACCCACCCAGAGTAGGTACGCCCAAGAACTAGTACATACTTGTTACCTCCACACTTTGACATCTCTGTGAAGTCCACCTGGAGACCTTCAAAGGGGGCTGCTCCATAAGCTCGTATGCCGGGCGGAACGGCTGGACCTTGCCTCGCATCATGCTGTCGCAGGTAACACACGGCTGCCTCACCGTTTTGGCAAGGGCTGACAAAGGCAAGATGTAGAAATACCAGCCTAACAACTTTTCCAGTGACTCCTGACCTCGATGGGTGGTTTCTTGCACAGCCAGTACAACTGCAGCTCCTAGCAGCTGTGGCACAGCTACTCTCCCGTCTGGTAACCAAATCCATCCTTCCTCCATCACTTGTCCTTCCCTCTACCTGGAGAAAGTCCTTTTCTTCTTTAGAAGAAGCAGGTCCAAGATCAGGTGCTTGAGGGAGCACTGATGCCCAGAAGGGGACAGATGCTGCTTTTCGAGCCTCTGAGTCAGCGTGGGAATTCCCCAAATCCAGCAAGATGGAAGCTCGCTGGTGTCCTCTGCAATGCCTAACTTCCACTTTGTGGGGTTTCAATACTGCTTCTAATCATTGAAAGACTTCTTGTTGATATTTTCTGTCTTTTCCCCCACAGTTCAAAAGTCGTCTTCTTTCTATCACGCTCCATGCACTTGAAGGGTTAAAAAGACATACGGAGAATCAGTGTAAATGTTGACAGTCTCACCCTCACTGAGTTCTAAGGCCCCAATGAAAGCAATGAGTTCAGCTTTCTGGGCTGATGTGGCCTGGGGCAGTGATCTGGCTTCAACAACAGTGTCCAGGGTTATCACTGCATACCCTGCACCTCTCTCTCCTTGGGGGTTGAAGAAGCTGCTCCCATCCACGTATGGCTCCCAGTCTACTGATGCCCAAGTCTGGTCCCGGAGGTCAGGCCTGCTACAGTCAATTGAGTACAACATTTCTACACAATCAGGCTCGGCAGAGCTCTCTGATACCGGCAGCAAGGTGGCGGGGTGTAGGGTGTTACAAACTTTACTGGTTATATGGGGATTTTCACAGAGCAAAGTTTGGTACTTGGTGAGTCTGGCATTCATTAGCCAATGATGTCCTTTACTACTCATTAAAGTCACCACAGAACGGGAGGCATTTATGTTCAGGCTTTGCCCAAGAGTCAGCTTATTTGCTTCTTGTACTAGCAGGGCACTTGCTGCCAAGGCCCTCCAACAGGGGGGCCATCGTTTAGAAACCCCGTCTAGTTGTTGAGAGAGGTAGGCCAGAGGCCTCGGCCGGGGCCCCACAGTTTGGGTTCAAAGTCCAGCTGCCATCTTTTCTCTCTTTTATGCATATAATGGAAAAGGCTTTGTCAAATCGGGTAGCCCCAGGGCTGGGGCTGCCAGAAGTTTTTCCTTTAACTCATGAAAGACTTGCTGTTGTTGGGATCTGCATTCCAAAGGTTCCCGGTCCCCGCCCCATTTGTGACCGCATACAAAGGCTTGGCTAATACTGCAAAGTTTGGGATCCACAGTCTACAAAACCCCACAGCTCCTAAGAATTCTCTCACCTGCCTTCAGATCTTAGGCTCCGCTAGATGGCAAATGACCTGCTTTCTTTCTGATCCCGGGCTGCGTTCCGACCCCTGTCAGATAGTAAATCCCAAGTAACGTACCTGCTGTCAGCAGATCTGAGCTTTCTTCTTGGACACCTTCTACCCACAGTCCTCCAGGTGCCTGTGTAGGGCATCTTTTCCCTTGGCACACCCGACTGCCGTGGGGTGTCCCAGCAGAAGGTCATCAGCCTACTGGAGCAACACGCAGCCTAGGTCTCTGCTGGGAAACTTCTGGAGGTCTTGAGCCCATGCCTCCCCGAAGATGGTGGGGGAGTTCTTGAACCCTTGGGGAAGTCGAGTCCAAGTGTACTGAGTAGTGACACCGACTCCGGATCTTCCCACTGAAAGGCAAACAGCTTCTGCCTCTCAGGGGCTAATCTGATAGGAAAGAAAGCGTCTTTCAGGTCCAAGCAGGTGAACCAGCTGTCCTCAGCTGGCGGAAACCCCAACAATGTGGACGGGTTAGGTACTGTTGAATGTAAAGTCAGTGTAGCTTGATGAAGCAAGCGCAAATCCTGTACCGGCCGGTAGTCCTTGGTCCGTGGTTTGGGAACAGGCAGGAGGGGAGTGTTCCATGGAGACTGACAAGGAACAATCATTCCAAAAGTTCTTAGGTGCTTGAGATGGACCTGGATACCTTGAAGGGCTTCTCTGGGGACTGGCTCCTCTTTTTGCCTCACCGGCTGGGCCCCAGTCTTAACTGGCAGTGCCCCAGGGTTGTCTTCTGCCATACTCTTGGCCACCGCTCAGCCAGAGCTGGTCTCTCTTGGCCCGGCTCAGTTCAGAAAAGTCTCCATTCCAACTCTCGGGGGACTATAATGGTCATAATGACTCCCGTTCCGGGTAACTTTAGCAGCGAAGAGCCGTGCTCTCTCAAAGAGATAGTGGCTCTCAGCTTGCTGAGCATGTCCCTTCCCGAAAAGGTCAAGGGACAGTCAGGCATGTACCAAAACTGATGAATGACTTTATGTCCTCCTACAGGACAAGTCCGAGGCAAGCAGAAAGCTTGCTTTGCTGAAACCCCCGTGACTTCGATGATGTCAATAGTCTTTTTGGATAAGGGGGTGACCGGGGCGGTTACTAGCGAATGTTCAGCACCGCTATCTACAAGAAAGTCAATGTCTTCACCCCCGACAGTCATTCTGACCAGAGGCTCTTTGGGGAGGCTTGAGCCCGGTCTCCCTCTGTCCAGTAACCCTTCTGCCAGGTTGAGCAGGGCCCCTTCCTCCTTGTCCGGGGCCTCCTGCTCTGAGTCACCTTGTTTTCTTTTGAGCTGAGGGCATTTGTTCTTCCACTGTCCTATTTCTTTACAATCAGCACACTGGTTATGCTGCAAACTCTGACAGCCAAGCTGAGTTTCTTTCCCAGGGCCCCCTTTCCCTTGCCTCTTTGGGGGGGCCCTCTGATTGTTGCAGCTGAGAAACAGGTCGGCGTGTTGCCGGGCCTGACCTCCATTCTCTTTGCCATTTTCCTTAGGGCTTACTGCATCCCTGTTTACAAACACCTGGCTAGCTATTTCTAGTAATTGGGATGGATTCATCCCTGCAAGCCCAGCCTGTTTCTGCAGTTTTCTTCTCACGTCTTCTGCGCTTTGACGGACTAAAGCCATGGGAATCATGCACTGATTTTCAGGGCTATCGGGATCAAAGGGAGTATACATACGATAGGCCTCCCACAATTCTCTCTCGTAGAATTGTGCTGGACTTTCTTCTTTTCCCTGAATGACCTCAGAGAGCTTGTTAACGTTTGTGGCCTTCTGAGCTCCCCTCATTAATCCTTCCAAGAGAGCTTCCCTGTCTCGGTTTCACCTTTGCATATCCTCTCTTTCATGTGGGTCCAAGTGGGGGTCGGTTCCTGGCAACTGGGTCCTTCCATACTCTTGGGGGTTTTGATAATCAGCTGGTGCATGTTCCTCTAGCCACTTAGTTGCTGCTTGGAGGACTCTCTGCCTTTCTTCACTGTTAAAGAGGAAAATGAGCAACTGGTGCCAATCGGTCCAGGTGTGGTTGTGGGTCTGGATAACAGTTTGGAGCAAATCAATTAGTGCTTGTGGGTTTTCGGTATAGGGCGGTGTATTGTTTTTCCAGTTGAGAAGGTCGATGCAGGTGAAGGGCTGGTACCCAAAAACACGCCTCTCCACCACGTGACCATCCTCATCTATCCCAGTCTATCGCTGCTCTCTCAGGGGCATTTGTGTCCCCTTTTTGGGTCGTAAACGAGCTGCCGAGGGAGGGGTGGAATGGCGCAATGCGACTTGCCGCAATTAATAATCTCAATTATTAATTGACACTAATAATTATCAATATTAATAACCCATAATATAATTTTTAAAATCAATACCGATAATAATGATAATTAATATTAAATAGTTATACTAACAATAACAATACATGATTAATATTAATGATTAATGACGCCTGATATTAATAACTATTGATCTTATTCATTAGAAAACAGTAATATTAGCTCCTAATATTTCATATTAATATTAATAATCTGTAAACTTTTTATTAGCAATTATTTATTAATATTAATATTAATATCAGTCATTCATATTTATGTTAATAATAAATGAGGTATAATTCATACTAATATTACGCCCTAATACCTCAGTGGGTGTACAACCACCTGCGATATTGCTCCTAATGTCCAGAGAGAGAGAGAGCATGATATTACGTTCAATATCACAGTAGGTGTACACCCAGCCGGTGATATTGATCCGAATATAATCTCCAGGGTGTGGAGTAAGATATTACTCCCAATATAGCACTGGGTGTGCATCCACCCTGTGATTTTGCTCCTAATATTCACGGAAGAAGACAATGCTATTACTCCCAACATCGCAGGAAGTGTACACCCCCGTGTGAGATGGTCCTTAATAACATTCCAAGGCGGAGGGAGTGATAGGACTACATATATTGCAGAAAGTGGACACCACCAAGTATATTGTTCCCATGATCCTAGAGGGAAGAGTATGATATTACTTTCAATATCACAGAAGGTGGACACCCCCCCACTGATATTGTTTCTAATTGCAACGTGGGAGAGGAGGATATGACACACGATATCCCAGGGAGTAGAAACAACTCTGTGATACTGTTCTTAATATTCAGGGAGGAAGAGGATGATATGACTCCCAATAGAGACGGGTGTACAACCTCTGTATACCCAGGGTGTACACCGGTTTGTGAAACAGTTCATAATCTCCAGAGCGGGAGATGATATTACTCACAGTATGATAAACAGGCTGTGAGTCCACCGCGGATCCTAAAAACCAGGGGGGCAAGAGGGGCTGGCTCTTACTCCCCGCATCGCGGGGGGCCCCTCTCCCCCCTGCGATGGGTGTCCTAAGGGCCAGCGGGGCAAGAAGGGCTAGCTGTTACTCCCGGCATCGCGGGGAGTGCCTCACCCCGCTGCAATGGGGGTCCTAACAGCCAGGGGGGCAAGAGGGGCTGGCTCTTACTCCCCGCATCGGTTATAGTACTATGGGTGAAACAGCAATGTGGCTGTGGATGTAAATTAAGGGAGTTAATGTTAAAATGCACACATGAAAATAGAGGGTAAGCATTTATAAAATTTATATTCATTTTCACCTGACCATCTAAACATGCAATTATAATAATTTTCATCCATCATGTTAATTATTCGTACATAAGAGAGTTTAAGACATGTTTTTGCTCCTGGAGTCTGAAGAAGATGGAGTTAGCATTTTCACCACTTCTTTTGTCCGTCAATTTCAATGATCTTCAGTTTGCAGCAGATGCTGAAGTCAGCACAGTATCTAATTGCATGTTCATCAGCATTGCACTTCAGTCTGCAATGATAATATTCTGAAGGACATTCATCATTAGAAATGAAGCTTCTGGCTTTAAGAGGAGAAGACAAATTATACGATACAATATACTTACTTTTTATTCTTAAATGTCTGAAATGTTTTATAATAAATTAAAAACATTAAAGAACTTTCCCAGAAAAACAAAAACAGCAAAAGAATGCAAGAGAAAAAGTGGAGATGCTGAATAAAGACAAACGATGCTTTCTTCTATAAAGAGAGGAGTAAATGAGGCAGTAGCTGGAAATGTACAGAATTTTAAATGAGAACTATTACCACATATTTCTACCTAAAATGAATTATCCTGCTTGGGGGTAGTGTAGAGATTCATAATGCAGGAAATAATGTTTAACTTCTGGAGTTAAATTTTTGAAAAAGTCATTGGGGATGGAATCTAGTGTAAGTGGAGGGGTTGGCCTTGAATCAGACAGTGAAGAGAAGGTAGATTACGGATAAAGATAAAACTATGTGAAGAGATATGGTGGTGGAAAAGTGGAAAAGCTATCTTTGGTTGCTTCTCTGTTCTTGGTGAAATGAGAAAAAGGAATCCTTAATTGAGAGAACGGGTCAGAAGGAGTTGAGTCTTAGTTCCAGCTTCCCAGGGTATTAGGGCTCAAGGCCATTTCTCCTTTGTTGAGGAAGTTACTGAGATATGCACAGGAGCCTATAACCCATAATCCCCCATAAATATTCCCTTTAAACCTACCAGTCCTTCCCAAATCCTTTTGTTACAATTTGTAAGTTAAAATAATTGCCATGACCAACATCATGAAAGTTTCTCCTTATGTTTTCTTCTATAAGTTTTACAGTCTCAGGTAATTATGTTTAAATGTGTAGTTCATTTTGAGTTGCTTTTTGTGTGTAGTGTAAGATACAGGCCCAATTTATTCTTTTGCATGTGAATATTCAGTTTTCTCAGTACCATGTATTGAAGAAACCGTCTTTTCCCCATTATATATTCTTTGCATGTTTGTTGAAGGCCAGTTGACTGTATAAGTGTCTGTTGATTTCTGGGCCCTCTATTCTCTTCCAGTGGCCTATATGTCTGTCTTTATGCCAGTAGCACACAGTTTTGATTACTCCATCTTTATGATACATTTTGAAATTAGAAAATGTGATGCCCCTAGCATTGTTTTTCTTGCTCATTGTTTTGACTATTCTGGGTCCTTTGTGGTTTTATATGAATTTTAAGATTGTTTTTTCTATTTCTGTCAAGAGTGCCATTAGGATTTTGATAGGGATTGTATATAATCTATAAATTGCTTTGAATAGTATGGATATTTTAATATTATTATGTCTTCCAATTCACGAACATAGGATATCTTTCCACTGATTTGTGTCTTCTTTAATTTCTTTCATGAATGTCTGCAATTTTTAATGCACCAGTCTTTCATCTTTTTGGTTAAGTTTATTCTTAAATATCTTAACTTTTTCTTGCTATTATGAATGGGATTTTCTTTACTTGCTTTCCAGTTGTTTGTTGTTAGTGCTATAGAAACACAACTGATATTTGTATGTTGATTTTCTGTCCTGCAACTTTATTGAATTTGTTATTAGTTGTAATAATTTGGGGGGAGTGAAGTTTAGGGCTTTTTACAAAAAAATTATGTCATTTGGAAATAGACAATTTTACTCATTCCCACCCCTCAACAGTTTGGATGCCATTTATTTCCTTTTCTTGCCTAATTGTTCTTGCTAGAACTCTTAGTATCATGTTAAATAAATGTGGCAAGAAGGGGCACTTTAGCCTTGTTCCTGATCTTAGAAGAAAAGCTTTTAGTTTTTTACCATTGAGTATGAGTGAATAATTTCTTTTTACTTTTATTGTAAGGTAGGACTACTGGTGACAAACTCTATTTTTGTTTACCTAAGAAAATTATGTATTTTTATCTTAATTTAAAGGGTACGCTGGGCGCGGTGGCCTGCACCTTTAATCCTGGCACTTTGGGAGGCCAAGGCTGGCGGATCACCTGAGGTCAGGAGTTCGAGACCAGCCTGGCCAACCTAGCGAAACCCAGTCTCTGCTAAAAATACAAAATTAGCCAGGCGTGGTGGTGGCTGGCTGAGGCACGAGATTGCTTGGACCCAGGAGGCGGAGGCTGCAGTGAGCCAAGGTCACTGCCACTGCACTCCAGCCTGGGTGACAAAGTGAGACTCTCTGTCAAAAAAAAAAAAAGGATAATTTTGCTAAGTAGAGAGTTTTAAGATAGTGTTCTTTTTTTCTTTTTTAACATTTTAAATATTTCACTTTCCTCTCTTTTTGCTTATGTGGTTTAAGAGAAGTCTGATGTAATTCTTATCCTTGGTTGTCCATAGATAAAGGTTTTTTCCCTCCTGGCTTCTTTTAAGATTTTTTTTTTGTCTTTGATTTTTGGCAGCTTCAATATAATATGCCTATGTTTAAATTTTTTTGTATTTATCTTGCGTGGTATTCTCTCAGCTTCCTAGATATGTATATTTTGTTTATTTTCAATTTTGGGAAAATCTCAGTCAGAATTTCTTCAAATATTTCTTCTATTCCTTTCTTTCTCCTCCTCCTGATACTTCATTACACATATATTGTTCCTTTTTGTAATTGGCCTACACTTATCAAATATTCTGTTCTTTTTAATTCTTTTTTCTTTGCTTTTAAGTTTGGAAGTTGCTATTTAAACTTCTTTAAGCTCACTGATTCTTTCCTTGATCACATCGGTCTATTGATGAATTCATCGTTATGGTCTAACAAGTTTTCCTCCAAAATCTGTAGGTTGAAGTCCCAATCTTTAGTATCTCAGAATGTAATCATATTTGAAGATAAGTTTGTTTTTTTTTTTTAAGGAGTGATAAAGCTAAAATGAGACTCCCAGGGTATGGCCCTCGTGCAATATGGCTGATGTCCTTATTAGAAGAGGAAGAGACACCAGGAATGCATGTGCACAGAAAAAATGCCATAAGAGGACATAGCAAGAAGGCAACCAGCTGCAAGCCAAGACAGGCCTCAGGAGAAACCAAATGTGCTGACATCTTGATCTTAGACTTATAACATCCACAACTGTGAGAAAATGAACTTTTGTTATTTAAGGCACCCATTCTGTGGTACTTTCTTATGATAACCCTATAGCAATGCAAGAATGGCCTAATACATCTATATTTATATTGGACAAAATTGACTTTAAGCGAAAAAACATAAAAAGAGACAAAGAAGGCCATCATATAATGATAAAAGGGCCAATTCAGCAAGAGGATATAAAAATTCCAAATATGTATATATATGTACCCAGTAGTGGAATACTTAGATATATTAAAAATGTCATTAGAGGTAAAGAGAGAGATACACCTCAACATCATGATGACTGAGGGCTTCAATACCCCACTTTCAGCATTGAACATTCAGCATTCTAGGTAGAAAGCTAACAAATAATCATCGAATTTAATCTGTACCGCAGACCAAATAGACTTAACAGACATTTACAGAACATTTCATCCAATAGCAGTGGAGTACACATTCTTCTCCTCATCACATAGAACATTCTCCAGGCTAGACCACATGTTAAGACACAAAAAAGTTTCAACAAATTTTGAAAAATCAACATTATATCAAGTATATTCTAGACAAAAATAGAATAGAACTAGAAATGAATACTAGGAAGAACTTTGGAAACTATACAGATAACATGGAAATTAAACAACATGCTTCTGAACGACCATTGAGTCAATGAAAAAACTAAGAAGAAAATAACAAATGTTCTTGAAATAAATGCAAATGGAAACACAACATACCAAAACCTATGGAATACAACAAAGACAGTGCTAAGAGAGAATTTTATAGCAATAAATGCCTACTGCAAGAACATAGTAAGATTATGAACAAGCTACTATGCACCTCAAGGAACAAGAAAAACAAGATAAAATGAAATCCAAACTTAGGAGAAGGAAAGAAATAATAAAAATCAAAGCAGGACTGAGTGAATTCGAGATTTAAAAAATGCAAAGAGTTAATGAAACAAAAAGTTGACTTTTGGAAGAGATAAACAGACTTTATAAACTGCTAGCTAGACTAACCAAGAACAAAAGAGAGAATGCCAAATAAATAAAATCAGAAATAAAACAGGAGACATTACAACTGATATAAAAGAAACACAATGGATCATTAGAGTCTGTTATAAACAACCATATGCTAAATAATCCATACGATGAAATTTTTTTTACCAACATCAATGATCAATCTAACTTTCCCAAATTAATTTTAAAATCCACCAATACTTTATAATAAATACATATTAAACTGTGGTTTATACCTGAGATTTAGATTATCAATTGACTTATTTATCTTTTCTGAGGTGCATATTACCTCAGAGCACATTTTAAAATTTATTTCAAGATTCCATCATTTATATAATTATACAGAATGATACTTTTCCTCCGTGAATGTTGGTGTTTTACATTTTTATTGAGATAGAATTTAATATAAAATTCATTCCTTGAGAGTGTTCCATTTAGTGAGTATCAGTGGATTCTTAAAGTGGGATACAGTGATGACCACTGAATGAAGGAATGAAGTACGAATCTATGCCACAACATGGATGAATCTTGAAAACATTATGCTAAATGAAAGAAGGCAGACATGAAGGATCACATATTTATTATTCTGTTCATAGTAAATGTCCAGAATAGGAATATACATAGAGACACAAATTAGATCAGTGGTTGCTAGGGACTGGGAGGAGGAGAGATTTCTTCTTGCGGTTATAAACATATTCTGGAATTAGATAATGGGGAGGGGTGCACAATTTTAAGAATACACTGATAACCACTGAATAGAACACTTTAAGGCAATGAATTTTATGGTAAATTGTATCTCAATAAAAATATAAAAAACCCACTAACATTCATGGAGGAAAGGCATAATTACTTACAATTATATAAATAAGGGAATCTTGAATCATGAATATTATATAAATGAGGGAATCTTGAATCGTGAAGTATTAAAATGTGCTTCAGAAATGATCAATAAGTCAACCAGTAATCTAAATCTCAGGTATAAACCACAGTTTAATATGTTTTTATTATGGGGTATTGATGAATTTTAAAATTAATTTGGGAAAGTCATATTGATTAATAAATATGCTTATATATAATTGACTAGTTATGTGGTTAAAAATTAAGGTAGAATCTTAACTCTCACCGTAGAAAAAGTAATTTCCATATACATTAAATGATATCATATGAGTTTTATTCAACTTTAAAGGAACACAGAGGCTAGGTCCTTGCCTGGATCAGTGGTGAATTTATCCTGTGAACCAAGGATTATGGTGGAGTATCCACCTCTTCACCTCTAGCCCTTCTTCTAGTCATCATTCGCTTTTCATTTTTCCAATTCTTTAAATTTCCTGTGTTCTGTGTGCATCCTCTCACCACCTTTTGATCAAACACAACTCTCAAGTAAGTTTATTTATTATTATTATTATTTTTTGAGACAGGGTCTCACTCTGTTGCCCAGGCTGGTGTGCAGTGGCATGACCTAAGCTGAATGCAGCCTTGACATCTCAGGCTCAAGCGATCCTCCTGCCTAAGCTTCCTGAGTAGCCAGAACCACAGGCACGCACCACTATACCTGACTAAATTTTGTATGATTTTTTTTTTTTTTTTTGTAGAGATGGGGTTTCACCCTGTTGCCCCCACCGGGCTGGTCTAGAACTCCTGAGCTCACCCACCTCAAACTCCCCAAATGCTGGGATTATAGTCATGAGACGCTGTGCCCGGCCTCGAGTGAGTTTATCATAGGTTAAATCACTGCAGTGAACCACCTTATTTATTTCTTTAGTATTAACTCTTCAATCCTCTGAGCAGCCTTCATGGTACAGTAAAATCTGCCCATGCCTAATTTATTTTCAGACTCTTGAAAGACCTTGCATTTTCTTTTACTTATAGTTTTAGAACTTTGGAATAAAAAAGTTTCTGTCTTTCTTGGAGGAACTGTGGACATCAAGGAAAGGACTCCAAAGACGAAAAACAAGACCCTCATGTTTGAATAGGTAAAGCAGGTTAGAGAGAATCAGTAGCTGAGATGAAGAGGACTTCTGTGTATATTCACTCCTCTGAAGAGGTGAGTTGCTGAGTGATTATTGAACCCTTCAGGAACAAGAACATTTCTGTGTTTCAATGAGATTTTATATCAGGAGACAGCATGCAATCATCACGACTATCGGTCATTTAAAGTACATTTATCAAAGGTAAAGAGGGTGTGTGCAAAGGTAGTAGAAAGCACAGCCATGTCAAAGGCAGGAGAGAGACTTGAAATATCAGCATTGTCTTATGCATTCTGGAGGAACTGTAAAAGTTAAGGAAGCAGTTATAGAGGAAAAGCATTCATTTTATTTTTCTGATAATAGGAAGTAGCACGTAATACAACAGCCTGCCTATTTATTACTATTTTGGCACCGTGTGTTAGCATGCTTAAGCAATGGAATTAAATATGAAATTATAAACAGACTAGTGAGATACAGAAAAACTTTTATTTGATTATCTTTCTGTCCAATCGATCGAATGGGATAAACTAATTTTTATATTGAAATCTAAGTTAACACAAATTGTTTGCACATCAGTTACATGTAATATGAGAGGAATTAAAGAAAGGAGAGTGGGCCTTAGGGAACCTATAATACACTTCGGAAAGCAAATAATATATACAAATAAATAGCAATGCAACACAAGCATATTTCTGACAGAGAGGTACAAATTACTTCTTAGACACTAAGGAAATGAACATAATCACCAGAATACTTTGGGTGCCGTAGGGAATGCTTAAACAGGGTATGAGTAAACTTTATTTATTTATTTATTTTTTATTTAGAGACAGGGTCTCACACTGTTGCCCAGGCTGGAGCGCAGTGGTGCGATCTTGACTCACTGCAACCTCTGCCTCCCGGGTTCAAGGGATTCTCCTGCCTCAGCCTCCCGAGTAGCTGGGATTACAGGCACACGTCTCCATGCCTGGCTAAGTTTTGTATCTTTAGTAGCAATAGGGTCTTGCCATGTTGGCCAGGCTGGTCTCGAACTCCTGGTCTCATGTGATCCACCCGCCTCGGCCTCCTGAAGTGCTGGGATTACAGGGGTGACCCACCACATCTGGCCAGAATATCAGCTTCAGAAACTGTAAAGTACATGCACATTCCTGGTCTTACTTGACCTTCATTCCTTTCTAGATGGTCTCACTACAGGTGAAGTAACTTTTCTCAGTACCAAGAAGGAAGTTCTCTTTCTGCCATGGCTTCTTCTTGGTGCTACTTCTATAATACTTCAGAGTGTTAGTGAATGGAACACCTGATTATATTATTTCAGCAGGTCCTTCCTGCCTTTAGAGACTTTGAAAGTGAAATCTTGAGTAAGGGATGGGGAGGTCTTGGAAGAGGCAAACTTCCCAAGTCTTAGCCTAAGGAGGGCCAGTGAGGGGCATGAAAGCTCTGGGGATGTTTTTTCCTAAACCTCCATTCAGGTCCTTCCTCCTGAGTTGCTGGGGCAGCGGTGCCTGGGCACAAGCCTCTGCCAGCACCCTAGATAACTCAAAGGGGGATCTTAGGGTCATTGTGCTGGTTATTGCTGACTGTTCCATTTACTGAAGCCAGAATGGCCTAGGATCATTAGTATCTCTGATCAAGTATCCAGAATTTACTGATTTTTCTCACCTCTCTGAGAATTATTTCTTTCTTGATCACGAGGAAAAGCTTTGGAAGTACAGTTTACACTGCAAAGCAATACAATTTATGAGAACAAATAACTGAAATCCTTTATGGAACACTAAGGGCATAATTTTCACTGCTTGATATTTTCTATGAACATTTGTTTGCCAGCCTGATGTAGGTTGGTGCAAACGTAATTGTGGTTTTTGCCATTTCTTTCAATGGCAAAAATCCCAATTACGTTTGCACCAACCTAAGAGATTTGGAGTCAGGAGGCAGGCTTGGAATCCTGCCCAGGAAGCCCAAGAACATTGTGTAATCCATGGGCTAGCAATCAGGGATATCAAAGAAGGGTCAGAGGAAGGTTCATTGCATGCTGGGGGTGGACCAGTAGGTACCAGATGAGCATTGAAAGATGGCTTAGATTGCAGAGGGCTTCAGCAAAGAAAGATCAAGTGCTCTGACCAATGACTTTCCTTAAAAGAACACCAAGAAGAAAATCAGATAGCTATCAACCTATCAAATATAAGCTGTCACAGTAGAAGAAGAAAGAAGGCAATTTACCATTAGATAATTAAATTTGACCTAGAAATTATAGCGCTTTATTGCACATAACTCTCCAGGAAGGCACCAGATTTTCAATAAACAATTTATAATCAAGTATTCACTGTTTACTTTCCTACCCTGCCTTCAGCAGTACTGACAGCTTTGGGGACTTTGATGCATTAATTATCTGTTTTTCTTCTTGTTAATGCCGGTTTTCTTTTTCTTATTTACTTATTTATTTGAGACAGTCTCACTCTGTTGCCCAGGCTGGAGGGCAGAGGCGTGATCTCAGCTCACTGCAACCTCCACCTCCAGGTTCAAGTGAATCTCCTGCCAGCCTCCCGTGTAGCTGGGATTACAGGTGTGTGCCACCACACCCAGCTAATTTTTGTATTTTTGGTAGAGATGAAGTTTCACCATGTCGGCCAGGCTGGTCTTGAACTCTTGGCCTCAAGTGGTCTGCCTGCCTCTGCCTCCCAAAGTGCTGGGATTACAGCAGTGAGCTGCGTGCCCGGCGCTGCCCGCTTTCTACATCTATTGTTTTCCTTACTTGAAGTCTGTCAATATCCTCAAGTTCCTGCCACGTTAAAAACAAAACACAAAATTGTCTTTCCTGTATTTAGTTTGTTTTTTTAATGAATGCCCTAGCTTCTCCCTTTCCCCCTCAGGAAAATCATAGTCTCTACGCTTCTTTTCCATGTTATCTTTCATTCACTTCTTACCCCACACGTGGCTGACATTTTCCCTCAGCTTTCCATTGAATACACTTTTGTTAAATCACTCACAAGTTTTTCTCTAAGAGTAGACAAACACAGGTATGCCTATATCCTATATGTATATTTTATTTTTATTGATTTCTAAAGATTATTTCATGTAAAATTGGAAAAAATGATTATCATGATAATAGATATAACACATTACTTGATCACTAAAAAGATCATTACTATTTTAGTTTATTTACTTTCCATTAAATTTCTCTCTCTTATTCTTGTGATTCACCTATAGCTTTATTTATTTAATAAGTATCACTTTAATGTAAATATTTTCCTATACTATTTTCAAATACTCCTAAACAGTAATTTTTACTTTCTACATAATATTCCATCTTATGGATATTTCATAATATATTTATGTAATCATCCTTTCATTGTTGGGCATTGTTTTGTGTTTCTACTTTCACTACGTAAATGTTATGAGATTGTCCCAAGGGGCTTCTCTACTATTTCCAAATCAATTTCTGGCTAGGTCTCCTGACCCAAGTGGCTGCTGGAGTTGCAGGTGTGCTTAACTTATGTGGAGCGAGTGAAACCTTTACTTCAATACGTTGTTAATTGAAAGGAGAATCTTAGTATAGACTATTTTCCAGTAGAGGTAAAAAATGGATAATAACTTTGTTCAACTAGCAAAATAAGAGAAAAAGATAGAAAATAAGGTAAAAATAAATGATAGACATAAGGTTAAACGAAATGAGTCAAATCACTCCATCAGTTGTTAGGAGGCAGTTTTTTTTTCTCTTTCTGCACTTGAGTTGATCAAGTCTATAGATAGATTCTCTTCATAGCTATGAGAAGCATATTGGCACAAGGTTGCTGTCTCTCTCTGTGTAAATGAAGTATTAGCTCTAGCCTGGATGTTCCCTATAAGCTTCAGAATAAAAAAATTCAACTATTTACTTGACATCTACTTTTGGATGTCTAATAAGCAACTCAAGAATTCCAAAATGAATTTTTGATTCATACCACTTTCTCTGTTAATACTCACACTGCCTTTAGTCTTGCTCTCTCCATGATGGGCTCATGTACCTAGTTGTTTAGGTTAAAAAACAAAAACGAACAAAAACTCTGAGCATACCTTTGATTCTCTCATTTCATAATTACAACCCATTAGCAAGCCCAGTTCTATCTTTAAAATATCTCTTTTATTTTTTATTTTTAAAAATTTTTGAGACAGAGTTTCACTCTGTCACCCAGGCTGGAGTGCAATGGTGCGATCTCTGCTCACTGCAACGTCTGCTTCCCAGGTTCAAGCGATTCTTGTGTCTCAGCCTCCCGAGTAACTGGGATTACAGGTGCTAGCTACAAATTCTCAGCTAATTTTTGTATTTGTTTTTGTAGAGATGGGGTTTTGCCATGTTGGTTAGGCTGTTCTCTAACTCCTGTCCTCAGATGATCCGCCTGCCTTGGCCTCCAAAAGTGCTGGGATTATGGGTGTGAGCTACTGGGCCCGGCCTAAAATGTGTCTTAAATCCAACCTTTGTACACTTCCTCTGTCATTGCATCATTGTCCAAGTCACTGGTGTCTCTGGAGAGAGCCCTCTAACTTGTCTCTATGTTTTTACCAGAGCTTTGCATACTCTAATTTATGTTCAGACACCAGAGATATGTTTCTAAAATGCAAATTAAATCAAATTATTTCCTTATTGAAAATCTAATTACGTTTTTTTAAAAAAACTACATAGAATAAATCCAGTCTGTTTACATGGCACACAATGTCCTACCTGATTTGGTTGCTGAATATTTCTCCGATCTTTTTTTTCCTGCTACTGTTCCCTCTTTTCACTCTGTTCCACACGTATTAGTTTTCTTGCTCTTCCATAAACATTTCAAACTCATTTCTACCTCATAGCCTCTGTTTTTACTATTACCATTGCAAGGATTATTCTTTTCTAAGATATTTCTATGGAAACTCTGTCCCCCTATTTCATTCAGGCTTTGTTCCTGTGTCACCGTCTCAGAGAGGCTTTCCATGATTATTGAATAAATTCTAAAATAAAATTGATATCAAAAAGGCCATGCTCCCTGCAGCAAGTTGCTAATATCAGAAATCAATAACAATAAGGTATATTCCCAAATTCATACACAGAGATATTAAAACACAACACATTCCTACATAACACTTGGGCTAAGGCATTCATAAAAATGAATACAAAATAATTAGATCTGAAAAAACGGAAAGCACTATAAATGAAATCCTGTGGAATGCAGCCAAAGTGGTATAAAAACCGTCATTTATGATCTTCAAGATATTTACTAGAATTCATGAAAGTATGAAAGCAGCGTACTGCTCAACTGAAGAATCGAAATAAATAACAAAATAAAAAGAAGAAAAACCTGAAACAAAATAGGAGGCAATAAACAAAAATAATATCACACATAAATAAGAAACAAAACAAAGCAAGAAACATTGTAGAGTTATTTAGTAAGACCACTAGATAGTTTATGGGAAGATTCATATATTAGATGAGTCTTAGGAAAAGATCATGAGAAAAAGAGAAAAAAAATAATACAGGGAAGAAAAGGAACATAAACTACAGATAGAGAAGTGTTTTGATATCATGATAGAATCCTTTAAACCCTCTATGCTGAATATGTGAATGAAATGGACACTTTTAGGGAAATACGAATGAATAATATTGACCAAAACAAACTTACAAGTGGTCAATGTTCTATCCTTTTACAACCAAAAGGAGCTAGAACTAGCAAGATTTTATGTACAATCCTGAAGAAATAGATAATTCCTATTTCCTTTTTTGTTTTTTTGAGACGCAGTCTTGCTCTGTCGCCCAGGCTGGAGTGCAGTGGCGCGATCTCGACCCACTTCAAGCTCCGCCTCCCAGGTTCACGCCATTCTCCTGCCTCAGCCTCCTGAGTACCTGGGACTACAGGCGCCCGCCACCACTCCCGGCTAATTTTTTTTTTTGTATTTTTTATTAGAGATGGGGGTTTCCTCCTGTTAGCCAGGATGGTCTCGATCTCCTGATCTCGTGATCCACCCGCCTCGGCCTCCCAAAGTGTGATAATTCCTATTTCTTAAGAATAATTGAGATTACAGATTGATCTAGGTGGTTACTCAACACATTTTATGAAAGAGAATAAGCACAATATAGAAATTTCACAGGGGTAGTGTATTAGTTATTGTTGCATAACAAGGTATTCCAAAATGTAGTGGCTTAAAACAACAAACTGATTATCACAAGTTTCTGTGGGATGAGGCTTAACTGGGTGCTTTTGGCTAAAGGTCTGTGTTGAGGTTGCAGACAAAAGCTGTCAGCTGGGGCTACATTTTAATCTGAAGACTGGGAGTGTGGGGGTTATATATAAACTCATCCACTGGCTTTTTTCATGCAGCATAATGTTGTGGAAGTTCATCCATGATGTATCATCTATTAGTATTTGTTCTTTTTTATTATGAAATAGTATTTCTCCATATAGATATAGTAAATTTTGTTTATCCATATACTAATATATGGGATAGAAACCTAAGAATAGCATCATTAAATTGTATGATATATTCATATTTATCAGTTTTAAGAAAAGGCCAAACTATTTTCCAAAGCGGTGATACTATTTTATATTTCCATCAGCATTGTAAAGGGACCTCATTTAGCCACATCTTCACGGACATATTTTATCACTGGTCATTTTTATTATAGTTATTCTAGTGTGTGTTAAGTGGCTTCTCATTGTGGTTTTAATTTGCATTTCACTAATGACTAATGATTCTGATAATCTTTTCATGTGTTTATGCCCATTCACATATTTTCTTTGGTGAAATGAGTACTCAAATCTTTTGCCTGTTATCTTATTTATTAACAAATTATTAATTACAAATTGATAAATTATAGTTGTCTTATTTATTGGGTACAAAGTGATGTTATGATTTATGAATTCAATGTGGAAAAGTTAGATCATGGTAATTAACACACCAATCACCTAAAATCATGATTTTTTTGTCTTGAGAATGGTTGAAATGTATTCTCTTGGCAATTTCGAAATGTATAATACATTTTTTACTATATTCACCATGCTGTGCAGTATATCTTAAAGAAACCTAATTCTCTTGTCCAGTTGAGGCTTTGTACTGTTTGACCATGATATCCTCATCCCTTTACCATCCCCAGCCTCTGGTAACCACTGTTCTACTCTCTGCTTATTTGAGTTTGACTGTTTTAGATTCCACAAATAAGTGAAACATGTAATATTTGTCTTTGTGTGCCAGACTTATTTCACTTAGCATAAAGTTCTCCAATTCCAACTTTGTTGCTGCAAATAAAAAAGTTTCTTTTCTTTAAGGTAGAATAGTATTCTACTCTGTATATATACTATATTTTCTTTATCCATTTATCTGTTGATAGACACTTAGGTTGATTCCAAAACTTGACTATTGCAAAAAGTGCTGCAATGAACATGGAAATGCAGACATCTCTTCAATATACAAATTTCAAGTCTTTTCAGTAAATACCCAGCCGTGAGATTCCTAGGTCATAGGTAATTTTATTTTTATTTTTGTTGAGAAACTTATAAGTTTTCCATAATGGCTACAGTAATTTACATTCCTACAACAGTGTGCAAGTGTTCCCTTTTCTACACATACTCTCCAACACCTGTTACATTTCCTCTTTTTGGTAGTAGCCATTCTAGCAGGTGTGAGCTGATATCTCATTCTGGTTGTAATTTCCATTTCCCTAATGATTAGTGATGTTGAACAGTTTTTCACAAGTTTATTGGTCATTTGTATGTCTTCTTTTGAGAAATGTCTATTCACCTCCTGTGCCCATTTTTTAATTGGACTATTTGTTTTCTTTCTGTAGAGTTGTTGAGTTCCTTATAAATTTTGTCTGTTAACCCCTTAGCAGATGTATGGCTTGCAAATATTTTCTCCCAATCTGCAGATTGTCTCTTTAATTGTTTTCTTTGGTGTGCATAAGCTTTTTATTTTGATTATAATCGAATTTGTCTATTTTTGAATGCATTGTCTGTGCTTTTGCGGTTAGAACTTAAGTTAGAACTTAAAATGTCCAATGTCAAGTGCAGCAGGTTTCTCACCTCAAGGGACAAGAGAAAAAAGCCAGGAGCCTGGTACCAGCTTCCCAGGATTAGGGCACACAGCCCAGGAGTAATGAGCTGAGCCTTGGCCCCCAGAAGTTTCCCAGAAATGACACCAGTCAACGGAACCCACTTTATTCCACAATCAAACCGTCAAAGATGTCAAAGAATATAAGAGCGAAAACCCCATCCAAAGGACAGTGATACGGTTTGGCTCTGTGTCCCCACCCAAATGTCACCTTGAATAAATCCCCATGTGTCAAGGGCAGGACCAGATGGAGATAACTTAATCATGGGGGTGGTTCCCCCATGAGTGAGCTCTCATGAGATCTGATGATTTTATAAACGGGAATTCCCCTGCACAAACTCTCTTGCCTGACACCACGTAAGACGTAATTTTGCTCCTCATTTGCGATGATTGTTAGGCCTCCCCAGCCTAACAATGTGGAATTGTGAGCAAATTAAACCTTTTTCCTTATAAATTACCCATTCTCTGGTATGTCTTTATTATCAGCTTGGGAACAGATTAATACAGACAAGAACACCAAAGATTAAAGAAACATCAGTCTACACAGATTAAAAAGAAGCAGCACAAGAACTCTGGCAACTCAAACAGCCAGAGTGTCTTCTCACCTTCAAGGGACTGCAGTAGTTCCTCAGCAATGGTTCTTAACTGTGCTGAAATGACAGACATATAATTTAGAATCAAGATAGGAATGAAGATCATCGAGATTCAGGAGCAAGTTGAAACCAAATTCAAGGAATCTAAGGAATCTAATCAAATGATATGAGTTGAAAGACAAAATAGCCCTTTTAAGAAAGAACAAAACTGATCTGATAGATATGAAAAACTGTCTATGAGAATTTAATAATACAATCACAAGTATTAACAGCAAAACAGGGCATGCTGATACACACGTATGTTTATTGCAGCACTATTCACAATAGCAAGACTTGGAACCAACCCAAATGCCCATCAGTGATAGACTGGATTAAGAAAAGGTGGCACACATATACCACGGAATAGTATGCAGCCATAAGAAAAGGATGACTCCATGTTGTTTGTAGGGACATGGATGAAGCTGGAAACCGTCATTCTCAGCAAACGATCCCAAGGACAGAAAACCAAACACCGCATGTTCTCACTCATAGGTGAGAATCGAACAATGAGAACACTTGGACACAGGAAGGGGAACATCACACACTGAGGCCTGTCATGGGGTAGTGGGAGGGGGGAGGGATAGCATTAGGAGATATACCTAGTGTAAATTACGAGTTAATGGGTGCAGCACACCAGCATGGCACATGTGTGCATATGTAACAAACCTGCACGTTGTGCACATGTACCCTAGAACTTAAAGTATAATACTAATAAAAAAATAGGCCATGCTGAGGGAAGAATCTCAGAGATTGAAGACTCGTTCAGTTAGACAAAAATAAAGAAAAAAGAATTCAAAAAAATGAACAAACCTCTGAGAAATAGGGAATTATGCAAAGCGACCAGATATATGACTCACTGGCATCCCTGAAAGAGCAGGAGAGAAAGCAAACAACTTGGGAAACATATTTGAGGATATCTTCCATAAAAACTTCCCCAACCTCACTAGAGAGGTTGATTCAAATTTAGGAAATGCAGAGAATGCCTGCAAGATACTACACAAGACAACCATCCCCTAGAAAAAGTATTAAAGGCAGCTAGAGAAAAGGAGCAGGAAACCCACAAAGGGAATCCCATCAGGCTAACCGTGGACTGTTAAGCTGAAACTCTATAAGCCAGAAGAGATTGTGGGCCTACATTCAGCATTCTTAAAGACAAGAAATCCCAACCAAGAATTTTATATCCATCTAAACTAAACTTTACAAGTAAAGGAGAAATAAAATCGTTTTCAGAAAAGCAAATGCTAAGGAAATTTGTTACCATCAGACATGCCTTACCAGAGGTCCTTAAGGGAGTACTAAATATGGAAATGAAAGAGTACCAACCACCACAAAACACAATTAATTACATAGATAGTGACACTATAGAGCAACACACAATGAAGTCTGCATAATAACCAGCTAACAACACAATAACAAGATCAACTCCACACATAGCAATATTAACCTTGAACATAAATGGACTAAATGCCCTACTTAAAAGGCACAAAGTGGCAAGTTGGATAAAGAAGCAAGCCCCAAATGTATGCTGTCTTCAGTGTCATTGCATGTGAGACCCATCACTCATAGGTTCAAAGTAAAGGCTCAAAGAAAGATCTGCCAAGCAAATGAGAAACAAAAAAGCAGGGGTTGCCATTCTAATTTCAGACGAAACAGACTTTAAGCCAACAAAGATAGAGATAGACAAAGAAGGGCATTACATAATGGTAAAGGGTTCAATTCAACAAGAAGACTTAGCTATCTTAAATATATATGCACCCAAGACAAGTGTGCGCAATTCATAAAACAAGTTATTAGGGACCTACAAAAAGACTTAGATAACCACACAGTAGTAGTGGGAGACTTCAACACCTCACTGACAGCATTCGACAGATCATTGAGAGAGAAAACTAACAAAGATATTTAGGCCTTAACTCAACACTTGACCAAATGGACCTAAAAGACATCTACAGAACAGTCCACCCAACAACAGGATACACATTCTTCTCATGTGCACATGGTACACACTCTAAAATCAACCATGTGATTGGCCATAAAACAATAATCAGCAAATTCAAAAAACTCGAAATTATACCAACCACACTCTCTGACTACATCCCAATAAAAATAGAGACAAATATTAGGAAAATCACTAAAAACCATACAATTACATGGAAATTAAACAACCTGCTCCTGAATGACTTTTGGGAATGACTTTTGAGGCTGCATCTGGAACCACCTGTGAGCAGGGCTGCAGCAGGGTCCACAGGCAGATGGCGGTGTTTCTGTGTTCATGGCCAGGTCTATGATTGGTGAGCCTACTCCCAGGGACATGGGCCTGCCTTCTCAAAGCAGTTTTCCTTGGTCTTGGGCTCTAGTGGGTTGTCATGAACTCCTGACTGGGTCCTGATGTTACCACAAAGATATTTTATCCATGGATGGTTGCCAAATCAGTGTTCTGTGGGTGGACGAAGGCTGGGGATCTTCTACTTAGCCATCTTACAGATGTTCTGCTTCATTTGTTCTTTGATTTCTTTTTCTTCTTTTTTTCAAGTAGATGGGTCATTGTAATTAGTCATTTTTTTTCTTATTAAACTGTTGTGTTATTTAAGAGTTGCTTTAGTGTTCATAGTATCGCTCTTTACACCACAGTGTATCATTGGGTGTCATACTACTTTACATCTAATATAAAAACCTTTCAAGGTTATATGAGCTATGGTTCTTACAGCAGCAAAAATATTTTATTTTGTATTTTGAATATGGAAATTGCAATCTTTTTCTAGTGATAATAAAATCCATTTTACTTGGACTATTTTCTAGTATTTTTGTGACTTGCCATTTATTCAGAAACTCTATTGTCTCGATCATATCAAATTTTCCAGAAAGATAGAAAGAACAAAACGAACTTCTAAATGTACAACTGGCAAAGGTCTGAGAGTATCTCAAGCTTTCATGATATATAGTATTGCCTTTGTCTTTTTTTTTTTTTTTTTTTTTTTTGAGAAGGAGTCTCGCTCTGTCGCCCAGGCTCGAGTGCAGTGGCACAATCTCGGCTCACTGCAACCTCTGCCTCCTGGGTTCAAGCAGTTCTCCTGCCTCAGCTTCTTTAGTAGCTGGGATTACGGGCACCCACCATCATGCCTGGCTAGTTTTTGTATTTTTAGTAGAGACGAGGTTTTGCCATGTTGGCCAGGCTGGTCTTGAACTCCTGACCTCAGCCTCCCAAAGTGTTGGGATTACAGGTGTGAGCCACTGCGTCCGGCCTGCCTTTGCCTTTATATAACAGTAAAATTAATTCCTTTGGGGTTTATCAACTATGCCCTCATAAATTAGTATCAATATAATATGTTCCATGCACAGAATCATATCATTGTATACAGTAAACATGGCCTTCTCCAGAAGATATAGTCAAGTACTCCAACAGATTGCATGTAATTCACCCAGTCTTATTATCAAAAGGCACAGACAGCCTTTTCCCAGAAATCTTTTAAATGTCCCTAAAACGTGGATTTCTGCACCTCTGGATGAGATATCAGAGCAATATTGCCCTAAAATCTCAATGGTTAAGATATGGTCAGGTATTTATAACAACTAGCACAGCAGTAAAAAAACCAAAGGGGTTATCTCTAGATCTATATGTTTCAGATAAAGAGATATAATTCATCTTTGGATTGTCAGAAGACTTTTCTTATCTATTATTTTATATGTGAAGCTGTCCTACTTTTTGAAAGTTTACAGGCAAAGATCTCTACTTGATTGAATTTTCTAACTCCTATTTACTTTCAACTTTAACTGATAATTTCTTTACTATAGTGGTTTTCAACTAGGGACAATGTTGCCCTCAGAGGACTTTTAGTAATGTTAGAGATTTTTATTTGTTTGTTTGTTTAGTTATTTATTTTTTGGTCACAGGTGGGAGAAATGTTTTAGAGGCAAGAGAGGCTGCTAAACATCCTACAATATACAGGAAAGCTCCCCACAGCAAAAAAAAAAAAAAAAAAAAAAATTGTTCTTCTCAAAATGTTGACAGTGCTGGAGATCAGACACATTGCTCTACTTTATATTGTATTATCTGTCACTGAACTTCTTTAGTAAATGGCCAATACTGTATGGTAAAATCGAGAGTATTATCCGAAAGAAAATTAAGAAAAACAATCAGAATTAGAAATTAGAGGCTCCTCTGCCTATGGAATACCCATTCTTTTATTCCTTTACTTTCTTAATAAACTTTCACTTAAAAAAAAAAGAAATTAGACTTTCTGGACTGATTCTGTTTGTTCCTTATGTTTTTCATTTCCCTTACCTGTTTTTTCTTCTTGCCCAGATATAAAAAACGTTCTGTCCAGGCACGGTGGCTCACTCCTGTAATCCCAGCACTTTGGGAGGCCGAGGCGGGCAGATCACGAGGTCAGGAGATCGAGACCATCCTGGCTAACACGGTGAAACCCCGTCTCTACTAAAAATACAAAAAATTAGCCAGGCGTGGTGGCGGGCGCCTGTAGTCCCAACTACTTGGGAGGCTAAGGCTGGAGAATAGCGGGAATCCGGGAGGCGGAGCTTGCAATGAGCTGAGATCGCGCCACTGCACTCCAGCCTGGGTGACAGAGCGAGACTCCGTCTCAAAAAAAAAAGTTCTTTTTGCTTCAGTGAGTTGAGATGTTATATTAATTCAATGTCAAGTCTCTGAAGAAACTTTCACTATTTCACTAAGACGGAGAATAAGAAATGGGTGATGACTTTTTTTTTTTTTTTTTTTTTGCTTACATTTAATAGAAAAATTTGGACTTAACAAGGGGAAGATAATTTCAGGCAGTAATTCATTTGGATTCTAATGTCTTTGGGCTTTAACATAGAGATAGAAGAGATTCAATCTTTGAACTTCAATTTATGCCTAGAAATTTTATAAGAACACTTGTTTATATTCAAATGTGGGAAGTTTTTCTTTTTTAGCATTTTAATATAGGAGGGTATTTATGACTTTTAAAGTCTCTTAATGTCATTTAATTATCAAAGAATCTCTAATGTGCTACACTGGATAATGTAGTGGCACATAACTTAAGATGGCAAAGAAGAGAGGATGTAAATTTTCAGCTATGTGTAAAATGTATATGGTAAAAATTGTATTAGTGTATTATTCTGAGATTAGCTTAGAATCTGATCTCAGAGTAACATGCCGTTCATGAGTGATTCTGAGAAGATATAGAAAAATTAATGACTAGTATTGAAGAAACAGATCCATGAAGATGAGATTTGAGTTATTTTAATAGACTCCTGACATCTCCTCTGCATAGGGAGATAACCCATCCTCCCCTGATTCATTGACCATAAGCTCTGTGGTTAAAAAAATACAAACCCTTGAATTTTGTTTGTGAGGTAATTTGGCCTCATTCTAGATGTTTTCCATCTTTGTGACACTCATGCCATGTCATACTCCTGGTATCCTCCCTGCCCTTTAATTTTCTTGGCCCCAGGAAATGGACTTATCTGATGGAGAGTTTGGAAAGAACCAGGCATGATAAGTTAGCCACTCTTCAGCTCTACAGCTCCTCCTAGTGAGCCTACTTGTAGAAAGCGGGTCTTCTTTTCTACTTCTCTAGGGGCAGGGGGCAGCAGAGGGGAGATCTGCTTCAAGTGCTGGTATGACTGGAATGGTCATGCGCCTAATTCTCAGGTGCAATGTTAGCAAGGTCACATGATTAGCAGGCTTTAACCCATATTATCTAAGTAGGTCTCTATTAGTAATGAAAATGATATTTGTTCAGAACTGGATGAGGAAGCAGACTGACATTGCACTTCAAATAATCAAACACTGCCTACTGATACTTCATATTCTTATTGTTTTACGTATTTAATATTTTTATCTTTTTTTTCTTAGAAACATTTTTTATAAGTACCTATAGGGTATGAGATTCTTCTGTTATTTATTTTATTCCTATAGTTCTTAAGAGGCTTGCATGTGCATCAAGAAGAAATGCTCCAGGAGGCAGTCAGTACACATGGGATTAGGACAACATTTATTTCCAGTCAAGGAAGAATAAGGAATTGGGTTAAGCAGGAGTCTGCAAAATTTATCCATCCATTCTGGAGTTCAAAGGGCTTAACGTTTGCTCCCACCTAAGGAGATTTTCCTTTGGGAACCGGAGTTGGATAGGGCTCAAGTATCCACCACCTTCTACAACATTTTTTTCCTTCATTACATATACCAATGGTATCATCTAGTGTGCTGCATAGTTTGTCTCTGCACACCCCTTTCAAAGCAATACACTGTTTTTGTCCTGGAATAACGCCAGTCTTTCCTACACAGGAAGAAATTTAAGAACATCATTAATTCACTATTGAAAATATACATAAAACAATAAACCCCCAGAAGAATGGCTTTGGGATAGGAAAGAAAACATTGTCTATATGAAAGGATCAGACCCGCAGACAGAAACAGCGCCTTTTTATGGGAAGGGAGCTAAGATTGTAGATTATATACACCTTGGAGGAAATAGGCCAATTTCTAAAATCCTTTAAAGGGATTGTCCTCCCCTATTGCAGTACATTTTGAAATGTGTGGGACCATTTGTTCTTGCCACCATGCCTAGGGAAGGTGTCTTTGGTATTTAGCAGATAGCACAGCATTGCTAAATTTTTCACCTAAGGAATTGTCTTGCACCAAACACCAACAATGCCACCACTAAGAAACAGTTTCAAAGGAAGTATGTGTCCCTCCAAATACCCATCTGCGCATACATCATCCCTATCAAATGGTTCATGTGCATATCTTCATCTCCTTTCATAGAAAGCCTATCAATCCTTGAGATTTTATCTAAACTAATTTCCTCATTTCAGAACTATGTAAGAAATACCTTTCCTATGTTGCTCAATACCTCATAGATAGATGGAGGAATGGATAGATAGATAGATAGATAGATAGATAGACAGACAGACACCTGCAGAGAATTACTCACAGAGCTAAAAGGTATTTTCCCTTAAGTGTATCCACATGTTCTCTTAATTCATCTGGTTGTTGAGAAGCATATGGCTAAGGGTGTGCTCTAATTCAGTAGTTTTCTCTATGCTTACTATCCTTTCTCTTGCCTTCTCAGCACAACCATAGTTTATTTTTCCTACTGTATATCACTGCAGATGTTATATAAGAAAAACACTTTTGCTGATGTTCATTAACAGACATTAGTTCCTGAACCATCCTGTTAACACACCTGGATCTTATTTTGTTTTTACTGGCCTCTAATATACTACCTCTGGCTTCTTTGCTTCTGTAGATGAGTAACAGTTTGGTGGCCGTTTCAGCTCTCAATCTTTTTGTTGTTGTTTGTTATTGTTTTGTATTTAAACTAGGCTATCATTATTGTTTCTCTACTCTGTAGAAATAGATCCATAGCCAGAAAAACCAATGCAACCTTTTGGAACTGAGTGCTCATAACCTATGCAAGATTGTCTTCCACTCTTGTTAGAAGCTTCAACCTAGTGCAGTCTGGTATTATACTCTACTATCAGACTAGCAGTTCATAAACTCAGGGTTTCTGTGCACAAGAGAATATCATGATGGGGGAGTTCGGCAATATCTTGTAATATTCTCTCTTTTTTCCAAGACTATTGTGGAAGAGAAAGTGGCTGTCTTTCAGAGAGAGACCTGAAGTCTCCCCAGCCAGTTGTGGAAGGTGCTGGTTCAACTGCATTGTCTACACAGAACACAGGCTTCATGCTCAGAAGCATAGCAGACCTGTTGCTAGCTGTTGGTCTTTTCCCTGATAACTTCATCCATACATTTAACATCTGGCAACACTGTCAGACTTTTTAAATGAAGCTAAAATCAGGGGGTGTTAGTACTGGGAAAGATATAGTCAGAGGCAGAGTATGGTATCAAGGAGGCCTATGTGTGTGAACTTAGAGGCATCCCATGCAAAATGAGGTGGAATGTGAATCTTCAGCTGAAGCCAAAAGAGTGAACTTCCTCTCAGCAGGATGCATAACCCACTATACGGTAAAGTTCAGCCTACTGACACAGCATGTAGCCTAAGACAGTGCCAATTCCTCTATTTGGGAGATGTCCCTTGCTTCACTCAAAAGGAGTGGAACAATTCATCCTACCAGTGATGTGCTTCTTGCTACATGGGAAGCTTAATTTAAGGAGGTATGCTTTGAGCATGAAGCCAAAGAATTATAATCTCCCTTTTTACCGATGACTGTGACATATCGTCATGCCGAGGGCACTAGTTTAAGTCAAAAAGATAAGATTAAATTACTTAATTCAGATTCAGATTCATATTCTTCATTCATGAGGAAGGAAATTTCTTCCCAGATATTCACATTTATTTTCAGACTTACTGACAGAAGTATATACATATAGAGCAAAAGAAGAGAGGCACTCTCTAATACACTTTAGAATTTATTTGACATTAATATGTTATAATGGTTATATCACACGGCAGTTGAGGAAAGGATGCATATTTAATAAGTGCCTTTGGAAAAAGAAACAATTTAGATGTTCACTTCATATTATATCACAACATTAATTTCTGTGGATGCAGTGAGAAGGACTTAGAATCACACTGGAAAATACCCTTAATAGCGCATTCATCTACTTTCTAAAAGGATATAACTTTCTTAGCATTAGAACTCATTGAGTCAGTAACTTTTAAGTTTTTTTTTTTTTTGGATGATGTAGAGGATTTAAATGGAACAGGATCTGCCTGGAACTTTATCAATCAAAAAATAGAAGTGCAGTTTCCTTTTCTCTACATAATGTGAGTTCAAGCTGTCTTCTGCTCCTGTCCAATGTCGTGTATTTAGATATTATGTTATTCTCCACAGTCAGTGTAAGAAGAATGCTATAATTTTCTTAATTCTCAGAGAGCTAATGCAGCAATCCAAGATTTATGCCATTCTAACCTCTTTAGACTCATATTCCCAGCATATATATGTATGTTTATGTGTACATATAAATCTATATGAACTATTCCAATTTTTTATAGGATACCATGGATTCTTTTTGGATTAAATATAAGGATATATAAAAACATATATTCAAGTAGCTATAACTTAATATTCATCAGACATTAAGCTGATAAACTAATATTTCAGATTAGGTAGTTTCTTTGGAGAAATTTTTTCATGAAAACAATAACTTTTTTTACTTAATTGGATTTTTTTGGTGTAAAAATGTCTTTAACAAAACTCTTCATGGTCTAGCCACTCAATTTTTCTTAATAGAAATTTTATGACATAAAAGTTATATAGGAGTTATAAAATTTCTAAGATTATCAGAATGCTTCTAGACACCTGATAAATTCTACATGCCCAACAGTCACAGCAGAGATTAAGATCAGAATTTTTGGAGTGCAGTGTTATTAAATTGTATAGACAGCTCAGCAATTAACTATTCAGTACTAAGAGACCATACAAAACTGATATTGAAATTCCTATTTTTCGACCTGAGTGTTCTGGGTCCCACTTCATAATGTGTCCAAGAACATCTCAATATGCACAACTAAGGTATTTTGACCTTTATGTATGGTTTTAATATCCTCTGATCACAAGAAACCTGGCTATTCAAAAGTGATTCCCTCCTGTGCAGAATTATAGGACCTTTGTTTAATCCTTCTTCCTGGTATAGCTGATTTGGAAGGAAGAAAGAAGGGCTGATATTTCTATTCCTCCAGGAAGATGTCACGGCTTGAAAGGCAGGCCTCTGAAGGATTCTTGTCGTATTTGTGGGGAGATTAACTCAGCTTTCAACCTCAAATAACCTCTTGTTCTTCATCTTTTATTTTATTGTGGTCGTAACACTTAAAGTGAGATCTACATTCTTAAGAAATTTTTAAGTGCTATAGATATAATATTGTACAGTTGATATTTAGAGCTTATTCATCTAATAAAACTGAAAACTTTTACTCATTAAATAGCAACTCCCTATTTCCTCCTCCCTCCCCAGTCCCTGGAAAGCACCATTCTGCTACCTGTTTCCATGAGTTTGACTATTTTAGGTACCTCATATAAGTGCAATCATGCACTATTTGTCTTCTGTGACTGGCTTATTTCATTTAGCATAATGTCCTCCAGGTTCATCCATGTTGTCACATATAGTAGAAAACCTCCTTAGTTTCCACAATATATAATTAGAAGATTCTGAGAAAAAAGTCTGGCAGAAATCAGAGTTATCATTTTTGTATGCATATCTCCACCTATGGATTGATTAAAAACAACATTGACCCAGATTAAAGAGATTTGCTTTTAGCTGCGATGTTGCTACTACCTATGTGATCGGAGGAAAATCACATTCTTTATCTGTACATGGGTTTTATTATCTAAAATAAAAACAACTGCCACTAAATTTTATTTTAATTTGAAATTATTACCATCATATAATTTCATATCACATGTCACTACAAGTGTATCTGACCTCAATGGTATCTTCTGACCAAAGCTGAGAACCAAATGAGAATTGCATAAGCTCCTTCAGAAGGAGGCAATCATATGTCAGGTGGATCTCAACATGTCCACAGATTAGGTAAAGATCAAACAATTGAGTAGCTTTGATTGCACTTCAAAGAATCTCAGAACTGGAACAAAACAAGAGTGCCCCCTCTCACCATCCTAATCAACATAGTACTGGAAATACGAGCCAGAGCAATCAGCCTTTTGAAATAAAAGGCATCCGAATAGGAAAAGAAGAAATCAAATTACCTCATTTTATAGATGATATTATTCTACACTTAAGAAACTCTAAAGATTCTTTGAAAGCCTCCTGGACCTGATAGACAACTTTAGTAAAGTTTCAAGATGCAACATCAATGTACAAGATCAGTAGCCTTTCTATACACCAACAATGTTCAACCCGAGAGCCAGGTCAAGAATGCAATCCCATTTACAACAGTCACACAAAAAATTAAATACCCATGAATACATTTAACCAAGGAGGTGAAAGATCTCTACAAGTGACACTACAAATCACTACTGAAAGCAATCACAGGTAACACAAATAGAAAAATATTCCCTGCTGTGGATTGCAAGAACCAATATTGTGAAAATGGCCATACTGCCCAAAGCAATTTATAGATTCAGTGCTATTCCTATCAAACTACCAATGACATTTTTCACAGAATAGAAAAAACTATTCTAAAACTCATATGAAACCATAAAAGAACTCAGACAACCAAAATAATCCTAAGCAAAAAGAGCAACACTGGAGGCATCATCCTACTTGCCTCCAAATTATACTATAAGGCCACAGTAACTAAAATGGCATGGGACTGGTACAAAAGCAGACACATGAACCACTTGAACAGAATAGAGAACCCAGAAATAAAGCTGCACATTTATAACCATCTGCTCTTTGACACAGTTGACAAAAATAAACAACGGGAAAAGGACTCCCTGTTCAATAAATGGTGCTGGGATAGCTGGCCAGCCACAAGCAGAAGAATAAAACTGGATGCCTATCTTTCACCATATACAAAAAATTAACTCATGACGAATTAAATATTTAAATGTAAGACCTCAAACTATAAGACTCCTAGAAGAAAATCTAAGAAACACCATTGTAGATATTGGCCTTGGGGAATAATTTATGACTAAGTACTCAAAAGCAATTGCAACAAAAACAAAAGTTGACAAGTAGAGCCGAATTAAACTAAAGAGCTTCTGCAGAGAAAAAGAAACTATTAACAGGGTAAACAGAAAACAACAGAATGGGAGAAAATATCTGCTAACTATGCATCTGACAAAAATTTAATATCCGGAATCTACAGGGAATTTAAATCAACAAGCAAAAAATAAATAAAGTGGGGAAAAGACATGAAAAACATGAACAGACTCTTCTCAAAAAAAGATAATAGAAGCAGCCAGCAAACATGAAAAGTAGCTCAACACCACTAATCACTAGAGCAATGCAAATCAAAACCACAATGAGAACTATCTTACACCAGTGAGAATGGCTATTATTAAAAAGTTAAAAAATAACAGAAACGCAGATGAGGCTGTGGAGAAAAGGAGTGCTTATACACTGTTGGTGGGAATGTAACAGTCTGAAGATTTCTCAA
This sequence comes from Homo sapiens, assembly GCF_000001405.40. Lineage (NCBI taxonomy): Eukaryota > Metazoa > Chordata > Mammalia > Primates > Hominidae > Homo > Homo sapiens. Next base: position 1,271,606 of record NW_018654717.1, on the reverse strand, counting down.
AGAACTTAAAACAGAGCTACCATTCCACCCAGCAATTCCTACTGGGTATATCGTCCAAAAGAAAACAAATAATTCTACCCAAAACATACCTGCACTCCTATGTTCATCCCAGAACTACTCACAATAGTAAAGACAAAGAATCAACCCAGGTGCTCATCAATGGTGGACTGGATAAAGAAAATGTGGTACATATAGACCATGGAATACTATGAAGCCATAAAAAGGAACAAAATCATATACTTTGTAGCAACATGGATGAGCTGGAGGACTGCAAATTAATGCAGAAATAGAAAACCAAATACTGCATGTTCTCACTTGTAAGTGGGAGCTAAACACTGGATACTCATGGACATAAAGATGGGACATGGGAGACTACTAGAGTGGGGAGGGAGGAAAACAAGGATTGAAAAACTATTTGGTACTATGCTCACTACATGAGTGATGGGATTACCATCATGCCCCAAACCTCACATCACAAAATATACCAACATAACAAACATGCACATGTACCCCCTGAATCTACAATATAAGTTGAAATTATTTAAAAAATAATCTCAGAGATAAAGGGAGGAAGAGATCTTTGCTCATTGACCACACACTTTATTTTGGGGGCTATGAACATCCCACTATTAACAGTGGAGATAATAATTTTATCATATCTTATCAGGATCTGGATGAAACACCCTGAAGATGTTTGATTCTATATTCCCTTTTCAGTTTGATTCTACATTTCGATATTTAAACTTCTGAATCGTGGACCCTAAGGATGCAACTATGAGTCTTGAAGGGTTTTCTGTACTATTTGTCTTATGCTTAAAATTTTGCCATTAAAGCTTCATGCCACTGTTTATTCTTTTCCCAATTCCCTTGTTCCCAAATTTCTATTGGTCTTTTATAATTTGATGCAAAATTTTCTTGTTGAACTCTGTCTTATTTGCCTAACTGCTACCCTTCACAAATATTCCTCACCAATAGACTCAACATCACTTCCATCCACTACCGAGTTGGAATCAAGAACTATCATCTTCACTCTCCTTTTTGGAGAGTGAAGCCTTGATGATAGCTGTTTGCTTTATTTACTAACCTTTAAATCACATATCAGAGCTTCTATACCCCTAACTCTATTTCGGCCCCATTTTCTAATTATCGAGCTCTTGAACCCCCATTTTCTGTTGAAAGAACTCCTTGTCCTGCTTCTCAATTGTGGCCTCATTAGTACCAAAGAAGAGAAACATGGTGGATTTCTGAATTCCTAAGGCTGTGAATTGGGGTCTGAGTTCGGATGGCCACAGCATAATTATCTCAGTAGACCTCTTCCGGTCTAGGCGTCCCAATAGACTTCTACAATCATTCACCATCTTACCTTTTGGTATTAAAGTCACAAAGAGGAGGAGAACAGAAATAAGGGAATGGAGTTTCATGGTTGAGTGCCCAATAGAGAGGTGAGTGATCAGGGCTGGTGGAACACAGGGGTTTTATTTAATTCTGGGGGCCTGAGGTTCCTCTTGCTCAGTGAAGCTTAACAGAAAGGACATAAAACAGCTTCCGTTGGAATACTTCCAAACTCGAAGGTCTCTAAATTTTGTGACAAATTAACCTAATTGTAGGAAACCAGATGGCTAACCCTTTCCTTTTCCTATGGCTCTCAATTTCACCAGAGGTTAATTAATACCTGTAGTTAATTTTCTTTTTTGAATGGGGCTAAGAAGTAAAGCCATGTGGGTACAGAACATCCTTACTGCAAAAGTCCTAGGGCTTGTAAGGAAACATTTCCATAATACACTGTTTTGTTTTGTTTTGTTTTGTTTTTGTTTTTGTTGTAGTTGTTTTTTTGCAAGAGGGACAAGAGTATTGTCTAAGGTGCATTTATGAAAAGCTATGTTTTTCTTATTTATTATTATTTTTTTAACTAAGTTAGTCCTTAAAAGAAAGGCTGTCACTTGTGTGAGGTGTTCTTTTTTTTTTTTTTTGAGACGGAGTCTCGCTCTGTCGCCCAGGTTGCAGGCTGGAGTGCCGTGGCGCGATCTCGGCTCACTCAAGCTCCGCCTCCCAGGTTCACGCCATTCTCCTACCTCAGCCTCCCCAGTAGCTGGAACTACAGGCGCCCACCACCACGCCCGGCTAATTTTTTGTGTTTTTAGTAGAGACGGGGTTTCACCATGTTAGCCAGGATGGTCTCCATCTCCTGACCTCGTGATCCGCCCACCTCGGCCTCCCAAAGTGCTGGGATTACAAGGCGTGAGCCGCTGCGCCCGGCCCTGAGGTGTTCTTAATCACATCCGAAAGGTGGATACATTTAATTCACATTGAAAACAAATATTTTTTCATCGTTATTGATCCTTTGTATAATTATCTCATACAACAAGACAAGCAAGATCAGGAGAGTTGAAAGATAAAAGACAGAGTAAAGTGCGCAGCTCCTCTCAAAAGACTCTGAGCCTACAGCTTAAAGAGATTCCCCTAACCTTTCACCCTAACCCACCACATAGCAACAAAATATTGAAAGCTTAAGAGCATGCTTTAATCAAGAATCAATTGACCAACATCCAACTTACCCAAAACAAATTTACCTTCTGTTCAATTCCTTATTGGCATATTTCCTTGAATTGATATTTTTTTAAATTTGTAAACTTTCATATATGGTGTCAGTCTTTTCTGAAAAATTATATATGCATATATATATAACTTTTATATAGCTTTTATTTGACTACTTTTGATCATTTTCATGTTAGTTGATGTATTTATGAGCATTTGCTAATTTATTTCCTCATTAATAATTTATGCCTTAATAATTTTAGGTTTGAATAAATGTTCCAAAAGACTAATATTCAAAAGATTTTTTGAAAAGTAGAACAAAGCCAGAGAATTTAGACTACCTTGTTTCAAGACAAAGCTACAATAACGAAGACACTGTGATACTGAAATAAGAAGAGACATATAGTTCAACAGAACATAATAGAGAGTCAAGGATACGACCATCATATGAATGGTCTGCATATGGGTAAGACCATATATATTTATCCATGCTTAATGATTTTGACAAAGGTGCTAAGTAAAGTCCTTTTTTTTTTTATGCCCTCATTCTTGTATATGTAACTCATTCAAGTGTTTCGTGTGCAGGTTTGTTACACGGATAAATTGTGTGTCCTGGGGGTTTAGTATACAGATAATTTTCCCAGGTATTCAGCGTATTACTCAACAGGTAGATTTTCAATCCTCACCCTCCTCCCACCCTCCACCCCAGGTAGGCCTTAGTGTCTGTTGTTCCCTTCTTTGTGTCCATGTGTATTCAGTGTTTAGCTTCCACTTTTTTTGTTTGTTTGTTTGAGACACAGTCTTGCTCTGTTGCCCAGGCTGGAGGGCAGTGGCATGATCTCTGCTCACTGCAACCTCCACCTCCGGGGTCCAAGCGATTCTCCTGCCTCAGCCTCCTGAGTAGCTGGGACTACAGGTGTGCGCCACCACGCACAGCTAAGTTTTTGTATTTTTAGTAGAGACAGGGTTTCACCATGTTAGCCAGGATGGTCTCAATCTCCTGACCTCGTGATCTGCCTGCCTCAGCCTCCCAATAGCTTCCACTTTTAAGTAAGAATGTATGGTATTTGGCTGTCCGTTTCTGTGTTAATTTGGTTAGAATAATGGCCTCCAGCTGCATCTGTGCTGCTGCAAAGGACATGATTTTTTCTTTTCATGGCTGCATAGTATTCTATGGCGCATATATGCCACACTTTCTTTATCTAGTCCGCTGTTGATGGGCATCTAGGTTGATTCCATGTCTTTACTATTGTGAATAATGCTGCAATGAACATACAAATGCATGTATCTTTATGGTGGAATAATTGATATTCCTTTAGATATATACTAAGTAATGGGATTGCTGTGTCAAGTAGTGCTTTTATTTTAAGTGTTTTGAGAAATCTTCAGACTACTTTCCACTATAGCTGAACTAATTTATATTTCCACTAGCAGTGTATAAGCATTCCCTTTTCTCCAAAGCCTCACCAGGGTCTGTTATTTTTTGACTTTTAATAATATCTATTCTGACTGGTGTGAGAGGGGATCTTATTGTGGTTTTGATTTGCATTTCTCTAGTTATTAGTGATACTGAGCATTTTAAAAATATGTTGGGTGTCTCTCTGTATGTCTGCTTTTGAGAAGTGTCCATGTTTTCCAAATTTTTAAATAAAGGTTTTAGTTTTTGCTTGTTGATTTAAATTGCTTATAGATTCTGGATATTAGACTTTTGTCAGATGCATGGTTTGCAAATATTTTCTCCCATTCTGTAGTTTGCTGTTTACTCTGTTAACAGTTTTTTTTTTTTTCTCTGCAGAAACTCTTTAGTTAATTCAGCTCCACTTGTCAATTTTTGTTTTTGTTGCAGTTGCTTTTGAGGACTTAGTCATGCATTATTTCCCAAGGCCAATGTCGAACATGATGTTTCCTAGATTTTCTTCTAGAATTCTTATAGTTTGAGGTCTTATATTGAAATCTTTAATCCATCTTGAGTTAGTTTTTTGTATATGGTGAAAGGTAGGCATTCAGTTTCATCCTTCTACATATGGCTAGCCAGCTATCTCCGCCCCATTTATTGAACAGGGAGTCTTTTCCCCATTGTTTATTTTTGTCAACTTTGTCAAAGAGCAGATGGTTGTAGGTGTGCAGCTTTATTTCTGTGTTACAGCAATCTTTATCTCTGGAATAGAGATTCTGTTGCAATGGTCCATGTGTCTGCTTTTGTACCAGTCCCATGTTGTTTTAGTTTCTGCAGCTTCGTCATATAGTTTGAAGTCAGGTAATGTGATGCCTCCAGTGATGTTCTTTTTTGCTTAGGATTACTTTCACTCATCAGACTCTTTTTTTTTTGGTCTCATATGAATGTTAAAATAGTTTTTTCTAACTCTGTAAACATGTCATTGATAGTTTGATAGGAACAGCGCTGAATCTGTAAATTGCTTTGAGCAGTACGGCCATTTTAAGAATATTGACTCTTCCTATCCATGAGCATAGAATGTTTTTTCATTTGTTTGTGTCATCCCTGATTTCTTTCAGCATTGTTTTATAATTCTCATTTAGAGATCTTTCATCCTCCTGGTTAGCTGTATTCCTAGGTATTTTTATTTTTTCTTCCAGCTATTATGAATGGAATTTTGTTCTTGGTGTGGCTCACAGCTTGGTGTATAGCAATGATATTGATTTTTTATACATTGATTTTTCATCCTGCAACTTTACTGAGTATCAGGTCTATGGCCTTTGGGCAGAGACTATGGAATTTTCTCATTATAGAGTCATAACATCTGCGAAGAGAGATAGTTTGACTTCCTCTCTTTCTAGTTGGATGCCTTTTATTTCTTTCTCTTACCTGATTGCTCTGGCTAAGATTTCCAGTCTTTCAACTAGTGGTTCTGAAGACTGAGATACAAACAGAAGTCATATAACCTTTTATTATGTAGCCTGAGAAGTCAGAAAGCATCATCTGCACTGTATTTATTAGTTAAGGCAGTTACAAAGGTTTGCCTCAGATCAAGCAGAGGGAACACAGACTTCACCTCTCAGTGGAGGAGTATCAATGTTACATTATAAAAAGATCTTGTGGGATGGAATATATATTTTTAGAAAACTACAATTTTTGGAAATGCATTTTTGAAAAATGCATTGTGCCACAGTAGCTATAACTTTTTTTTCAGTTTCAAAAATGTCAGTTTTACATGGTTCAATCCATTATGCTCTTGAATAAAATTGCCAGAATTTTATTGTCCTTCATTTTCAATATTGGGAATTGTTGTGACTAATAAGTAATAATAATAGTATAATGAATAAGTTATACGGTACAAAGAGTATAATAAGAAGGTTGTGGTATAGTGACATCAGCAAAAGTGGAATAAAAATGTTCAAAATTTTATCTCTTTATAAAATATACGATAAAACTGGCAACAACTGTCAACATAAAGCTTTTTAGAACTCTGAAAACTAACCTAAGGTTTTCAGCAATCTAGGGAGTGCTAATTCTAGCAAAATATCTGGTCTCAGTAAGAACATCGATTTGTGGTTTTTAACTTACCCTGTTTCCATTCTTCACAGAGAAGCAGCAGGCTTGAAAATAATGCCCAGATTCTTAATACCAATGCCAGAAGAAACAGAATGGACCTCATTCATGAAAAATTGGTCTGCCTGTTGACTCCCTGGAATATATTCTCAGAAGCCTTGTTTTTTCACCTAACCTGGACCTCACACAGTGGTAAAGCTGCTACTTGGTGTGGGGCGGTATTAGAAAACATTTACAGAAAAACATTATAAATACTGCCGCCTGAACACTGGGGAAAACAATAGACTAAACAAAAGTCTTCAGAGGAAGTCCTGGGAATGAGATGCTTTGGGGAATGTGGGCTTTGAAAAGCTTCAACATATTTCTGAGAATTTGCAAAACTGTGTATGTCAAGGCTGTGTGCATGTTTAGTAAAAACCTGGGAAATTTCTACCTTCCCTGCACAAGCAGAAAGTGTAGGCCAAGGCAGAGTTGTAATCTGTGGCTGAGTGTTGAAAGCAGGGCCCAACACATACACAAAGCCCCTCTGCAAGTTCCAAACACATATGGAAATCTTTGTCAAATTATTAGCTGACCTCTAAGCTAATGGAAAAAATATTTTAATCGACATAGGTGACAAAAAATAGAGACCAAAAAGTTTATTCAGAAAAGATACTGAACAAACAAATAACTACAATGAGGAGTACAACGTGGGGAGGACGGAGAATCTTATTTCTAGAGTGGCCACATTATCATGTTTAAAATGTCTGGTATTCAAAAAAAGTATGAGACATGCAAAAAGAAAAAACCCAAGAAAGTATGGCACATGGAAAAGAAAACATGCAGTTAAAGAAATCTATCCCGAGGAGATCCAGACATTGGCTTTAATAGAAACAGACTTTAAATCAACTATTTTAGATATGTTCAAAGAGCTAAAGGAAACGGCACCTAAGGAACTAAAGAGAAACATGAGAATGATATCTCACAAAAATAGAGAATATCAACAAGAGACAATTAAAAAAAAAAACATGAGAATGATATCTCACAAAATAGAGGCTATCAATAATTTTTTTTTAAAAAATTATTTATTTTATAATGTTCTTTTAAAAAGAAACCAAATAGAAATTCTGGAGTTGAAAGATAAAATAATGGAAATGAAAAATACTCTAGAGGGCTAAACAGCAGATTTGAGGAGGTACAAAAAATTAGTGAACATGAAAATAGGTCAATTGAGATTATCCAGTTAGGGAAAATCTCAGAGAAAAGAATGAAGAATAATAAATGGAGCCTAATAGACCTGTGGAACACCATCAAGATATCAACATATGCATAATGGAAGTTCCAAAAAGAAAAGAGAGAGAGAAAGGTACAGAAAATATATTTGAAGATATAATTGTCTAATGCTTACCAAATTTTATAAAAAATTTAACCTACATGTACAATAAGCTCAATGTACTCTAGATGGATAAACTGAAAGAAACCACCCGAAGACATATCATAACCAAATGGCTCAAATCCAAAGCCAAAGAGTAAATCTTGAAAACAGTAGGAGAGAAGAGACTTATCATTTACAGTAGTTCCTTCTTATCCATGAGGGATACATTTCAAAACTCCTAGTGAATGCCTGAAACCATGGATAGTATTGAATCATACACATATTATGTTTTTTAATACATACTTACAATAACATTTAATCAAAATTTAAAATTTGATAATTTTATTATATAAATTGGGGGAGTACTCTTGCATTTTGGGGCCATTATTAAGTAAAATTATGGTTACTTGAATACAGGACTGTGATAGCGTGACAGTCAATCTGATAACCAGGACAGGTGCTAATTGACTAATGGGTCGGTAGCATATACAGGATGAATATTCTGGACAAAGGAATGGTTCACATCCCAAGTGGGATGAAGCCAGATAGCATGAGATTTCATCATGCTACTCGAATGGCATGCAATTGAAAATTGTTTATTTCTGAAATTTTCCATTTAATATTTTCAGGTGAAAGTTGACCATAGGTAACTGAAGCCATGGAAAGTAAAATTGCAGATAAGGGAAGATTAGTTATTAGTGATTCACAGTAAATTTACAGCTGACCTCTTTTAAGAATGCGGTGGGATGACAAAAAATTCTACAAGGAGTGATTTGGGCTGAAATGAAAGAACATTATATAGTAATTTCAAACACATAAAGGAGTAAAAATGCTGGTGTGTGTGTGTGTGTGTGTGTGTGTGTGTATCTTTAATAAAGGGAACTTTAGTATATATAAGCAATATCCTCTTTTCTTCTGATTTAAAAACAACTGCACATCACATTGCAGCATTACTCACATTACCCAAGATATTGAAAAAACCTAAGTGTTTATGAACAGATGGATAAAGGAATTATATACATAATAAAATATCACTCAGTTTTGTAAAAAAGTTTCTTTCATTTGCATCAACATGGATGAACCTAGAAGACATTATGCTAATAATAAATCAGGCACAGAAAGAAAAATACTGCATTGTCTCATTTATAGGTAGACCCTAAACAAAAAAGCCCCACAAAAGCCCTAAGAAATAGAATGGTTAGAAAGAGGTGGGAGATGTGTGGAAGATGGAAGATGAAAGCCAAAGGGTACAAGTTTCAGCTATATAAAATACATATGCCTAGAGATCTCATGTACAACACAAGAGCTGTAGTTAATAATGTATCATACTCCAGAAATTTGCCCAGAGCAGATTTTAGATACTTTTACCACAAAAAAGTAACTATGTGAGATGACGGATATGTTAATTTGCTTGATTATGGCAATCATTGCACTATATATATATGTATATATACACAAACATAATATTGTATATCTTAAATACAATAAAAAGAAAGTCAACGCATAAAGCAATAAATATAAACCTATGTTGATGATCATACGATGTATAAAGATGTGATTTAGGTTGGGCCCGGTTGCTCACGCCTGTAATCCCAGCACTTTGGGAGGCCGAGGCGGGCGGATCACCTGAGGTCAGGAGTTCGAGAGCAGCCTGACCAACATGGAGAAATCCCGTGTCTACCAAAAATACAAAATTAGCTGGGCATGGTGGCCCATGCCTGTAATCTCAGCCAAAAAAAGCAGGGGTTGCAATTCTAGTCCCTGACAAAACAGAGTTTAAACCAACAAAGATAAAAAAAGACAAAGAAGAGTATTACATAATGATAAAGGGATCAATTCAACAAGAAGAGCTAACTATCCTAAATATATATGCACCCAATACAGGAGCACCTAGATTCATAAAACAAATTCTTAGACACCTGCAAAGAGACTTAGACTCCCGCAAAATAATAATGGGAGACTTTAACACCCCACTGTCAATATTAGATCAACAAGACAGAAAATTAACAAAGATATGCAGGACTTGAACTCAGCTCTGGATCTAGTGGACTTAATAACATCTACAGAACTCTCCACCCCATATCAACAGAATATATATTCTATTCAGTGCCACATGACACATATTCTAAAATCGACTGCATAGTTGGCAGTAAAACACTCATCAGAAAATGCAAAAGAACTGAAAATATAACAAACGGTCTCTCAGACCAGAGTGCAATCAAATTAGAACTCAGGATGAAGAAACTCACTCAAAACCACACAACTACATGGAAATTGAACAACCTGCTCCTGAATGACTCCTGGGTAAATAAGGAAATTAAGGCAGAAATCAAGAAGTTATTTGAAACCAATGAGAACAAAGACCACATACCAGACTCTCTGGGACACAGCTAAAGCAGTGTTAAGAGGGAAATTTATAGCACTAAATGCCCACATCAGAAAGCTAGAAAGATCTCAAAAATGACAGCCTAACATCACAATTAGAAGAGCTAGAGGAGCAACAACAAACAAATCCAAAAGCTAACAGAAGGCAAGAAATAACTAAGATCAGAGCAGAACTGAAGGAGATAGAGATACAAAAAAACCCTTCAAGAAATCAATTAATCCACAAGCTGATTTCTTGAAGAAATTAACAAAATAGACCACTAGCTAGACTAATAAAGAAGAAAAGAGAGGAGAATCAAATAGACACAATAAAAATGATAAAGGGGATATCACCACTGACCCTACAGAAATACAAACTATCACTAGAGAATACTATAAATACCTCTATGCAAATAAACTAGAAAACCTAGAAGAAATGCATAAATTCCTGGACATATACACCCTCTCAAGACTAAACCTGGAAGAAGGTGAATCCCTGAATAGACCAGTAAGAAGCTGTGAAATTGAGACAGTAATTAATAGTCTACCACCCAAAAAAAGTCCAGGACCAGACTGATTCAGAGCTGAATTCCACCAGAGATAGAAAACCAGCACAAGACAAGGATACCCTCTCTCACCGCTCCTATTCAACATAGTATTGGAACTTCTGGCCAGGGCAAACAGGCAAGAGAAAGAAATAAAAGTATTCAAATAGGAAGAGAGGAAGTCAAATTGTCTCTGTTTGCAGATGATGTGATTCCCTCTTTAATAAATGGTGATGGGAAAAATGGCTAGCCATATTCAGAAAATTAAAAGTGGACCCCTTCCTTACACCTTATACAAAATTTAACTCAAGATGCATTAAAGACTTAAATGTAAAACCCAAAACCATAAAGATTCTAGGAGAAAACCTAGGCAATACCATTCAGGACATAGGCATGGGCAAAGACTTCATGACGAAAATGCCAAAAGCATTTGTAACAAAAGTCAAAATTGACAAATGGGATCTAATTAAGCTAAAGAGCTTCTGCACAGCAAAAGAAACTATCATCAGAGTGAAGAGGAAACCTACAGAATGGGAGAAAATTTTTGAAATCTCCCCATCTGACAAAGGTCTAATATCCAGAATCTACAAGGAGCTTAAACAAATTTACAAGAAAAAACAACCCCCTTAAAAATTTGGCAAAGAATATGAACAGACACTTCTCAAAAGAAGACATTTATGCGGCTAACAAACATAAAAAAAAGCTCAACATCACTGATTATTAAAGAAATGCAAATCAAAACCACAATGAGATAATATTTCATGCCAGTCAGAATGGTGATTATTAAAAAGTCAAGAAGCAATAGATGCTGGTGATGCTCTGGAGAAATAGGAATGCTTTTACACTGTTGGTGGGAATGTAAATCAGATCAACCATTGTAGAAGACAGTGTGGCGATTCTTCAAGGATCTAGAACCAGAAATACCATTTGTCCCAGCAATCCCATTACTGGGCATATACCCAAAGGAATCATAAATCATTCTACTGTAAAGATACAAGCACACGTATGTTTATTACAGCACTATTTACAATAGGAAAGACATGTAACCAACCCAAATGACTATCAGTGATAGACTGGTAAAGAAAATGTGGCAAATATACACCATGGAATACTATGCAGCCATAAAAAGGAATGAGAACATGTCCTTTGCAGGGACATGGATGAAGCTGGAAGCCATCATCCTCAGCAAACTAACACAGGAACAGAAAAACTAACACCACGTGTTCTCACTCATATGTGGGAGTTGAACAATGAGAACACATGGACACAGGAAGGGGAACAACACACACCAGGGCCAGTAAGGGGATGGGGGCGCGAGGGGAGGGAGAGCATTAGGATAAACAGCTCATTCATGTGGAGCTTAAAACCTAAATGACGGGTTGCTAGGAGCAGCAAACCACCAGGGCACAGGTAAACCTTGCAACAAACCTACACGTTTTGCACTTGTATCCCAGAACTTAAAGTAAAATGAAAAAATAAAAACAAGTAGTACAAGAACAAGATAATTAAAATGATACACTAGAAATATTTAATACAAAGGAAGGCAATAATGGAGGAATGAAAGAATTGAAGAACAAAAAAGATATAAGATATATAGACAACAAATAGAAAAATGGCAGAAATCCTTCCTTATTAGGAATTATAGTCCATGTAAATGAATTAAATTCTACAATTAAAGGCAGAGATTGAGAGAATATATTTAAAAACATGATCCAATTATATGTTATCTATGAGGCTCATTTTAGATTAAAATACACAAGTAGTTTGAAAAAAAAGAATGGAAAATAATATTTCATGCAAATTGTGACCAAAAAAGAGCAGAAATAGCTATATTAATGTCAGACAAAATAGACTTCAAGACAAAATTTTTATAACCAAAAGGATATTGTATAATATTAAAAGGGTCAATCCATTAATAAGATATAATAATTATAAATATGTATGCACCTAATAAGAGAGCCCTGAAATACATATATGCTAATATAACTGAAGAGGGAATAGCTAAAAAGTATGGATATTCTGATACTCTAAATTTAATAATACAAAATAACTAGATAGAAGACCGGTAAGAAAATGGAAAACTTGAGCAACACTATAAACCAGTAGACTAACAGACATCTATACAACACTCCAATTAACAACAGGTGAATACATATTTTTTTCTTAAGTAAACACAAAACAGTCTCCAGAATAGTCCACGTTAGGCCATAAAATAAATCTCAGAAAATTTTAAAATATTAAAATCATACAAAATACTTTCTCCAATCACTGTGGGATGAAACTAAAAATCAGTAACAGAAAAAAAAACTGAAAAATTCACAAATATGTGAGAATTAAACACCATACCCCTACATAACCAATGTGTCCAAGAAGAAATCACAAAGGGAATTGAAAAATACTTGGAGAAGAACGAAAATGAAAATACAATCAGGGATGCAGCAAAAGCTAAGCTCAGATAAAAATTTATAGATGTAAACCCTTACCTTAAAAAAGAATGAATAAAATAGATAGCTAACATTCGAAATTCAGAACCCAGGAAAAGAAGAACTAATTAAATTCACAGCAAGCAGGAAAAATAAAATAATAAATATTAGAGCAAAGTGAAATAGAGAATAACAAAACAGTAGAGAAATCAACAAAACCAAAAGTTGATTATTTGAAAAGATCGAGAAACTTGACTAACCTTTTGCTATACTGACCAAGGAAAAAAGGAAGAATACATAAATTACTAAAATTAAAAATAAAGGCCAGGCGCGGTGGATCACGCCTGTAATCCCAGCACTTTGGGAGGCTGAGGCAGGCAGATCACGAGATCAGGAGATCAAGACCATCCTGGTTAACATGGTGAAACCCCGTCTCTACTAAAAAAATACAAAAAATTAGCCGGGCGTGGTGGCGGGCGCCTGGAGTCCCAGCTACTTCGGAGGCTGATGCAGGAGAATGGCGTGAACCCAGGAGGCAGAGCTTGCAGTGAGCGGAGATGGCGCCACTGCACTCCAGCCTGGGCAACAAAGCGAGACTCTGTCTCAAAAAAAAAAAAAAAAAAAAAAAAAAAAAAGAGTGGGGATACTACTACCAAACTTACATAGATAAAAGAAATTATAAGCGAACCCTATGAATAATTGTATGTCAACAAATTAGATACCCTAAATAAAATGATGGACAATTTCTACAAATAAACTACCAAAACTGAGTCAAGAAGAAATAAAAAATACAGATAGACATATAACAAGTGACGGTAGTGAGTCTGTGATCAAAAACTTCCAAAAATATAATCCAGGACCAGATGGCTGTACTAGTGAATTTAATCACGTTTAAAGAATAATGAAGGCTAAGCTTTCCTACAGTCTTTAAAAAATTATGACACATTTCCAAACTAATTTTATGTGACCAGTATTACCCTGACATGAAAGCAAGACAAAGACATTACCAGAAATGAAAACTAGTCCAGTATTCTTTATAAATAAAGATACAAAAATTCTTAACAAAATACTTTAAAATGGAATCTAGCAATACATTAGAAGGATTATACACCACAACCAAGTGCAATTTATTTTAAGAATTGGCTTGTGGGCGGTGGCTCAAGCCGGTAATCCCGGCACTTTGGGAGGCTAAGGCAGGCAGGTCACTTGAGGCCAGGAGTTCGAGACCAGCCTGGCCAACATGGCAATACTCCATCTCCACTAAAGATACAAATTTAGCTGGGCGCGGTGGCGCACGACTGTAATTTCAGCTACTCCGGTGGCTGAGGCAAGAGAATCGCTTGAACCCGAGAAGCAGAGGCTGCAGTGAGGTGAGATTGCACCACTGCCCTCCAGCCTGGGTGACACAGCAAGACCCTGTCTCAAAAAAAAAAAAAAAAGAAGAAAAAAAAGAAGTTTTTTTAAATCTGCAAAATCAATCAATATTAGTAGAATAAAGGGAAAAAAAGCCACAAGCGTCTCAAAAGACATAAACAATTATTTGACAAAATCTAGTGTCCTTTCATGATGACACTCAAGAAATCATAAATCCAAGACAATTTTCTCACCCTGATAACGAGCATCGATAAGAAAAGTGTAGCTAACATCATACCTAATAGTGAAAGACTAAAAGGTTTTCTCCTAAAAACAGGAACAAGAAAAGAATGTCTGTCCTTGACACTTCCGTTCAACAATGTGCTGAAAGTTCTAGCAAAGGCAATTAGGCTAAGAAGAAACTAAAGGCATTCGGAGGAAAGGAAGAAGCATTATTATCTCCATTAAGCCATGAAATGATATTACATGTAGAATACTCAAAAGAATTCACAAAAATCTATTAGGGCTAATAAACAATTTCAACAAAGTTTGAAGATACAAGATCAATATGCAAAAATCAGCTGCATTTCTTTTCTGTAATAGGAATGAACAACTTGGAAGTTAAATGAAGAAAACAATGATACTTACAATAGCATAAAACATTAAATACATAGGAAATAGTGCAATGAAGCAAGTGTAAGACTTGTCCGCTGAGTCTACAAAATATTTTTGAAAGAAAAAGAAGACCCAAGTGAATGGAAAGATTTCTCATGCTCATGAGTTGGAAGATTTAATATAATTTAACTGAAAATACTTCCCAAATTGATTTACAGATTTAATGCAACCCCTATCAAAATTCTGTCTTTTTGCAGAAATTGACAAAAATTATTCTAAAATTTATATAGAAATGAAAAGACGATTAAATATCCAAAACAATTTTGAAATAGAAGAACAAAGTGGGAGCACTCAAATTTCTCAATTTCAAAACTTACCTCAAAGTCACAATAATCTGAACAGTGTGATAATGGTGTAAGAATAGACATATAGACTGATAAAATCAAATTTAAAGTTCAGAAATAAACCCATTCATCTACATGCAATTGATTTTCAACAAGGGTGCCAAGACCATTTAATGAGGAACGAATAGTCTTCAACAAATGGTGCTGGGACAACTGGATATCCACATGTAAAAGGAAAAATTTGTCTACCTCATGCCATATATGAGAATTAATTCAAAACTGACCAAAGACCTTAATGTGATAACTAAAATTGTAAATGTTTAGGAAAAAATGGTACAAATATTTGTGACCTTAGATTAGGCAATGCTTTCTTAAATATGACACCAAAAACATAGCCACAAAAAATAGTTAAATTGGACTTCATTTAAGTTAAAAATTTGAGTGCATTAAAGGATACTGCCAAGGAAGGGGAAAAAAGCCCAATGAATATGAGAAAAATATTTGAAAATTGGATTAATATCCAGAATATATAAAGAACTACTACAAATCAGCAGCAGCAACAACGACAATAAAACACAAATGATCTAAGAAATGATCAAAAGATTTGAATAGTTTTTTGAAAAAGATATTTAAGTGGGCTATAAGCACATGAAAGGGAAATGAAAATCAAAACCACAATGAGATACCATTTGATATCGAGTGGAATAACTATCATCAAGAAAGATGGAAAATAACAAGTGTTGTGGAAAATGTGGAGAAATTGGATTCTCATACATTTCTGATGGAAACATAAAATGGTGGAGGTAGTTTGAAAAACAGGTTGGCATTTCTTAAAGAATTAAAAATAGAGTCACCATATAACCCAGCAATTCTACTCTTAGGTATATACTTAAGAAAATAGTTTCTACCTAAGAGTTGAAAAATTCTCAATGAATTCTCATAGCAGCATTATTCATAATAGTAAAAAAACCTGAAATAACCCAAATGCCCATCAGCTGATAAATATATAAACACAATGTGGTATATTTATATAACACAGTATTATTTATTGATAGAAGGAATGAAATAGCTATATATCCTACAACTTGGATGACCTTGAAAAATTATGTTAAGTTATGGAAGGCAGACACAAATGGGTATATATTTTATAATTCCAGTTATGTACTGTCCAGAATAGTCAAATCTATAAAGATAGAAAACAAATTATTAGTTTCTGGGGATTAGAGAAGGAGTTTCTTTTTGGGGTGATGGAAAGGTTTTGGAATCAAATAGTGGTGATGGCTGCACAACATTGTAAATATACTAACATCTATTAAATTAAACAAATCAAAATGGTTGAAATAGTGAATATTTCATTGTGTGAATATTATCTTAATAAAAATTGTTTTGATAAATACGATGTTTTGGAGTGTCCCTTTTTCTTTTTTTCTTAGAAGAGTTGGATATAATTACAATTTTTTAAATTTCTGAAATGTGGTTGAAAATATAAGTTAAGTGCCCTCTTTTTTGGAAGGTTATTGATTACAGAATTAGTTGCTTTATTAATTCAGGAAAACATTCTTATTTTCTGTTTCATCTTGAGTTAATTTTGTCAAGTTTCGTTAATGGTTTTGCATATTTAAAGATGCTTCCTTTTTTCCTGTTACTTTTATTTGTGCATTTTATTTTCTTTGTAATTCATACTGCAAAGACTGAGATGTTTCTGTTTTCTATTATTATTTTCTTCTGAGATCAGATGAGATCAGGAGTGTTCATGATGGTATTGCCAAAGACTCACCATTATTATTTTCTAATATTAGCAATTATGACCCTGAATTTCCTCTTTAATATTATACCAATGGAATCCAAAAAGTTTTAATAAGTAATATTTTAATTTCAATATATTTATTTTTTCACTAAGATTTTTTTCTTTAATTAACTGGGTTTTAGAACAGTTTCTTATAATTTCATATCAGTGTGATAAATGAACACTTTCTGTAGAGTGTCAGTTATTTGACTTTTGTTAAGATTTGGCATGTAGAACAAATCGTTATATGGTCAATATTTGTGCATATTCAATATGTCCTATTAAAACTGTATTCTGTAGTTGTTGAATGAAGTTATTTGTAATTATTCCCTTCACAAAAATAGTAAATTTTTATTAACATCCAATGTATTATTGATGTTTAAAGTCTTCTTTTTCTTTGAATGACTAAGAAAAATAAGTTATAATCTCCCACTATAGTTTGGAATTTTTTCATTTTTCCTTGTAGGTTGCTCAATTTTTGTTTTATAAATTTGATGCTATGTTATTAAAGTGCACATATTTTGATGTATATATTTTTCTGGTACCACACTGTTTTGGTGACTATGATCTTATAGCATACTTTGAAATCAGGTAGTGTGATGCCTCCAGATTTGTTCTTATTGCTTTGTCTTGCTTTGGATATGTGGGCTCTTTTTTGGTTCCATATGAATTTTAGAATTGTTTTTACTAACTCTGAAGAATGATGGTGGTGTTCTGATGACTCCATGGGGGTCATCCACGTTGTAGGATATATAGCTATTTCATTCCTTCTATCAATAAATAATACTGTATTATATAAATATACCACAATGTGTTTATATATTTATCAGCTGATGGGCATTTGGGTTATTTCAGCTTTTTTACTATTATGAATAATGCTGCTATAAGAATTCACTGAGAATTTTTCAACTCTTACGTACAAACTTTTTTCTTAAGTATATACCTAAGAGTGGAATTGCTGGGTTATATGCTAACTCTATTTTTAATTCTTTGAAAACTGCCAACCTGTTTTTCAAACTGCTTCCACCATTTTGGTGGTTTAAGGCTCTATTTTTTGTGCTGATGGGCCTCCTGCTGGGAGATGGCGCTTTCCAGAAAGCATCCGCTGTAGTAGTGTTGAGAGATGACAACATGCTAGCAACCCTCGCTTGCTCTCAGTGCCTCCTTGGCCTCGGCGTCCACTCTGGTTGCACTCGAGGAGCCCTTCAGCCCGCCACTGCACTGTGGGGGTCCCTCTCTGGGGCTGGTCAAGGCCAGAGCCGGCTCCCTCTGCTCGCAGGGTGTGGAGGGAGAGGCCGTGGTGGGAGCCGGGGCTGCGTGTGGCCCTTGTGGGCTGGCGCGGGTTCTGCGTGGGCGCGGGCTCGGTGGGCCCCACACTTGAGGCGGCTGGCCGGTGCCTGCTGGGCTTGACCGGGGGATGAGCTCTCTCTAGGCTGCTGGAGTGCCAGGGCTGGGTGCTGCAAAGTCCTGTGTGGCGAGTGCCATCAAGAGGTGAAGCCGGCTGGGCTTCTGGGCCCGCTGGGGACTTGGAGAACTTTTCTGTCTAGCTAAATGATTGTAAAAGCACCAATCAGCACTCTGTGTCTAGCTAAAACTTTGTAAATGCACCAATCAGCGCTCTGGGTCTAGCTAATCTGGTGGGGGACTTGAAGAACTTTTGTGTCCAGCTAAAGGATTTTAAATGCACCAATCAGCACTCTGTCTAGCTAAAGGTTTGTAAATACACCAGTCAGCACTCTGTCAAAACGGACCAATCAGCTCTCTGTAAAATGGACCAATCAGCAGGATATGGATGGGGGCCAGACAAGGGAATAAAAGCAGGCCACCGGAGCCCACAGCTCAACAGGCTTGGGTCCCCTTCCATGCTGTGGGAAGTTTGTTCTTTCGCTTTTTGCAACATAGCTTGCTGCTGCTCACTCTTTGGTTTCGTGCCGCCTTTAAGCGCTGTAACACTCACTGCGAAGGTCTGCAACTTCACTTCTGAGGCCAGCCAGACCATGAACCCACTGGGAGGAATAAGCAACTCTGGACACACCATCTTTAAGAATTGTTAACACTCACCAGGAGGGTCTGCGGCTTCATTCTTAAACTCAGCGAGACCAAGAACCCACCAATTCCGGACACTGTGGAGAGGGACCAGTGGTGGGCAGGGCTCCAGAACTCCAAAGATCATATGTTCTTTGTCTTCTGCTACCAGGGTGGATATGGAAGGACCATCAGGTGGGGGTGGGGCTAGGCGTGCCTGAGCTCAGACTCTCCTTGGGTGGGTCTTGCTTTGGCTGCTGTGGGGGATGGAGGTGAGATTCCCAGGTCAGTGGAGTTGTGTACCTAGAAGGATTATGACTGCCTCTGCTGAGTCATGCAGGTTGTCAGGGAAGTTGGGGAAAGCTAGCTTCCATGCACACTGAAAGGCTGGTCTCACTCCCACAATGCCCCTTGTGATAGCCCGGAGTCTGTTTCCAGGCCGAAGGCGAATCTGGCTTGAAAACTTACCTGAGGCTTTCTGCCTCCCGACTGACAAAGAAATGGGCTTCAGTTCTTACCCCGCCTGTGAAGTCTGCAAGCCTGATTCACGCCCTCCCCCGAGTTCTGGCCAGGAGGCTTCCAGCCCCATTCAATTTTTTACAAAGTTCAGCTAGAGAGGTTCTTCTCCCTGTGAAGTTTTACCCCCTACTCCTCTGGCCACCCCCCCGATGGATGTCTGCCGTGCCAGGCAGGAATGGGCTACTTGGGGATCCAGCGGCCTTCCAGTGCCTTTGTGCTACTTCCTCTACTCCTGTATGTTGCTCAGCTCGGCTCTCTAACTTGACTCAGCTCCAGGTAAAGTCACGAACTTCTCCCACAAACAGACTTTCAGCTTCTCCAGTGGGGGTGTGTGTTCATGAGACGAGGGTCTCCCTTTCCCATTTCCGTGGTTAGGGGACTTAAAGTATTTGGGGTGTCTCCCAGGTCCTGCAAGAGCAGTCTGCTTCCTTCGGAGGGTCTGTGGGTCCTGTCAGGATTGCTGGTCTGCTCTTGCAGTCCATCTGGAGCTAAAATTCACAACGCAAGCCTCCGCATGCTGCTCTGTCCAGAGCTGCCATCTAGTTCTGCCTCCTGTCTGTCATAATCCCTCATGACCCTTGAGCTTTTTTTTTCATATGATTGTTGGCAGCATGTATGTCTTCTTTTGAGAAGTGTCTGATCATGTTTTTGCCTATTTTTAAAGGTTTTTTTTTTTTGTAAATTTGTTTAAGTTCCTTGTAGATGCTGTATATTGGATCTTTGTCGAATGCATAGCTTGCAAAAGTTTTCTCCCATTCTGCAGGTTGTCTTTTTGCTCTGTTAATAGTTTCTTTTGCTGCCCAGAAGCTCCTTAGTTTAATTACATCCCATTCGTCTATTTTTGCTTTTGTCACAATTGCTTTTGGTGTCATTGTTATAAAATTTTCGCCCGTGCCTATGTCCTGAATGGTATTGCCTAGGTTGTCTTCCAGGGTTTTTATAGTTTTGTGTTTCACACTTAAGTCTTTAATCCATTTAATCCTGCATATGAAGACCGATCTTTATGTTTAGAAATTCTTTCATCTTCTTAATCTAGTCTATTGTTGAGGTTCTCAAATTGTATTATTTATTTTATTTATTGAATTATTCAATTTCGGCTGTTAAATTCCTTTTCACTCATTTTATGGATTTGTTTGATTGAAATCTGTTGCTGGAGAATTATTGGTTTTCCTTCAGGGATGCTATGTTTCCTTGCTCTTTAATGTTTCTTATGTCCTTACATTGATATTTGAATATCTGGTAAAACAGTTGCTTCTTCTAATTTTATAGATTGGCTTTGGTAGTAAAAGACTGACTTCTGTAGCTGTATCTATACTGTTGAATCAGTAAGACACTTTGCCTTTAGTTCTGAGTTGGTTCAGTAGTTTATACTTCTATGATTTCTTCAGCTATAATCAGCATCACTGATGTCTGTGAGCTCCTCAGTGTCTTAGCCTTCATTGTTAATGGAGGCTGTGGTGAGATTTTGCTGGGGAAAGACAGGCCAGGCAGTTTGGTCCTTGGGCACCAGTTGCATTGGTCTTTGAACTTGTGGGTGATGAACGTGGGCACCAGTGGTTGAAGTTTCAGGCAGGCCATCCTTGGGCCTTCAGGTGGCTTTTTTTTTTTTTTTTGAGATGAAGTTTTGCTCTGTTGCCCAGGCTGGTGTGCAATGGCGTGTTCTCAGCTCACTGCAACCTCCGCCTCCCAGGTTCAAGCAATTCTCCTGCCTCAGCCTCCCGAGTAGCTGGGATTACAGGCATGCACCTCCATGCCCGGCTAATTTTGTATTTTTTTTTTTTTGTTTTTTTTTTTTTAGTAGAGATGGAGTTTCTCCATGTTGGTCAGGCTGGTCTTGAACTCCCGACCTCAGGTGATCTGCCCCCTTCAGCCTTCCAAAGTGCTGGGATTACAGGCGTGAGTCAGGTGGCTTTCTCAAGTGCCAGCAGTGACAGTGGTGAGCTAGGGAGATAGGCATGCCCTCAAGACCCTGTGCTGTAGTCATAGCAGGTCAACTCTTGTGACCCCAGATGGCATGTGCAGACACCAACAGTCATGGCAACATGATGGACAGAGTAGTCCTCAGGCTTTCACCTGGTGCAAATATGTGGGCATTGGTGGCAGCCGTGATGGCAGGCTGGGAAGTCCTATCCTTAGGCTCTCAGGAGACACACAGGTACTTGATGGTGATAGGCATGGTGGATTAATCCCCAGGCTCCCAGACAATGTGCACAGGCACCACCAGGCTGGGTGGGCTCATACTTAGGTCACAAGAAGGCATGCACAGGTGCCAATGACAGACAGCAGTGTGGGTTGATCCCCAGCGTCCTGGACAACGACCTTGGGTAGTGGTAGTGACAGCAATGGGTGGGATGGGCCTGTGCTCTGGCCCTGGAATAGTGCTCAGGCAGGTGAGTCCCCAGGTCCCCTGAGGATGCCTGCAGGTGTGCAGTGGCCCTGCTCCTGGGGGTCAGGATTGCTGTCAGTGTCAGTGGTCCTGGGAAGGTGACTCTCCACTTGTGAAGAGTGCCTGCTTCAGCTCCCTTTGTTCTGGGGGCAGCCTCTCTAGTGAATGGCACTGCCAGTTCCCTGGAGTGTAGGACACTGTGTAGGCTAGAGTGATGGGGACCAAGCTACACTGGTGAGTTCAGCTGGTATTGTGACTCTGCAGGCCTCTGGATGGACATGAGGGAATGTCACTGAGGGTCCAGAGATGTGGAGATGCAGGGGCTGTTGGGCCCCAGGGCAGGATGTAGTCTTTTGGGGGCTGGGCTCTCAAATTGGCATTGTGCCACAGCTGCCTGTGTCTGGGGGCAGGTGCAGATGATCCAGTGCCAACTCCTTCTCTGGGACAATGACCATCACATACACTCCAGGCAGCTCCCTATAGTAGTCTCAGGGCCTGCGAGGGCTGAGAGACCGTCCCTTGGCTAGGATTGCAGTGTCCACAGTGGGAATATGGACCACTGGGGCTCTCTTTTTTACCTTTTCACCACACTGCAGAGCCTGTCCTGGCTTTAAGCTGATTCTGGCTGGGCTGCTGCTTCATTTTCCTTTCCTTCCATGCCTCAGAGATTCCTCGTCACTTTGCTGCTGAATTCTAGTGCCCTCTTTCATGCCCTCTTCAAGGTATGATTATCTACTTGCTGTTTTGGTCTTTCTTTGGGAGGACACAGTGCCTGGTACCTCTAGTCAGCCATCTTGAAGGCCACCTCCTAGCAATGAGAAGATAATATTCTATGTGACGGCTTTAATATACGTGTCCAAACTGCTTCTTTTCTAGGGAAGCACTTACTCTAAGAAATAAATGTTATATAGTGCAAAAATATATTAAAGGGTCAGTTGGTGATGCGGTTTCAAGAGTGGCACTGAGGAAAACTTGGCACTTCCACAGGGTTGAGTTGGTTGGAATATATCTCAATCTCTGAGATTTTGAACTCAATGTTTTGAACTTTTTGAGATTTCGAGTAGTCCATGTGACATAACTTAACATTGTTTCTTGGCCAAATCAGTCATAGTGAAAAATAAAATCCAGCTAATATACTTTTAAATATCTTGATTCTATACTCTTTCAATGACCAAGGGGAGGCCCCTCACTACTTTACACAAAAAAGAAAACTCTATGAATGAGAATCTCTTCACACAAAGCCACTAAAATTGTGTCTAAATGGAGCAAAATTGTGACAGGTGGTAAAAGCACTCAGTGGCTGTTGTAGGCAGAATAATGTCCCCTCTGTCTCCTGCCAAAGCTATCCACATCCTAACTCCTGGGTCCTGTGAATGTGCCACCTTGTAAGGCAAAGGGGAATTGAGGTTTCATGTGAAATTAAGGCTGTTAATCAGCTGACCTTAAAATAGGGAGATTATCTTAGATTATCCAGGTGGGCCCAACGTAATCATGAGTCCTAAAAAATGGAAGAGTGGGGAGAAGATGAATTCAGAATGATGGAATGTGAGGACTCAATGCTCCATTGCTGGCTTTGAAAATGGATGAAGGAAGCTATGGTTCCCAGGAGTAGCCTGTCATTGCTGGGATAAAGGTGCAGGAAGAAAACTGCAGAGCTTCCAGAAGAAAGCTCAGCCCTGCTAACACCTTGATGTTGGCCCACAGAGATCCATCTGAAACCTGCAGCCTATAGAACTGTCAGATAATGCATTTGTGTTGCTTTAAGCCACTAAGTTTGTTGTAATTTGTGATAGCAGCCATAGGAAGCCAATACAGTGTTTTAAAAGATGGCAGAAAATGCTGAATGATTATGCCCAGTGAAAGCTGGGAACTGAAGGAATTCCCTGAATCTTGGCCAGGCATACATGTACAGACCCAGGGATTTGCCTCCGAAAAGGGTGCTGAAGAAATTGCCTTTATTCTGAGTGCAACTCTTTTTATAATTTAGATTTCTGGTGAAGTCTGGTTGACGTGATTGTGCAATTTTCATATGTGGTGCACCTTTATCAGGGAGAGACAGACCCCTGCAAGGCTGCATGGAATAGGATGGCGCATTTTCCCTGTAAAAAATGGGAGTGGTCTTCCCACATGCAGGGTGAAGGGTTACAGTGCTAGACAAATCAATAGGTATGGTTGAAAGTTCCCCCACCCTCCTGTAAGTCATTTTCAACTAAGAGCTCATCTAGATGGGATAGAAGGATACTGGAAAGCAAACAGTAATCAAGTCATAACATGGCATATAAACTTATTTCTTTCTTTCTTTCTTTCTTTATTTTTTTTTTGAGACAGTGTCTTGCTCTGTCACCCAGGCTGGAGTGCAGGGTCGGGATCTCGGCTCACTGCAGCCTCCACCTCATGGGTTCAAACGATTCTCCTGCTTCAGCCTCCTGCGTAGCTGGGATTACAGGTGCCCGCCACCATGCCTGGCTAAATTTTTGTATTTTTAAAAGAGACAGGGTTTCACCATGTTGGCCAGAATGGTCTTGATCTCCTGACCTCACGATCCACCCAGCTTGGCCTCCCAAAGTGCTAGGATTACAGGCATGAGTCACCGCACCCAGCCAGTAATATAAACTTTTAAAAGAGGTTTTGTGCTGGTTGGTTTTGGTTTATTCTTTTTTGAGGATTCAATAAAAATCCCTGTGAGAAAAATGGAGAGAGGGAACGGGAGACAGGGAGATAGGGAGAGGGAGAGAGAAAAAAGAGAACCTAAAACCTCCAGAAAACAACAGGATTCAGTCCTTTTTGGGTGTAGTGCTCTCAATTCTTGGTTGATGCCCCAGAGGCAGGCAGCAGGGTCGGCTATTTAAACATCTCCCTACATGGATTTCTGTTTCGAGGCAAAAGTCCTGACAGGAGCCATTTGGACGTTCACAGATCTCCTTGAATTTGCCCCTGGCTACAGCAGAAGAGGGTTATTGTAAGCATTCATCAGTCTTTACTTTGTATTGAATTACATGGACGTAGGGGGCAGTGCCTGAAAATAATCTTGTGTGGATTTGTGTGTGTGTGTGTGTTATTTGATTTCTTAAACACTTAAAAATCTGCTGTCACACAAAAATTTGGATTTTTTGGTGTTCTTGAAAAATCTGAGAATGTTGGGTGCACCTACATGACAAAAGGCTGGAGGTGAGTAGCCCGCTCCCCTTTACAAGTTCTAGAGCATGCAAGTTTCAGTTTATTTCTTCCTTATTATCTTCCAACACTGATGGGAGATTTCAGCCTTTCAAAAAAATATAATGTCTTGTACTATGGATTTTCCTGGAGTGAAAGAGAAGAAAATCTCTTTTGGCTCATCTCTTTTTACTCCTACACACACACACACACACACACACACACACACACACACACACACACACTCTATATGATAGATTATAACAGATGTATCTTTCAAAAGTAGAACTGAAATTTAGACCTAAAAGATAATATACTTTAATTGTTAGAGAGGATATTTTTCCTGTTGAAGGGAACAATATTCCTATGTGTTTAATACACAAATATATCTGTGCCAGTACTTGTTACCCCCTGAGACTTCACACACTACTTATATCTCTGGCACTGGTCTTTGAGGTTGCAATTTTTCTTTAGAAACCATTGCATATATTAAGAGTGAAACATTCAAGGTCTTCTTAAAGGCTTAAAAACTATACTTGTTGAAAACATTGAATAGTATTTCATTTATGTCCGAAAATATCACTGCTCTGGGGATAGGCCACACACACTGAGGTATTTAGTTTGAAAAGTGTTTTAATTCTGAGCAGTCTTTGTATGTAACACAGAGCACCTTTTCCATGACAACTTCTTGGCAATAAGAGAAGTATAAAAACCAGCACCTTTTTTTTTTTTCTATTCTGGAACACAAAAGCCAATTCTAGAATAGCTTTCAATCAGTACAGCAATTTTAATAAACATTCAATAAATGCCTATTTAATTGAACTGAAATCCAAATGTATTAGATTCCATTTAACTTTTCAATGGTCACAAAGCAGTTAGTGGATTGATGTGAAGACCAAATATATGCAACATCATATTTATATCTATAAGGCAAATTGGGAAATAAAGGTCATGCCTTTCTGAAGACAATGGTAATTCTAAATGTTGACCACTTGGTAGAAACAAGCTGAAATCTGAGTTTTTTGATCCCTGAGCTTTCCATCTCTTCCTTTTATCTGTAAGTAGTCAGCTACTAAGTATAGTAGTACCCAAGCCCACTGGCCTTGTGCTAAAATTGGCCCTTTGCAGCTGGAAGAGTCATAAGAGATTAGTATAGTGTAGAGGATGAACCACTGACCTGTCTTGTGATATGTGATAAATCACTCTTGGACATCCCTCTGTGGTAGTACTTCTTGCATTCTACTATGGGTGGCGTTTTCCCATCTGACCTCAATTCTTGATAATGAATTTCTTGAGGGCAGGAATCATATCTTATTCTCCTCTGTATGTATATTCCAGAATCTGATTAAAGTCTTGTCTTATAATAGCTATTCAGTAAATGATTGTGGAATAATTGATTAAAATACAGCTATTTTCTAACTTGCAATATGTTTGTGTGGAAATTTGTTGTTACTCTCGGTTCACAGGTCTTTGAATCATGTGTACTATTTTACTATACCTGATTTTATTGAGCATTATATTTTCAAACCACTTTTCAAGAAACTTAATACAGAACTACCATTTGACCCACTAATCTCACTACTGGGTGTATATCCAAAGGAAAGTAAATCAGTCTTGTAAAAAGACCTAAATTTGTATGTTCATCACAGTGGTATTCACAGTAGTGAAGGTATGGAATCAAACTAGGTGTTCATCAACAGTGGATTGAATAAAGAAAATGTAGTACATATATGTCACGGAATACTATGCATCCATAAAAAGGACCAAATTGTGTCCTTTTCAGCAACATGGATGCAGCTGGAGGACTTTATTCTAAGCAAATTAGCTCAGGAACAGGAAGCCAAATGCCACATATTCTCAGTTATAAGTGGGAGCCGAGCAATGAGTGCACATGGACATAAAAATGGGAACAAGAGAGATTGGGTCTTACCAGGAGGGGAGGGAGAGGGAGTAAAGTCTGAAAAGGTACCCTTTGGGTACACCCTACCTGCGTGACAGAGTTATTCATACCCCAAACCTCAATATCACACAATATACCCATGTAACAAATCACACATGCACTCCCTGAATCTAAAATAAAGGTTGAAATTATTTTTAAAAATTGAAATTACAAAAGGCTTTTTAAAATTATTATGTACCATAGTTCATCTGCAAGAATTCAAATAACATTAGGGATTTTAAAAATCTTTCGTTTTCATTTGTTCTTTGCTTGTGAACCTTGTGTATTGCATATTGTGGACACTATGTCTTTTCCAGCCATTTGCTTCAGGAACAAAAGATAGAGTTACAATGAACATAGGATGTCTTGTCTAGTCACTTACCTTAAAGATGAGGAAATAAGCTGATGGAAAGGAAGAAACTTGCCCAAGATTACCCAGTGATCGAGTGAGGCAGATGATAGGGAGAGCACTAAGGCTTGGTATTCTGAGCCTCATTCTGTTTTCCACTCTTGCCCTCTCTCTGTGTCCTCCTCTCCTCTCTAGCCTTCTACAAAAAGTTGGCAGTTCTGCTTCAATGTCTACCTAAGGACATCCAGAGGAGATGCCACCTTTCATTAGGCTGCATTCTTTAGCACCATGCTGTGTTTTCTTCTCCAGTCTTGTTGCATCCCATTTTTGACTGTGAGTCGTGCTTCCGCCTGTGCTGGTCTATCCAATTAGTTGCTTCTATTTTTATTGAGTGACAGTGAAAACAAACAAACAAAAAAATTTGTTTATCCAAATTTGGAATTTTTAAACCTTGATTAAAAGAATTGATTTTCTGGGGTTATATATGTAAGACACATATTTTAAAATATTTTTAACTAATTAAAAAAAATCAAACCCATGTATTTAGCCAGGGTGACTATTTAACAAGTACTAGTGAGACAGGAATTCAGTAATGCCACAGGGATAATAATCTTATGTCAGTCCCGGATGTTGTGTGCTACCGAGTTAATATGATTGGATATGGTATCACCTTTTTTCAGGCTTTAGAAAGTCAAACAAAGGAACAGCACAACAGAACTCTAGGGTGGGATGTATAGGGAAAGCCAGGATATTAAAACAAATTGTTGACTCTGACATTTACCCCACTGTTGGGAAAAGCACTTCAGTTTCCAGGGCCTTATTTTTTTTCTCTATAAAACAGCAAAAATAGAGGCAATAAGTTGCTTATTCATCCTTGAATACACATGTTCAGGAGTTCCAGAAAATTTTCGAATCTACTTTGGGTGTCTGGTAACCACCTTGGGCAAATCCAAGAAGTCCTATACACACTTCTCCAAAGCATGTCTGTGCAAGGGGCCTTATACCTGTGATTAATGTTCGCATGCTGAATGCAGTAGGCTATGCTCTGGTGTGGGGTCATCCCTGGTTCCTGTGTTTAAATTCTACAAGACTAGATGCTGAGAAGGAAGAGGGAAAGCCAGGGATGGAGATGGAGCCTTAAGGGGAAAAGTCAAGCCCCAGGGACCAACAGTATTGGGGAGCAATAGGTTAAAGATTTCTTAGATTATAATAATATTTTCAAAGAGACTTCTTCCACCAATCCCTTCTTTCTGAGCCTACCACACCTTTGGCATAGCTCTTATGCCAGTTCTTAGGATAACTAACTGTTGCCGAAAGAAACTAGAGGAGCTTTGGAGACAAAAATTTAGTAGAATAATGCCTGATTTTTAATTTTTGAGGTCTAGTAACTGCTGGTAAACTTGCCTAATATGGAGATGGAATAAGAGGGTTTCAAAGACTTGAAACACCATTGACTTCATTTAACTGAGTTGCTATGGAGAATTAACGAATTAGATGGCTGCAGGCCTCTCAGCCAATGTGTCTTCCAGATTTCCTATGAGACCCCCTTTTCTGGTCACAGGTGATGGTGATTTCTCTTTGAGTATTGAATCCCTGTAAGGTGTTAGGCACTCTACTCTTACCAAGTTTATTTTGTTACCTGGTAGAACTTGGCTCATAAAGAAGAAAATGGTGAAGAGGAGGACAGCAATCCTCACGGCTGAAGAAAGAAGAAAGTTGGGCTTCATTTCCAGGAGGCAGAGAAAACTTCCGTCTGTGGCTGTCTAGCACCAGTGGAATGTCTCTGTTTGGATAAGAAGGGTCTTTCTGTACCTCATTAGGGATAGTCACAGATAGAGGTGTTCTATGCACGCAAAATTGCTTTTATGGGAAGACTGAGAGTCCTTTTTTTTATTGGACAGCCAGTTCATTAGAATGATGTGGGTGCACAGTTTTGGCCAGAAAACCTTGTTAAATGGGGACATAAGCTACAAACATTTTGGCAAAAGATGAAAGTTTATGAACAAACAACCATTTATATTGTTACAATAAATTAGACTGTGTTGCGAAATCAGTTGGTTTCATTAATGACCAGACATTTTTTTAGTGAACACTTCCCAGACTTTACTAGCCCTGCTAAGAATTAATCACCCCACTTGCTCCTGGTCTGAAACTCCAAAGTGCTTTGTTTATGTTACAGTACTTACTGCCTTGTGTGTTAGATTAGTGAATGTATATTTGTCTCATCCACTGCTGTATGAACTTCTTGCTTGCTAGGACAAGGCTATATTCCTCAGAACTGAGGAGGGAGTTGAATCATGTGGCTATTTATTCTCAAATCCTCTTCACCAAGTGGAACAAAACAACAGGGAAAGACCACCGCACATGGAGGCAGGAGGTCTGGATTTGGGTTCTAGATCTCTAGATCTATTACTAACTGGAGGTATCGATATAGTCAGGAAAATTGTCTTCCTTAGGTGCTTCCTTGATAGCACCTATAAAGGTCGAGATCTGTTGGATCTAGATCAGGGGATTCTCAATCATTACTATGCAGAAAATCAACTGGGAGAGTTACTTTGCAATACAGATGCTTACTTCCATCTCATGATATTTTTATTTTTTTAAAAAAAATTGGTCAAGTATTTTTCATTAAGTAATGTAAACTTTCTTAGTCTACATCTAATAAAACTCCCACCAGCATACAAATACATTGAATGATATTAGCAGCAGAATCTTTAAATAAAGTAACCATACACAACTATGAGGCCACCTTTTTTTCATTGCTTATTATTTCATGCTATTTGTCACCATTGTCATCATAATCAGCCTCATCCTACATTGTTGAACACCCATCATGGACCATATGGCATAAACATTTTTCCTACGCATAAAGGAGCATATGTTCTCTATATGTATATAAAATTAATGTCTGAACAAAGTGGCTTAAACAAGGCAGAAGTTTGTTTCTCCCTCACTTAAATCTATAGTTCTACCTACCATGGCTAGTACAGATACTTGCCAAATTCATTAGGGATGCAGGCCCCTTCCAGCTCTCTGTTCTGCTATACTTTAGAAGAGGCTCTAGTTTGGCTGCTAAATTCCCACTTACCATTTTTGAATTCCAGGCAGCAGGAAGGAAAAAAGCCAAGAGAGAAAAACAAGGGAACATCTACCCCTCCTTTTAAGGTTTTTAACCAACCCCTCTTGTTTTTTTTTCACCGACTTTGTTGAGCTATGATGACATTTAAAAAGCTGTACATATTTAAGGTGTACATCTCAGTGAGCTTGGGGATAAGTATACACCATGAACACATCACTACCATCAAGATTATAACCATATCCTTCACCTCCCTAAGTCCCCCCCCTTTATTATTATTTTTTTTGGTAAGAAATATTGGTAAGAATACAAAATCTACCCTTTTAGCAAATTTTAAGTATGCAATACAGTATTCTTAGCTGTAAGCACTATGCTGTAAACGAGACCTCCAGAACTTACTTACGTGGTATATCTGAAACTTTGTGCTCTAACCACATCTACCCATTTCCCCAGCACCACGGCACCTGGCAACCACCATTCTACTCTCTGCTTTTGTGAGTTTGTCGATTTTAGATTTCAAATACAAGTGAAATCATATAGTAATTGTCATTCTGTGGTTGGCCTATTTCATATAACGTAATGCCCTCCAAGTCCATCCATGTTGTCACAAATGACAGCATTTCATTATTATGTAACACTGAATAATATTCCATTGCATATATGTATTAGCCATTTATCCTG